>NC_000004.12:43148440-43457864 GCF_000001405.40 Homo sapiens
TAACAAATAAGGCTTATGTAACACAAATGTTCTCCAGCCTGACCAACTTGAGTACCACACACCATAAGTAACTCAAAATATCCAAATTACAAAGGCATCCTCCCTATGTACTTGAATGACAGAAATTAGCATCTCTCAACATGTCCTCTAGCTATTTCTAAGAGCTTCACAGATAGTTGTCACATGAGTGCCCAGAAATAAGCCTCCTACATGATTCTGCTGCAGCCCCCAGACATGCTGCCACTGTGCTGGCTCCGCTGAGGTTGGCTGTGGTGGTGCCACCACTCTGATGGGTACAGCTGTCTTCGCTAATGACTGCTCTTGTCACTACCACTCTAGCTTTAAGGAAGGGGACCCAGCTCTATTTTTTTTTTTTTTTTTGCTTAGCAATCAGAAACTCAGGAGAGATTGATTTGTAATTTCACACAAAAACACAAAGCCCGAACTCTAACTGCAACTTGACTCTACTGAATGTTCAGAATAACAGAAGTGATGTAAAATTTACAATGTATATTACTGTATGTGGATCTGCTGAGAGACTATCAGAATATTCATTTTTTCCAGGGAAACCTTACCAATCTACTAATATCTGCTTTTGTTATTTGGCACCTTATCAAGTCTAGATTGAACACAGTATGATTCTTAAAGTCTGGGTTATGCATTTTCTCTCATTATAGCATGTGAAGGCCATTGAAATCCAGAGAAAGTCATGCTGTACCAAGGTTACTCCCCTTAGTTGGCACAGTCTCTCTTGCAGTACAAGGGAAAGGGAAGGAAAGGGAAGACCTATACATGTCTGCTGCCACGTTACCCATCTCTATACTCAACCTTGAGCAACTCTTTAAACAGACAGCATTTAATTCTGCAGGAACATGCGATAATAGGCAGGGATAGGTAAGTGAAAATATGTGTAATAAAGAAACATTTCTTTAAGGGAAATGATCAACCAATAATCAGGTCTGGCAACCCATTACAGATCCAACCCACATGATTAGATTGAAATTGTCTCAGGTATTTCCATTTCAGAAAAGAACTTTGCTTGGTGTTTAACTAAAAGGATTAATCAAAAAATATTTCCAGGGAAAGAAATAATCTTCTGAGGATGCAGTAAACAATTCACAGTTTTGGAATTTCAGGTACAGTCTCAGGCAGACACCCAATAATATCCATTTTTAAAATTACATCGGATTTTACTGATGTTATTTAAATTTTTAAAGTCTGAAAATCTAAGAGATAATTGATGAAAGAGTTGTATTTTTTTCCTCTGAGATGCCATTACAATTAGAATATAGGTTGTAATCCTTTTCCAAAATGTTTGAGACCAAACGTGTTTCAGCTTTTGGGTTTCTTTGGATTTTGGAATATTTACATATATGTAATAACATATCTTGGGGAGGAGACCCAAGTCTAAACACAAAATTTATTTATTCATTATTTATATGCATCTTATACACTGTATTAGTCTCTTCTCTCATTACTATAAAAAATACCTGAGACTGGGTAATTTATAAAGAAAGTAGGTTTAGTTGGTTCATGGTTCGGCAGGCTGTACAGGAAGCATGATGCTTCTGAGGAGGCCTCAGAAAAATTTTAGTCATGGCAGGAGGTGACAAAAAAGCAGGCACGTCTCACATGACCAGAGCAGGAGGAAGAAAGTGGGTGGGGGAGGTGCCACATACCTTTAAACAACCAGATCTCCTGAAAACTCTATTATGAGAACAGCACCAAAGGGGGAAACCTTCCCCCATGATCCAATCACCTCCCACCAGGCCCCACTTCCAATATTAGGGATTACAATTCAACATGAGATTTGGATGGGAACACACATCCAAACCATATCATACACATAGACTGAAAGTAATTTTGTACAATGTTTTAAATAATATAGTGCATGAAACCAAGTTTATATACATGAATTCATCAGAAGGCAAAAGTTTCATTATCTAGGCCACACATGTAGACAATCACACTGCTGCCATCCAGTCTAGTATTTCTGCAGTGAGGGCAAACTACTGGTACAAAATGTTTGTGAAACCAATCAGAAAAGATCTCCCTGGTGATCCATGCCTTTTTGTTAGTATAATAATGAACTGGTACCTCTGGTAGAATTTGGCTGTGAGTCTCTCTGGTCCTGGACATTTTTTGGTTGGTAGGCTATTAATTATAGTCTCAATTTCAGAACCTGTTATTGGTCTATTCAGAGATTCAACTTCTTCCCGGTTTAGTCTTGGGAGGGTGTATGTGTCCAGGAATTTATCTATTTCTTCTAGATTTTCTAGTTTATTTGCATAGAGGTGTTTATAGTATTCTCTGATGGTAGTTTGTATTTCTGTGGGATCGGTGGTGATATCACCTTAATCATTTTTTATTGTGTTTATTAGATTCTTCTCTCTTTTCTTCTTTATTAGTCTTGCTAGTGGTCTATCTATTTTGTTGATCTTTTCAAAAAACCAGCTCCTAGATTCACTGATTTTTTGAAGGATTTTTTGGGTCTCTATCTCCTTCAGTTCTGCTCTGATCTTATTTCTTCCCTTCTGCTAGCTTTTGAATTTGTTTGCTCTTGCTTCTCTAGTCCTTTTAATTGCAATATTAGGGTGTCGATTTTAGATCTTTCCTGCTTTCTCTTGTGGGCATTTAGTGCTATAAATTTCCTTCTACACACTACTTTAAAAGTGTCCCAGAGATTCTGGTATGTTGTGTCTTTGTTCTCATTGGTTTCAAAGAACAACTTTATTTCTGCCTTCATTTCGTTATTTACCCACTAGTCATTCAGGAGCAGGTTGTTCAGTTTCCAGGTAGTTGTGTGGTTTTGAGTGAGTTTCTTAATCCTGTGTTCTAATTTGATTGCACTGTGGTCTGAGAGACAGTTTGTTGTAATTTCTGTTCTTTTACATTTGCTGAGGAGTGTTTTACTTCCAATTATGTGGTCAATTTTAGAATAAGTGCGATGTGGTGCTGAGAAGAATGTATATTCTGTTGATTTGGGGTGGAGAGTTCTGTAGATGTCTATTAGGTCCACTTGGTCCAGAGCTGAGTTCAAATCCTGTATATCGTTGTTAACCTTCTGTCTCGTTGATCTGTCTAATATTGACAGTGGGGTGTTAAAGTCTTCCCTGACATTATTATTGTGTGGGAATCTAAATCCCTTTGTAGGAGCTGGTACCATTCCTTCTGAAAGTATTCCAATCAATAGCAAAAGAGGGAATACTCCCTAACTCATTTTATGAGGCCAGCATCATCCTGCTACCAAAGCCTGGCAGAGACACAAAAAAAAAAATAGAATTTTAGACCAATATCCCTGATGAACATCAATGCGAAAATCCTCAACAAAATACTGGCCAACTGAATTCAGCAGCACATCAAAAACCTTATCCACCATGATCAAGTCAGCTTCATCCCTGGGATGCAAGGCTGGTTCAACACACACAAATCAACAAGTGTAATCCATCACATAAACATAACCAATGACAAAAACCACATGATTATCTCAATAGATGCAGAAAAGGCCTTTGACAAAATTCAATAGCACTTCATGCTAAAAACTCTCAATAAACTAGGTATTGATGGAACATATCTCAAAATAATAAGAGCTATTTATGACAAACCCACAGCCAATATCATACTGAATGGGCCAAAACTGGAAGCATTCCCTTTGAAAACTGGCTCAAGGAAAGGCTGCCCTCTCTCACCACTCCTATTCAACATAGTGTCGGAAGTTCTGGCCAAGGAAATCAGGCAAAATAAAGAAATAAAGGGTGTTCAAATAGGAAAAGAGGAAGTCAAATTGTCCCTGTTTGCAGATGACATGATTGTATATCTAGAAAACCCCATCGTCTCAGCCCCAAATCTCCTTAAGCTGACAAGCAACTTCAGCAAAGTCTCAGGATACAAAATCAATGTACAAAAATCACAAGCATTCATATACACCAATAACAGACAAACAGAGAGCCAAATCATGAGTGAACTCCCATTCACAATTGCTACAAAGAGAATAACATATCTAGAAATTCATCTTACAAGGGATTTGAAGAATCTTTTCAAGGAGAACTATAAACCACTTCTCAATGAAATAAAAGAGGACACAAACAAATGGAAGAACATTCCATCCTCATGGATAGGAAGAATCAATATGATGAAAATGGCCGTACTGCCCAAGGTAATTTATAGATTCAGTGCCATCCTCATCAAACCACCAATGTCTTTCTTCATAGAATTGGAAAAAACTACTCTAAAGTACATATGGAAACAAAAAAAAAAAAAGCCCGCATAGCCAAGACAATCCTAAGCAAAAAGAACAAAGCCAGAGTTGTCATGCTTCGTGACTTCAAACTATACTACAAGGCTACAGTAACCAAAACAGCATGGTACCGGTACCAAAACAGATATATAGACCAGTGGAACAGAACAGAAGCCTCAGAAATAACAACACACATCTACAACCATCTGATCATTGGCAAGCCTGACAAAAACAAGAAATGAGGAAGGGATTCCCTGTTTAATAAATGGTGCTGGGAAAAGTGGCTAGTCATATGTAGAAAGCTGAAACTGGATCCCTTCCTTACACTGTATACAAAAATTAACTCATGATGGATTAAAGACATAAACGTAAGACATAACACCATAAAAACCCTAGAAGAAAACCTAGGCAATACCATTCAGGACATAGGCATGGGCAAAGACTTCATGACTAAAACACCAAAAGCAATGGCAACAAAAGCCAAAATAGATAAATGGGATCTAATTAAACTAAAGGGCTTCTGCACAGCAAAAGAAACTATCATCAGAGTGAACAGGCAACCTACAGAATGGGAGAAAAGTTTTGCAATCTACCCATCTGACAACGGGCTAATATCCAGAATCTACAAAGAGCTTAAACAAATTTACAAGAAAAAAACAACCCCATCAAAAAGTGGGCAAAGGATATGAACAGACACTTCTCAAGAGAGGACATTTATGCAGCCAACAGACACATGAAAAAATGCTCATCATCACTGGTCATCAGAGAAATGCAAATAAGAACCACAATGAGATAGCATCTCACGCCAGTTAGAATGGCAATCATTGAAAAGTCAGGAAACAACAGATGCTGGAGAGGATGTGGAGAAATAGGAACACTTTTACACTGTTGGTGGGAGTGTAAACTAGTTCAACCATTGTGGAAGACAGTGTAGTGATTCCTCAAGGATCTAGAACTAGAAATACCATTTGACCGAGCCAACCCATTACTGGGTATAAATCCAAAGGATTATAAATCATGCTACTATAAAGATACATGCACATGTATGTTTATTGTGGCACTATTCACAATAGCAAAGACTTGGAACCAACCCAAATGTCCATCAATGATAGACTGGATAAAGAAAATGTGGCACATATACACCATGCAATACTCTGCAGTCATAAAAAAGGATGAGTTCATGTCCTTTGCAGGGACATGGATGATGCTGGAAACCATCATTCTCAGCAAACTATCACAAGGACAGAAAACCAAACATTGCATGTTCTCACTTACAGGTGGGAATTGAACAATGAGAACACATGGACACATTGCAGGGAACATCACACATGCCTGTCAGGGGAGTGGGGGTCTGGGGGAGGGATAGCATTAGGAGAAATACCTAATGTAAATGTCGAGTTGATGGGTGCAGCAAGCCAACATGGCACATGTATACCTATGTAACAAACCTGCACGTTGTGCACATGTACCCTAGAACTTAAAGTATAATTTAAAAAAATAATGAACTGGTAAGAAATTCACACCTTGATAAAAGCAAGGACACAAATTTTTGCCTATCACAGCAAGTTTATACTTATCTTCCGGCTGCATTAGCACAACCCAGCATAGTTATTCCATCCTTGGCATTCTTAATTCCCATAGGGGCTGTCGTTTTTCTGTAGTCAGTGTCTTTCAGAGTCAATAACAGCAAAACAGTGATATTTATTTGCTATTATAAGCTTGTTCTGGCATCAGGTTTTCATCAGAGATGACCATGACAAACTCATCAATGAACTTATCCACTGCTTTGTGATCAGCAAATGTTTTATCAAGACAAATTTTTAAACATTTAATTCTCTATCTTTTCTTAAATTTCTGTGACCAGTCTGTTGAATATTCACAGTTCCCTTCAGTTTTCTGTTCATCATGATTGATATTTCCTTGTTTCATGATCAGCATATCATTAAATGGCTTGTGGTTTGTTTTATTAAATCTTCATTAGTTTTTCTTTTCTTAACTTTTATTTTTAGGTTCAGAGGGTACATGTGTAGGTTTGTTACATGGGTAAATAGTGTGTCATTGGTGTTTGGAGTAAAAGTAATTTCATCATCCAGATAGTGAGCATAGTAGCTGATAGGTAGTTTTCTGATACTCAGTCTGCTCCCACCCTCCACCCTCAATTAGGCCCCGGTGTCTATTGTTCCTTTCTTTGTGTCCATGTGTACTCAATGTTTAGCTCCCACTTATAAGTGACAACATGCGGTGTTTGGTTTTCTGTTCCTGTGTTAATCTGCTTAAGATGATGGCCTACAGCTGCATCCATATTGCTGCAAAAGACATGTTTCATTCTTTTTTATGGCTATGTAGTATTCTATGGTGTCTACCATGATTTCTTTATCCAGTGCACCATTGATGTGCACCTGGTTGATTCCATGTCTTTGCCATTGTGAACAGTGCTGCAATGAGCATACAGGTGCATGTGTCTTTTTGGTAGAATGATTTTATATGCCTTTGGTTATGTACCAAGTGAAGGGATTGCTAGGTCAAATGGTAATTCTTTTTTAAGTCCTTTCAGAAATCTCCAAACTGCTTTCCATAGTGGCTGAACTAATTTAAATTCCTACCAACAGTACATAAGGATTCTCTTTTCTCCACGCCTCACCAATATCTGGTTTTTTTTTTTTTTGACATTTTAATAATAGCCTTTCTGACTGGTGTGAAATGGTATCTCATTGTAGTCTTGATTTACATTTCTCTAATGATTAGTGATGTTGAGCATTTTATCATATGCTTGTATGCTTGTTGGCTGTGTGTATGTCTCCCTTTGTGAGGTGTCTTAAAAAAAGTCTTTGCCCACTTTTTAACAGAGGCTTTTTTTGCTTGTTGATTTAAGCTCCTTATAGATTCTGAACATTGGACCTTTTTCAGATGCATAGTTTGTATATATTTCTCTCATTCTGTAGGTCATCTATTTTCTCTGTTTGTAGTTTATTTTGCTGTGCAGAAGCTCTTTAGTTTAATTTTGTCCCACTTATTAACTTTTGTTTTGGTTGCAATTGCTTTTGCAGGCTCTGTCATAAAATCTTTGCCAAGGCCTATGTACAAAATGATATTTCCTAGGTTTTCATCTAAGACGTTTATACTTTTAGGTCTTACATTTCAGTCTTTAATCAATTTTGACTTGATTTTTATATATGGTGAAAGGAAGGGATCCAGTTTTAATTTTCTGTATACGGGTAGCCAGTTA
This sequence comes from Homo sapiens, assembly GCF_000001405.40. Classification (NCBI taxonomy): domain Eukaryota; kingdom Metazoa; phylum Chordata; class Mammalia; order Primates; family Hominidae; genus Homo; species Homo sapiens. The sequence goes on from NC_000004.12 coordinate 43,155,904, forward strand.
TCCCAGTTTCATTTCTTGAAAAGGGACACCTTTCCTCATTGCTTGTTGTTGCCAATTTTGTTGATGATCAGATAGTTGTACGTGTGTAGCTTTATATCTGAGTTCTCTGATCACTTTCATTGACCTGTTTTTGTACCAGTACCATGCTGTTTGGTTACTGTAACCTTGTAATAGAGTTTGAAGGTGGTAGTGTGATGTCTATGGCTTTGTTCTTTTTGCTTAGAATTGCTTTGGCTCTTTATGTTCTTTTTTGGTTACATATGAATTTTGGAATAGTTTTTTCTAACGTTGTAAAAATGACACTGATAGCTTGATAGGACTAGCAATGAATCTGTAAACTGTTTTGGGGAGTAAGGCCATTTTAATGATACTGATTATTTCTCTCTGTGAGCCTGGAATGTTTTTCCATTTGTTTGTGTCATCTCATTTCTTTGCGGAACATTTTTAAATTCTCTTTGTAGAGATTTTTCACCGCCCTGGTTAAGTGTATTTCTAGGTGTTTTATTCTTTTTTTGGCCCTTGTGAATGGGATTGTGTTCTTGATTTGGCTTTCAGCTGAGATGTTATTAGCGTACAGAAATGCTACTAATTTTGGTACAATTATTTTGTATCCTGAGGCTTTACTGAAGTTGTTTATGAGATCTAAGAGGCTTTGAGAAGAGATTTTGGGGTTTTCTAGGAATATAATGGTTTTGTCTGTGAAGATAGATAGTTTGACTTATTTTCCTATTTGGATGTTTTTATTTCTTTCTCTTGCCTGATTGCTTTGACTAGAATTTACAGTACTATGCTGAGTGGGAGTGGTGAGAGTATGCATTCTTGCCTTGTTCTTGTTCTCAATGGTAATGCTCCCAGTAGTCCAGTAAGTATGATGTTGGCTGTGGGTTTGTCATAGATGGCTCTTATTATTTTTGAGATATGTTTCTTAAATTCATAGTTTACTGAGGATTTTTTATCTGAAGGGATGTTGAATTTTATTGAAAGCCTTTGCTGCATCTATTGAGATTATAATGTAGTTTTTCAGTTCTCTTTATGTGATAAATCACATTTATTGATTTGCATATGTTGAACAATCTTTGATCCCAGGAATAAGGCCTACTTAATTGTAAATGTGCTGCTGGATTCAGTTTGCTAGTATTCTGTTGAGGATTTTTGCATCTATATTCTTCAGAGATATTGGCCTGAAATTTTCTGTTTTCATTGTGTCTCTGTCAGGTTTTCTTATCTGAATTATGTTGTCCTTGTAGAATGAGTTAGGGATAAGTCACTTCCCCTAAATTTTGGGGAATAATTTCAGAAGAATTGATGTCAATTCTTTGCACATCTGGCAGAATACAGCTTTGAATCTGTCTGGTCCAGGAATTTTTCTGGTTGGTAGTTTTTTTTTTTTTCTGATTCAATTTTGAAACTCATTATTGGTCTTTTCGGGATTTCTATTTCTTAATTGTTCAATCTTGGAAGATTATATTTCCAGGAGCTTATGCATTTTTTCTAGGTGTTCTAGTTTGTATGCATAGAGGTGTTCATAATAGTCTCTGATTTTTTTTTAAATTTCTGTGGGGTCAGTAGTAATGCCACCTTTGCCATTTTTGATTGTGTTCATTTAGATCTTCTCTCCTTTTTTCTTTATTAATCTAGCTAGTGGTCTATCGATCTTGTTTTTTACTTTAGAACAACTAACTTTTGGTTTCATCAATCTTTTGTATAGATTTCTGAACCAAAATTTCATTCAGTTCATCTCTGATTTTATTTCTTTTTCTACTTGCTTTGGGGTTGATTTGCTCTTGCTTTTCTACTTCTTCTAGTTGTGATGTTAGGTAGTTAATCTGAGATCTTTCTAACTTGTTGATGTAGGCACTTAGCACTATAAACTTTCCTCTGAACACTGTTTTAGCTGTGTCCCAGAGATTCTGATATGTTGTATCTTTGTTTTCATTAGCTAAGAATTTTTTTATTTCTGCATTAATTTCATTCTGTGGCTCCAAAGCCATTCAGGAGCAGGTTGTTTAATTTCCTTGTAATTGTATGGTTTTGAGAGATCTTTTGGTATTGATTACTATTTTTATTATGCTGCATTCCTAGAGTGCGGTTGGTATGATTTCAGTTTTTTGGAATTTGTTGAGAATTGCCTTGTGTGTGAGCATATTGTTGATCTTGGAATATGTGCCATGTGCAAATGAGAAGAAAGTACATTGTGTTGTTGTTGGGTGGAGTATTCTGTAGATGCCTGTGAGGTCCATTTGGCCAAGCGCTTAGTTTAGGTCTTGAATGTCTTTGTTAGTTTTCTGCCTTCAAGGCCTGTCTAACACTGTCAGCGGGCTGTTGAAGTCTCCCACTATTACTGTGTGGTTATCTAAGTCTCCTCATAGGTCTCTAAGATGTTGTTTTATGAAGCTTGGTGCTCCAACGTTGACGGCATATATATTTAGGATTGTTAAGTCTTTTTGTTGAATAGAGCCCTTTACTATTATGGAATGCCTTTCTTTTCCTTTTCCATCCTTGTTGGTTTAAAGTCTGTTTTGTGTGAAATAAGAATAGCAATCTTCCTCTTTTTTTTGTTTTCCATTTGCCTGATAGATCTTTCTCCACTCCTTTAGTTCGAGCCTATGAGTGCCATTGCATGTGAGATGGGTCATTTGAAGATGGCATACAGTTGGGTCTTGTTCTTTATCCTACTTGAAGTGGAACATGTTCACTGTGATATTAATGAATCTACCCTTTTAGTACATGATGGGGATTTTTATTTTTCACTTTATGCAGTGTTTTTCTATTTTTTCATTAACATTTATTCATCACTTTCAGCACGGAACTTTAACAGTTTATTTTTCTCTTTCTTCAGGCCATAGTAATGGTCATTCCAACACCATACTCTTCTGTAAGACATTTTACACACACTGTCCATTTTCTCCAACAGCTTGACTTTCTGTGCTATAGGTAAACAGAAATGCTTCCTCTTTGTCTTATTACTGTCACACATAGGGCTACCTGCTGGTCTTTTTGATGTTTTCAACAATATCTTTACACCACAGAACAAAAAATACACCAAATAAACCAACAGAAAACACAGTGAGTAATGCATGTAGGTCTTGGCCTCCTGTAGAGCATAGTGGGGAACCTGCTGTTAGTGTGTCTGTCCTGCACATGTGCCATTTTATGACCCTTTGTGGGGCTACTTGGGACTGAGAATCTGTCTGTACATGGAAAAGATGTATCACAGCTGCAGTGTGATGGGTGGGTCTTTTTTCCTTTGGGGATACTGAATAAACTGTGCATTGTGCATCTGTGTTTTGACTGTGAGCCACCACATGTGGTCAGGTATGAAGTTTCCCATTTGTAGTATCATGTCGGTGCTGAAAACTTTTGAATTTTGGAGCATTTCTGATTTTCGGATTGGTATGCTCAACTTGTAGATCTGAAAACCTGTGAGTTTTTAGAAATATTAAATCACACACATAATGCATTTTAATATAAATGTAGTTTAAGAAGATGAGCAAAAATTAATTTAACATATATTATCAGGGTTACAACTATTCAGTGTTCAAAAACTAGAGGTTCTCCTTCTAAACATTTAATATAATCTAACATAACACAGAAAAATGTTACTTGACTATTAAGTAGATAAGTATATCATTAGAAGGCAAATGTATTTTTTCTGCTCTTGATTTTCTTTAAGTGCCTCTCTCTTTTCCTTTATTATTCCCATAATTCCATATGCAGGGTCTGAAAATTTCAGTAATGTGCAATATGAGGTTGTTGTGTTGAGAGGTTAATGAAATACCAGGGTGGACTGGCTAGAGTTCTGATGGCCTGAATTTATATTTTAAATCAATCCAAATCCTGACTACATTTGATAACACCTATTGATTGTTATCTGATCCATATGAAATATTTTGTGGTTAATATTTTAGCTTTTAAGTTTGGCAGGGAATTCTAAAACAGAGGCAGCAATTCCCAAAACCTTCTAGTTTGTTGCTGCCAATTTCAGTGGCATTATACAGGCAGATTATGTCAGGAGAATTAATATTGGTGGCAGAGGATGTACACTCCAGGTCCTAGCCTCCTGAGATAGAGTTGGCTACATTTCACTGCAATGCCTCACCTTCTCCTCTGCAACCTCCTTTCTTCTTCTAAAGTTAAGAAGTTTCATTTCTTCCAATTGATAGCTGGACATCTGGAATTAGGAAGAAAGAGAATCATCATACCTGTTATATATGAATTTGCATTTTACATATTTTTCCATTTAATATTTAACTACACCTGATTTGTAAATTTGGGAAGAATAACTGAATTATTTTTCTCTATTCTGTCCTTTCTTTTGGGGCCAATTTGCCTGAAGGGAGCATGGATCCTGCTCTACCACATATGCATTCAACAGAACTGTCCAGTTTAGATTTTAATGAATAGATAACTGAGTCCTTCAGATTTAAGACTCAGTATTTGCAAATTTTCTTGGAAAATAGGCTTAAAGTTATGTCCCTCAATCTGACCTCCTCCAGCAAGAACAAGGATAGTGTTTAGATAGATTTTCTAATTTTTTAAATAAATGATAAATTTCATCTCTCAATTTATTTAGAATGTGGGTAGTAATGAAGGATAATATAGTTACTTATTGGGTCATCCCTGAAGATGGTGTTATATGTAACATACAATGCTATGAATAAGTAATGTTGGATGTTCTTCATTTGTCTCTCAAGACCTACTCCTCATCCTTCTCTGTGCTGATAATCTTTGGAGTCCTAATATGTTTTGATTACATCAAGGGGCTCCCAGACCCCTAGGCTTCCAACTGATGTCTACCAATAAGGATTACCAATAAAAGACTGAAGAGAAGTAGTAGAATAGAGTCAGGATATGTATTTTCTAGTTTTCTTCCTTGAAGAAGGTTCCAACGGGCTCTGTCTCTTAATTGAAAGTCACTGCTCCTCCCAAGGCATGTAACTCTACATGATTCTATGCCCTTCTTGTTTTCAGTAACCATTCCTTCTTCTTGTCCTGTGGAATCTAGGTTGATAAGAGCTTGGTCGCTACCTGTGGTTATTGCACCATCCATTGTGGTTATCCTACAATCATACCTTGGTAAATGTTCCTTGTGCTAATAAAACTGTATTGGACTATTGTGTTTTGCATGTATCATGTTTACTTCTGGGAAATATATATGTATATATTTATACACACACATATCTTACATTTATATACATACATAATACCTACACACATATTTATTCAAGAAACTTTCTGAGTATCTTCCATTCCTTTGGGACGAGAAGTGCAGAAAGAAGAAATATAGTTTCTACATTTGAGTAACCTACAGTATAAGAGACAACAGACAAGTAATTATAGTATAAGAAGGAAACAACTCTAATAGTTGACAAAAGGGTTGTGGGAACACATGAAAGCAGTAAATGATTTGCCTGGAAATGTTGTCAAATGCTTCACTAAAGAGCTGCTATTTCAGATGAGTCTTAAAGGATGAATAGGAATTTTTCCTTTGAAAGAGGCTGAATAATACCCTTTAAAATAATTTACTATAATTGATAAAGGCCAAGAAAAGTTAATGTGTAGAAGCCTCAGTATTTTTATTAAAGAATGAGGTAGGACAAAGGTTAGGTTGGAAACGCAAACTGGGAATGTATTTGAATATCTGTAGTTTTTATGAGAAGGAATTACTGTGTTTTTCAGTTGGCAATAGAAAACATCCAAGAGTTTTAAACAGGAAGAATGTGACATGTTTGCTTTGTAGATCTCTACTCTGGTGGTGTCCAGTTCTGAGCTGACTTTGGGAGAGACTAGTGTTAGGAAATTAGAGAAGTTTACTGTAATGGGCCAGGGATGAGATGACTAAAGCCTTAACAAAAGCAAAGTCGAACGGCTGTGTGTAGTTTAAGATTGCTCTTATCCCAGCACTTTGGGAGGCAGAGGTGGACGTATCACTTGAGCACAGGAATTTGAGACCAACCTGGGCAACATGGTGAAATCCTATCTCTACCAAAAACAAAAAACAAAAAACAAAAAAACCCAACAAAAATTAGTCAGGCATGGTGGCACACGCCTATGGTCCCAGCTACATGGGATGCTAAGGCAGGAGGATTGCTTGAGCCCAGAAGGTTCAGGCTACAGTGATATAGTGAGCGGTGATCCTGCCACTGCACTCCAGCTTCAGTGGCAGAGTGAGACCCTTTCTCAAAAAAAAAAAAGAAAAAAAAAGGAAAGAAAGAAAAGAGTGCTCTTAATACATCATCAGATAAGGCTTCCAAACTATCCCTTCACAATTTTTTTTTTGGAATCCATTTTATTAACCTTTTTTTTTTAACTGTTAAAAATCTGGTCAGAGGATTAGATTGCAAAAAAATTAATGTTGAGAGTATAGTATTAGCTTAAAAGAAAATAAAATAACTATTTTTTAAAAGGTTAATGATGGTCATTCAAATAAGTCACAATTATTTTATTTTCATACATATCACAATTTTATGTGACATACTTAAATATATTTTCATATTTTTATTAAATTCTCAATTTTTGTATTTTTACTTCCACTTTTTGTAGTGTACATTCTACACTTAATTTGAGCATCATCAAAGACAACTGCCACCCAGAGCATTATGTCTTGAAACATAACTCATGTTGTATTCAATATTGTTGATAAATGAAAGTTACTTATCAGCATTTACCATATAGAGAAATGTGAAATTGAATGGTGTAATTTTTCAAAAGCAATTAGTTGTCTAAGTTGAAGACAAAGTATTAGGTATAAAATATTTTAATCAAACAAAAAATTAAATATTATGTATTTAAATGTTTAAACATGATACTTTCAAGCTAAAACTACCTTGCAACATGTTGATGAATGTCACTGTGTTTCCTCTGGGTAAACAGAGGAAGTTTGCTATGACAGTGACAGCCACAGGTCTTAAATAATTGCCTTGGAACATAAGATAATCAAGTATGCCAGTTGTTCAGTGTATCTTTCCTGCATGGGTAAGAAAGTAGGACAAACCATGCCATTCAAGGTCTATTTAAACTTCACCAAAATAACTAGAAAATGTCAAACAATTGAGAGAATATGAGTTTTCTCCTCTAAAATGACAGTTTTTTTCCAACTAAAATAAAATCATGTTTTTATCATGACAAACCAATTGAATAGTTAAACATACCTGGATATGAAGTGACTGCTTTATCATGCCCATTAATTTACTTGAGTAATATTTTTTATTGATTTGACTGACAATGGAATTTTATAGCATCAGAAAGCAACGTATTTCTTTTGTTTCATATTTAAGGAATTGACGACATTTAAGTGAGGCTTAGAAACCATTTGCTGAACATTGCTCTGTGCTAGACATTGTGCTATGTGTTACTGCCTTATGAAGTAGTGAAAGTAACAGAAATATGAACTATTAACCACAATCACTAAACTATATAGCGTGCCAATACCATAATGCTCAACACAGAAGTACTAAAAAGAAGTGCATACCACCCAGAGAAGGAGGAAATATATATTTTAATATTAGTAGGCATTTTCTTTATAGGCACAAATTTAAAAGCCATCGTGAGCAGATTGTCAATTTACACAGTAAAAAGTGAACATGTAACCACAAGTGAATTAGCATCTTGGGGCACAGAACAAAGAGGTCATTAAATTAGAGAGGTAGTCAAACACCAGCTCATATAGGTTTTTGTTTGCTAAGCTTGGGCTCTATCTTATATGTAACAGGAAGCCAGCAACTGTTTTCAACAAGGAAGTGGTTTGGTCAGTTTTTGTTTCAGAAAGATTTGCTCTAAAGGAGGTTTGGAGAATGGATTTTAATGGTAATAAGTACTCCACGAGACCAGTTAGGAAGTTATGGTAACATTCCACACATGTAGGATGTGTTGCTTGGTTGGGTGTGAAGGTGAGAGACAGGAGATCCTGAGGATAAAAATTAGATTCTATGCTTGAGTCACTGAGTGTAGGTCATGTCAGGTTCTAGGATAGGGAATACAGGAGGTTTTCTTGAGATCAGATAATGAATTATTTTAGACATAATTAAATATAAATTTTTAGAGTGATGTACAGTAAGTAGTTCACTAGATGACTCAAGGGAGAGATAGAGCTTCTTATGCAGATTTTTTATATGTCAGCATGTACATTCATGTTATAACCTTTAATATTAGATGAAATTTTTTTGGAGACAATATTTGCAGTACAAAACAGAGTGCAATGATTGAGAACTCTCATGTTGAAGGAATGGGCAGAAAAAGCACAAAATAAAGGAAACTAAGGAAGTGCAATCAGAAGGCAAAAATGAAAACCGAGAAAAGAAAAACATCATGGAAAGAAGGAAATAACTTAGATGGTTTGGGAGTTGTCAAAGTTCCATAACATGGCCAGCTATGATGAGAACTAAAATTATAATAGGAATTAATAACTAGGAAATCATTCATTCCCCTGGGGAGAGCCAATTCAAAAGATATGTAGAAGCAGAAATAAAATTACATCATGGAAGCACTGCATGTAATATTGAAAATGATAGGAGTGAGATGGGCCTTTACTTAGACAGATGCAGGTTCTAAGACGCCAGACTATTAAAGAAAAGAGCTTATTGAAACAGCAATAAATAGTGTTCATTGTAGCATTAGCCAGGTAAGAGATTTATTGGATTTCTGCCTATGAATACTTCATCTTCTAAGTAAGTAAAGAAAAAGTGTTATTGGAAATATTCTTATGGAATATGATTTGAGTGCTGGTATACAAATTAAGATATAAGTCTCTGAAGTCACACTATGACTGTTCAAACTACAGCTTTGTCTATTGCCTGTTGTTTGACCCAAGCCAGTAACTGAATCTTGATATCTCAGTTTTCTCATTTATAATATGAGGGCATGCATAGGCTTATATAAAGAATAAATGCTAAGATGTACATGCATGTGTTGTGTGTGTGTGTATTATCTGTCTAGTAAAATAATGCCAAAATATGTGTAAGCCAGTGAAGATTTTAAGTAACTTCTTAAATGATTCTCAAACTTTGGCATGTGGTAGGCAAACCACAAACCTTGGTTTTCTTTTTCTTTTATTTTCTCCACTTTCCTTACCCACAGGTGGATATTAGATACTGACCATGTATTGTAAGAAAGTGTTACATAAGGCTGGGCACGGTGGTTCACACCTGTAATCTCAGCACTTTGGGAGGCCGAGATGGGCGGATCAAAAGGTCAGGAGATCGAGACCATCCTGCCTAACACGGTGAAACCCCGTCTCTACTAAAAATACAAAAAATTAGCCAGGCATGGTGGCAGGCGCCTGTAGTCCGAGCTACTTGGGAGGCTGAGGCAGGAGAATGGCGTGAACCCAGAAGGCAGAGCCTGCAGTGAGCTGAGATTGCGCCACTGCACTCCAGCCTGGGCGACAGAGCAAGACTCCATCTCAAAAAAATAAAAATAAAAATAAATAAAATAAAATAAAATAAAATAAAATAAAATAAAATAAGAAAGTGTTAATACCTGTGTTTTTATCTTTAATATCTTAAAATATTTCAATTTTTGTATTCTAAATTAAAATTTTACTTTTTGTATGACGGTGTTACACATTTACTTTTAGATAATTTTAGATAATTTTTCAGCTTGATAACTAGGACAAAAATATTTTCTTAACTATGGAAATTCTATTGTATCTGTCAGGGGAAAGGAAGACAGATGCCTGCTGCTGTTTTCAGCTGGAGTCCCCAGTTCTGCTCTTTATAAGAGGATTCCATTCAATGTTTTTTAGAGTGGAAGACATTATACTAGCATTGAAAAGGGATGCTTATTTTTTAATGCTTGATATTTTGAGAGTTAAGATAAATTACTTCCAAGTATAATAATAATAATTTGTGTAATCTATTATGCATTTGAAAACTCACTAATTATCCCATGAATATTGTGATTTTCAAGTCCCTTAAAAATAGATGGGAAGGCTTAAATGAGTGGAAATAAGTCACATAGAATACATACATCTTTAATGAAAAGGGTCCTTTCCTGGTTTCTATATGAAATAGTCTTTAACAGGTTTCACAGTAAGATTCATAATTGGGTCAGTAATGTACTGTAAACAATTTTCTGACAAGAAAATTCAGCTAAGATTTGAACTTACGGGACATATTCAAAATTATCAGTGATCAAAGAAATGCAAATGTAAATAAACAATGATGTGACTTGTTAAGCCTATTATGTTTGAAAAGTCTGCCAAATTCATAAACATTATAGTGAGGATAAAGTAGAATCCTTATTCTCTTAATACTATTGGATACATGAATCTAGTCTTATGAAATTTTAGTACTCTTAAAAATATGTCAAATACCTTAAAGGCATTCATACTCTCTGACTCCATAATTCTATGATCTATTCTAGGAAAATGTTGAATGTGAAAAAAACTATATGCACTAAATTGTGATTGTATCATTATTTAGGATAATGAAACATTAGAAAAAACCTAGATATTGAACACCAGAGAAAGGATTAAAAAATGTTGCTACATTAATGTTGCATAGCCATTAAAATATGTTTATAAAGTCTTTTGTGCAAAGTAAAATGCTTTTTATCATCATGAAACAGGTACGATTTATAAACCTGACAGAGTTTTCCATCTTAGCCCTCTATTACTCCTTCTTGGGATAGGAGAAACTTTGCAAGACTGGTTCTTAAATATTTCCCCTCTCTTTCAGTATCGTGTATTTAGCATAACAGATGAATAGTACCTAAGAGTCAGGAAGAAAAGAACTTAGGGAAACTAACGAAATTAATACTATACAAATAAACAAGTGATACATTGGAAGAATAACAAGGTAAGAGAAAGCTATGAGGGCTGGAAATTTTCAAGACGGCTTGAGGGTTAATGTGAGAGTGGCCCAGCAGAAGCAGAATTAGGGAGTGAGGTGAGGCCTTCCAAGAAACATGCTTGGATTAGGACATATAGCACCTTGAATGTTCTTCAAGACAAAAGGAAGATTACATTTTCTTTATAATTACAATTTTGTGACTGGAACTGGCTTCTTTAAGTGAGCCTCCACATAGGTCTGAGACATGTGCGGTCTCTAATTTTAAGATATATACTATGTAGGTTTTTGGCAAACAGGTGGTGTTTGGTTACATGAATAAGTTCCTTGGTGGTGATTTCTGAGATGTTGGTGCACTTATCCCCTGAGCAATATACACTGTACCCAATGTGTATTCTTTTATCCTTCACCCCCTCCCACCCTTTCCCCAGAGTCCCCAAAGTCCATTGCATCATTCTTATTCTTTTGCATCCTCATAGTTTAGCTCTCACTTATAAGTGAGAACATATGATGTTTGATTTTCCATTCCTGAGTGAGTTACAATAATGGTCTCCAGTTCCATCCATGTTGCTGTGAATGCCATTATTGCATTCTTTTTTATGACCAGGTAGTATTCCATGGTATGTGTGTGTGTGTATATATATGTGTGTAATTGCAAAAATATGGAACCAGCCCAAATGCCCATCAATCGAATGATGATGCTGCTATAAACATGAATGTGAAAGTATCTTTTTCATATAATGACTTCTTTTCCTCTGGGTAGATACCCAGGAGTGGGATTACTGGATCAAATGGTAGATTTACTTTTAGTTCTTTAAGGAATCTCCACACTGTTTTCCATAGTGATTATACTAGTTTACATTCCTACCAACCTTCCTACCAACAGTGTAAAAGGGTTCCCTTTTCACCACATCAATGCTAACATCTATTATTTTTGAGTTTTGATTATGGCCATTCTTGTGGGAGCAAGGTGGTATCACATTGTGGTTTTGATTAGAATTTCCCTGATAATTAGTGATGTTGAGCATTTTTTCATGTTTGTTGGCCATTTGTATATATTCTTTAGAAAATTTTCTGTTCATGTTCTTATCCCACTTTTTGATAAGATTTTTTTTTTCTTGCTGATTTAAGTTCCTTGTAGATTCTGGATATCAGTTCTCTGTTGGAAGTATAGATTGTGAAGATTTTCTCCCACTCTGTGGGTTGTCTGTTTACTCTGCTAATTATATCTTTTGCTGTGCAGAAGAGTTTTTAGTTTAATTAAGTCCTATCTATTTATCTTTGTTTTTGTTGCACTTGCTTTTTGGTTCTTGGTCATGAAGTCTTTGCCTAAGCCAATGTCTAGAAGGGGTTTTCCAAAGTTATCTTCTAGAATTTTTATGGTTTCACGTCTTAGATTTAAGTCTTTTATCCATATTGCATTGATTTTTGTATAAGATGAGAGATGAGGATTCAGTTTCAGTCTTCTACATGTGGCTTGCCAATTATCCCAGCACCATTTGGGGTGCCCTTTCCCAACTTTGTGTTTTTGTTTGCTTTGTCAAAGATCAGTTGATATGCAGTTGATATCTGACAGCATATTAAAAAGATAATCCACCATGATCAAGTGGGTTTCATATGAGGGATTCAGGGATGGTTTAACATCCACAAGTCAATAAATGTGATACACCACATAAACAGAATTAAAAACAAAAATTACATGATCGTCTCAATAGACACAGAAAAAGCATTTGACAAAATCCAGCATCCCTTTATGGTTAAAGCCCTCAGCAAAATTGACATAGAAAGGATATATCTTAATGTAATAAAAACCATCTATAAGGAGGGGTCAAGATGGCCAAATAGAAACAGCTCTGGTCTGCAGCTCCCAGTGAGACATATGCAAAAAGGCAAGTGATTTCTACATTTCCAACTGAGATACCCAGTTCAGTTCATTGGGACGGACTAGGCACTTGGCATACTCACAGAGAGCAAGGAAAAGCAGGGTGGGGTGTTGATTTACCCAGAAGCTGCATGGTGCATAGGGACCTCCCTCCCCTAGCCAAGGGAGGTGGTGAGGAACGGTGCTACCCGCCTGGGGTACTACGCTTTTCCCATGGATTTTTTCAGTCCACGGATCAGGAGATTCCCTTGTGAGCCTACACTGCCAGGGCCCTGGGTCTCAAGCATAAAAGTGGGCAGACCTATGGCAGATACTCCCATTGGCTGCTGTTCCCGCCGACACTGAGCTGCAGGAGTGTTTATATAATTCGTGGCGCCCGGAAATCCAGTGAGGCAGAAGAACCATCCACTCTCATGGAAAGGGGGCTGAAGCTAGGTAACCAAACGTCCTCGATCAGCGGGTTGCACTCCCACGGAACCCCTCAAGCTAAGATCCACTGGCTTGAAATCCCTGCTGGCTAGCACAGCAGCCTGGAGTCTGCCTAAGATGACCAAGTTCCTGGTGGGAGGGCTGACAGCCATTACTGCGCTCTAGTCAATGGTTTACCCCTGCCAGTGTTAGGGAGACTGGGAGGTTTAGACTGGGTGGTACTCCCCACAGCACAGCACAGTGGCTGTGGAAATCGTGGCCAGACTGCCTCTTTAAGTGGGACCCGGCTCCATTCCTCTTCACCATGCGGGGCCTCCCTGCAGGAATTCCAGCAACTCCAGCCAAGGCCTTATAGTCAGAACTCTAATTTCCCTGGGACAGAGCACCTGAGGGGAGGGGCTGCTGCAGTCTCAGGTTCAGCGGACTTAATATTTCCTGCCTGCCGGCTCTAAAGAGTCTGACTGATCCTGATGAGGGGTATTCCCCCAGCATAGTGCGCAAGCTCTGCTACAGGACAGTCAGACTGCTTCCCCCGATCCTGTGCCCCCTGACTGGGTGAGACCTCCCAACAGGGGTCGCCAGACACTCCATACAGGAGACTTCTAGCTGGCATCATGTCGGTGCCCCTCTGAGAGGAAGCTTCCACAGGAAGGAGCAGGCAGTAATCTTTGCTGTTCTGCAGCATCCACTGGTGATATTCATGTGAACAGTGTCTGGAGTAGACCCCCAGCAAACTGCAGGAGACTTGCAGAAGAGGGGCCTGACTGTCAGAAGAAAAACAAACAGAGCAACAACAACAGCAACATAAAAGATCCCACAAAAACCTCCTCCAAAGGTCAATGGCCTCAAATATCAAGGGTAGACAAATCCACAAAGATGAGGAAAAACCAATGCCAAAACACTGAAAATTCCAAAAGCCAGAATGCTTCTCTTCCTCCAAATGATCACAATGCTTTTCCAGCAAGGACACAGAACCGGGCTGAAGCTGAGATGGATGAACTAACAGAAATAGGCTTCAGAAAATGGGTAATAACAAGCTTCACTGAGCTAAAGGATTATGTTCTAACCCAATGCAAAGAAGCTAAGAACCATGATAATAGATTATAGGAGAAGTTAACTAGAATAACCAGTTTAGAGAGGAACATAAATGACATGATGGAGCTGAAGAACACAGCGCGAGAACTTCATGATGTGAACACAACTATCAATAGCTGAATCAACCAAGCAGAGGAAACAATATCAGAGCCTGATGACTATCTTTTTGAAATAAGGCAGGCAGACAAGATTAGAGAAAAAAGAATGAAAAGCAATGAACAAAACCTCTGAGAACTATGGTACTATGTAAAAAGACCCAGCCTACAACTTATTGGAGTACCTGAAAGAGAGGGGGAGAATGGAACCCAGTTGGGAAACACACTTCAGGATATCATCCAGGAGAACTTCCCCAACCTAGCAAGAGAGGCCAACATTTAAATTGAGGAAATTCAGGGAACCCCAATAAGATACTCCATGAGGAGATCTACTCCAAGGCACATAATCGTCAGGTTCTCCAAGGTCGAAATAAATGAAAAAATGTTAAGGGCAGTCAGAAAGAAAGAGCTCCTGAAGGAAACACTAAGCATGCAAAAGAAAAACTGTTACCAGCCACTACAAAAACAAACTTAAGTACACAGACCAACAACACTATGAAGCAACAACATTACCAGGTCTGCAAAATTAACCAGACAACATCATGATGACAGGATCAAATTTGCAAATAACAATATTAACCTTAAATGTAAATGAGCTAAATGCCCCAATTAAAAGACACAGAATAGCAAGCTGGATAAAAAAGACCAAGACCCATTGGTGTGCTGTATTCAAGAGACACATCTCACATGCAAAGACACACATAGGCTCAAAATAAAGTGATGGAAAAAATTTCTGAAGCAAATGGAAAGCAGAAAAAAGCAAGGGCTGCAATCCTAGTTTCTGACAAAATAAACCAACAAAGGTCAAAAAAGACAAAGAAGGGCATTACATATGGTAGAGGGTTCAATTCAACAAGAAGAACTAACTAGTCTAAATATATATGAACCCAATCAGGAGCACCCAGATTCATAAAACAAGTTCTTAAAGACCTACAAAGAGACTTAGACCCCCACACAATAATAGTGGGAGACATAATTATGTCAATAGTCACAGAAAAGGCCTTCAATGGAATTCAACATCTTTTCATGTTAAAAATTCTCAATAAAAAAGTATTGAAGAACTATACATCAAAATAATAAGAACCATTTATTACAAACTGACAGCCAATATCATACTTAATGGGCAATACCTGGAAACATTCCTGTTGAAAACTGGCATAAGACAGGGATGCCCTCTCTTACCACTCTTATTCAACATAGTATTGGAAGTTCTGGCTAAGGCAATCAGTCAAGAGAAATAAATAAAGGTATTCAGATAGGAAGAGAAGAAGTCAAATTGTCTTTGTTTGCAGATGACATGATCCTATATCTAGAAAACCTCATGAACTCACCCAAAAGCTTCTTAAGCTGATAAATAACTTCAGCAAAGTCTCAGGATACAAAATCAATATGTAGAAATCACAAGCATTCCTAAACACCAACAACAGACAAACAAAGAGCCAAATCATGAATGAACTCCCATTCACAGTTGCCACAAAGAGAATAAAATACCTAGGAATAGAGCTAACAGGGGAAGTGAAGGACCTCTTCAAGGAGAACTACAAACCACTGCTCAAGGAAATCAGAGAGGATACAGTGGGTGAAAAAATATTCCATGCTCGTGGATAGGAAGAATCAATATCTTGAAAATCGCCATACTGCTCTAAGCAATTCATAGATTCAGTGGTATTCCCATTAAACTACCATTGACATTCTCCACAGAATTAGAAAAAAATGATTTTAAAATTCACATGGAACCAAAAAAGAGCTTGTATAGCCAGGACAATCCTAAGCAAAAAGAACAAAGCTGGAGACCTCACGCTACCCGACTTCAAACTATACTACAAGGCTACAGGAACCAAAACAGCATGATACTGGTAAAAAACAGACAGATAGACCAATGGAACAGAAAAGAGAACCCATAAACAAGGCCACACACCTACAACTATCTGATCTTTAACAAACTTGACAAAAACAATGGGAAAGGATTTCCTATTCAATAACTGGTGCTGGGAGAACTGACTAGCCACATGAGGAAAATTGAAACTGATCCTTTGCTTACACCTTATATAAAAATTAACTGAAGATGGATTAAATACTTAAATGTAAAACCCTAAACCATAAAAATCCTAGATGAAAATCTAGGCAAAACCATTCAGGACATAGGAATGGGCAAAAGTTTTATGATGAAATTGCCAAAAGCAATTACAACAAAAGCAAAAATTGACAAATGGGATCTAATTAAAGAGCTTCTGTGTAGCAAAAGAAACTGTCATCAAAGCATACAGGTAAGCTACAGAATGGGAGACAATTTTTGCAATCTATCCATCTGACAAAGGTCTAATATCCAAAATCTACAAGGAACTTAAGCAAATTTACAAGAAAAAATAACCCCGTTAAAAATTGGACAAAGGATATGAACAGGCATTTCTCAAAAAAGAGATACATGCAGCTAAAAAACATATTAAAAAAGCTCAGCATCACTGATTGTTAGAGAAATACAAATCAAAACCACAATGAGATACCATCTCACACCAGGCAGAAAGGTGATTATTAAAAAGTTGAGAAACAATAGATGCTGGTGAGGTTGCAGAGAAATAGGAATGCTTTTACACTGTTGGTAGGAATGTAAATTAGTTCAACCATTGTGGAAGACAGTGTGGCAATTCCTTAAAGACTTAGAAGTGGAAATACCATTTGACCTAGCAATCTCACTAGTGGTTATATACCCAAAGCTATATAAATCATTTTATTATAAAGATACATGCACATGTATATTCATTACAGCACTATTCATAATAGCAAAGCATGGAATCAACCTCGATGCCCATAAATGATAGACTGGATAAAGGAAATGTGGTACATATACACCATGGAATACTATGCAGTCATAAAAAGGAACGAGATCAAGTCATTTGCAGGGACATGGGTGAAACTGGAGACCATTATCTGTAGCAAACTAACACAAGAATAGAAAAGCAAACATCACATATTCTCACTTACAAGTTGAAGCTGAACAATGAGAATACATGGACACAGAGTGGGGAACAAGACACAATGGGGTCTGTTGGGAGAGGATGATGGGGAAGAGCATTAGGGAAAAGAGCTAATGCCTGCTGGGCTTAATACCTAGGTGACAGGTTGATAGTTGCAGCAAATTGCCATGCCACACATTTACCTACGTAACAAACTTGCACTGCACATGTACCCTGGAATAAAAGAAAAAAAAGGCCATCTATGACAAACCCACAACCAACATCATTATACTGAACAGGGAAAAGTTCAAAGCATTCTCCCTGAGAACTGGAACAAGTCAAGGATGCCTACTTTCACCACTTCTACTCAATGTAGTACTGAAAGTCCTGGCCAGAGCAATCAGAGAGGAGAAAGAAATAAAGGGCATCCAAAATCATTAAAGAGGAAGTCTAACTGTTGCTGTTCACTGATGACATAATAATATACCTAGAAAACCCTAAAGACTAATCCAGAAATCTCCCAGAACTGGTAAATAAATTCAACAAAGTTTCAGGATACAAAATAATGTACACAAATTAGTAGCTCTGCTATACACCAACAGCTACCAAGCTGGGAACCAAATCTAGAACCCAAACCCTTTTACAATAGCTGCAAAAAAATATGCAAATACATAAAATACTTAGGAATGTACTTAACCAAGGAGGTGGGAGACCCTACAAGGAAAAGTACAAAACACTGCTGAAAGAAATAATCGATGACACAAATGGAAACATATCCCATGCTCATGGATGGGTAGAATCAATATTGTAAAAATGGCCATACTGCCAAAAGCAATCTACAAATTCAATGCAATTCCCATAAAAATACCATGAACAATGTTCGTAGAACTAGAAGATACACAACACTATATTTTAACTGGCAAATTCTCAATGCCAGTTGGTGAAAGAAGAATTTAAGAGAAGAAGGAAGAAGAGGGGAGGAAGAGAAAGAAAAAAGAAGGCAAGAAAGAAGAAACAAAGGAAAAAAAAGGAAAAAAATTTGTTTATAGAATAATTATATTTAAATGACTTGCTAGAAAAGTCTATCAAATTAATAGGATATCTATAGTCTTGATAGTGATTTTCCATAAGGAGATAACTAGATTAGTGGTTGCCAGAGGCTGGGAAGGGAGTTTGGGGAAAAGAGGAGTGGCTATTACTAGTTATAGGGTTTCTTCTTTTTTTTCTTTGAGATGGAGTCTCTCTCTGTCGCCCAGGCTGGAATGCAGTGGCGTGATTTCAGCTCACTGCAACCTGTCACTGGTTCAAGCTATTCTCCTGCCTCAGCCTCATGAGTAGCTGAGACTACAGGTGCCTGCCACCATGCCTGGCTAATTTTTGTATTTTTAGTAGAGAGATGGTTTCACCATGTTGGCCAGGCTGATCTCAAACTCCTGACCTCAAGTGATCTGCCCGCCCCACCTCCCAAAATGCTGGGATTACAGGTGTGAGCCACCATGCCTGGCCAATTATACTCTTTAAATGGATGGATTAAATGGGCGTGTGGATTATATCAGCAATTATAACAGCAATAAAGCTGTTACTGCCCTGCTGTCTGCTTCCCTGCCCCTTGCCACCCCATCCAAAAAAAAAAAAAAAAAAAAAAAAAATTGTGATTGTGTTTGCCTGATGGGACATTTGATTTTTTTCTTATTTTCTTAGCACCTTTTTGAATTTGTTGTAATTAGAGCATATTTACTTTTAAATTTTGTGAAACTTTTATTAAAAATACCATAGATGAAACATTTTCTCTGTTTCTTATATTGAATGCATGTTTTAGAACAATTTCTCCTTATAATGGTTTTGTTTCTGTTTTTGTTTTGTTTTGTTTTGTTTTGGAAACAGAGTCTCGCTCTGTTGCCCAGGCTGGAGTGCAGTGGCATTATCTCGGCTCGCTGCAGCCTCTGCCTCTAGGGTTCAAGCCATTCTTGTGCCTCACCCTCCCAGGTATCTGGGACTACAGAGGCTCACCACCATGCTAACTTTTTTTTGTATTTTTAGTAGAGACGGAGTTTCACCATGTTGGCCAGGCTGGTCTCGAACTCCTGAGCTCATGCAATCTGCCAGCCTCAGCCTCCCAGAGTGCTGGGATTACAGGCATAAGCCGTTGCACCTGGCCTTCTTAAAATAATTTTGAACAGGGCAGTATACAGGCCATCAAAGGAGACAGTACCATGTGTAAGACACATACTGGCTTTGAGGGGGATGTAACTCCTCAAAGGCTTTTACTTTTCTTCTTATACGACACAATAGAAGTTTAGTGTTTTTTTTTTCTAGTCTGATTTTAAATGATTTCATGTTACTCTTTCAACTTTTCACTGTGTAAAACATTTTGATACATTTGTTTATCATGTCACTATTTCCACAACTATGCTATATAATGCAATGATATCACTGGCTAAATGCTCAGGAAGTTCAAATCTATACCAGATTTCAAAGGCCAAGATTTGAGTAATTTCTTAATTAGAAACAATAATACAGACCAAACTTGTTCCTTGAAAATGTGGAGAAATCAATATTTAGTATCTATTGTTTGTTAAATATTACCTGAGGTAATTAACATATGTTGCATGTAGTTCTCCCAAAAGTAGGATGAGGAGATAGAGCTTCAAAAATGTTAAATAACTTAAACATGGTCCCACAGTCTGATAGGGCTGGTGTTTCTGATGAAGATTTCCCACTTTTCCATTTTTGTGGACCTTCAGGAGAAACATTGAAGTATGGGTACAGTGTGAGTGGCACATGAATTGAGTCATGGATTAGAATTTTGAACTCCCATGGGGACACTGATTTTCTACTTTTTCATTTGTATCTTCTTGCAGTACTTTCTTTGTTAATCAAACACTATGAACGAAAAGAAATGCTATTTATTAAATCCAAACAAAGATGATTAAAAAGCAAATATTTTAAAAATTAAGTCAAATTAGCTTTGAATTATTTATATGTAATTCAGTATATATATATAAATAGATATTATACACACACACATACATATATATATGTATGTGTATATATATATATTATATAGTGCCCTCATGGGAGTTCGAAATTCTAATCCATGACTCAATTCATGTGCCACTTATACTGTCCCTGTATTTCATTGTTTTTCTCCTGAAGGCCCACAAAAATGGAATTGTGCTAGACCCCTCTCATCATTTCTCCATATGTGTCCAATTCTTTCTGAATTCTATAGGAAACACAACATAGACTTTTAAGCTGTAAATTCTGATGTACTTCATATATGTTTGAAACTAGAAGCTAACTATTGTGTTCTATGAAAGTCTTCTGGGATAAGTTATAAAAGAAATGAATATTATCATTCATGCTAGTTTATTCAGGTTAAAATAACTGGTTTATGTTTAATTTTATTTGAAATACCATTTAACCCAGCAATTCCATTACTGGATATATATATCCAAAGGCACATAAATCATTCTATTATAAAGTCACATGTACACATATGTTAATTGCAGCCCTATTCACAAACAAAGACATAGAATCAGCCTAAATGCCTATCAATATTACACTGGATAAAGAAAATGTGGTACATATAGATCATGGAATACTATGCAGCCATAAAAAAGAATGAGATCATGTCCTTTGCAGGAACATGGATGGAGCTGGAGGCCATTATCCCTAGCAAACTAACACAGGAACAAAAAAGCCAAATACTGCATGTTCTCACTTATAAGTGGGAGCTAGATGATGTGAAGACATGGACACAGAGAGGGGAGCAACATACTTGGAGGAAAGAGAGGATCAGGAAAAATAACTAGTGGATACTGAGCTTAATACCTGAGTGATGAAATGATCTGTACAACAAATCCCATGCTGCGGACTGGCTTTGTTTTTCTGCCTCCTGATACCACGTTTGGCTATATGATTTCTTTTGGCCAGTGAAAGGAGGTAAAGGTGACTATATGTTTGTTCCAGGCCCAGGCATTATGTGATATTTTATACCCCTATTTGCTTGATTTCACTTTTGCTATCACTATTAGAAAAACATGCCAGGCATGATGGCTTACACCTGCAACCCTAGCCAAGGTGGGTGGATCGCTTGACCTCAGGAGTTTGAGTTTAGCCTGGGCGACATGGTGAAACCCCATCTCTACAAAAATACAAAAATTAGCTGGGTATGGTGGCATGTTCCTGTAGTCCCAGCTACTCGGGAACCTGAGGTGGGAGGCAGAGGTTGCAGAGAGCTGAGATTATGCCACTGCACCATCAGTCTGGGTGACAGAGTGAGATTTTGTCTCAAAAAAAGAAATGAAAAAAGCAAAAGAAAAACATACTTTTGCAAACACATTGGTTTCAAGAGGAAGATGAGATACAAATTGAACAGAACCACCATCAAACCAAACTGACCCAGCCAAGATCGGTAATCTCCTAGCTGACAATTCACCTACCAGGGAGCCCAGCTGAGACTAGTAAAACCACACATATGAATCCAGCTTAGGTCAACCAAATCCTTAGATGGCCTGTAGGCTTATGAGCTAATAAATGCATATATTTAAATCTGCTGATATATTGGGCATTTGTTATGTAGTGTTATTGTGAACATAGTTAACTCCTAAAAGTATGGACTCAAGAAGTTTGCAGTAAGTTGAAAAGTGGACTGGAGTGATAGAGATCATCTTGTAGGCTGCTGCAGTGTTTATATGTCAAGTGATCTGAATCAGCCATAGGAAATTAGAATGGTAAGTAAAAGATCATTGCAAAAAGCTGACTAAAAACCTTTCCAACCCCAGGTTCTTTCTCTGCATTAGAAAGATAAAATTTCAAACTGCATGTGAAAATAATTATTGCTATACATACATAGTGGCATACTAATAAGACTTAAACTTCATAAGTGAAAGCAGATTGCAAACTGAAAAATGTTTTGTAAGTGAAAGGGATTATTTAGTGAAATGATTATTATGCCTTTCACTATAAAAAGAAATTCTTATATTGAAATATCTATAAAATTCTGCTTCACTGAGAAATACGACTTTCTTGGTAATTTCTCCAGCACTTTGAAAGCAAACTATCATAGCACAAAAATATTAAAAGGCAAATTTTCTGTAAACAGGGATTGTTTTAGTGCATTCTAGTGAGGAATAAGAGATTCTATATATCAGTTCCTGGAATACTGTAATATTTGCTAAAGGCATAAATAGTTTTCAATAATTTTTAAAGACAAAATGTACTTCTAATAAAATGATAAAATGTAATTCCAACAATCTGCATATTTTTATGAAATTCATTTATTATTTTGGAAGCATATGTACATTACAGTCATTCCTCAGTATGCCTGGGGCATTGGTTGAAGGAATTCTGCATACCAAAATCCGAGCATATTTCAGTCTCTCAGTTGGCCCTAAGAAACCTCTGTGCAGGAAAATAAGTCTTCCCTATACATAGGCTTCACACCCCCTGAATATAATATTTTCCATCCACGTTTGCTTGAAAAAAAATCTGTGTGTAAGTGGACCTGTGCATTTCAAACTCAAATTATTCAAGAGTCAACTGTACTTTTATTTATTTAAACTGAATTCAGAGAAGTAAATTCCTTAACTCAAATTATTAGATATCTTATTCCTTGATTCTTCATGAATTCAGCTACTTTATATCATGTTAACAATTGTAGGAAAAATTAGAGCAACGTTTTCTTCAAATTACTAATAGTTTAGCTTAGGAGATGATTCTTCCTGATGTTTTTAGGAAAAAGTTGTTGATTTAGGAGGAAGTAAGGAGAGACTACAGAATATTTTTCAACATCTACTGTGTCCCAAGAAATATGTTAGGTATTTTATTTTCCATAGCTCATTCAATTCTCACAAATTTTTGGGTTAGACATTATTATTATATCCATATTATAGTTGAGAAAATGAAGTGTATTGATATGAATAGACAACTATTGATAAAAGGTCACAACAAATAAAACAATGTCCTAATCATAGAATAAAGAGATAGAGTAAAACAGAGATCATAGAATAAGTTATAGAATAGAGACCAGTCAGGACTGACTGTACAGTATGTGAGGCCCAGTATGAAAATGTGCAGCCTCTGGTATATAAATTATGAAAAATGTAAAATCAGTGACAGCAGAGCATTAAATCAAGCACAGTACCCTTGCAAGCATGAGCCCTGTGTGACTGTACAGGTTACATGACCATAAAGCCTGCTGTCTTAGTCTCTTTGGGCTGCTATAACCAGATACCATAGAATGGTTGACTTAAAAAACAAAAGTTTACTTCTCACAGTTCTGGAGGTTAAGAAGGCTGAGATGTGGGCCAGCATGACTGGGGTCTGGTGAGGACTGTCTTCTTGGTTTGCAGATGGCTGTATTCTTGCTGTGTTTTCACATGACAGAGAACAGAGAGAGGAAGCAAGCTCTCTCTGTCTTCTTATAAGGGCACTAATCCCATCATGAGGCTCCATCCTCATATCCTAATTACCTTCCACAGGCCTCATCTCTACATACCATCACCTTGGGGATCAGAGTTTCAGCATATGAATTTTGAAGGGACACACACATTCAGTCCCCAGCACTTTCCTGATAAATATATTTCAAACATTGGATGAAGAACTGCATGATGTGGCCTTGAAGTTCTCTTCCTGAACTTGTTGAGATGTAATGAATGGTGATGCTGAAAGGAACTGTGGAACCCATGTCATTTAATCCACCAAGTGTTTAGACGAAGGCCCTAAGGTTCATGATAGTACAACTAGGATCTGGAAAATACTTACTAATCAGGGACAGTGACAGCACAGGAGTCAGGGGCTCCAGAGTCTTAGTGTAGTATTCCCTCTACTATATCAGGCTGCCTCTATAATGGAGAACCAAAAATTGCTCAATTTTAGTTTTTCAAGCAGAGATCACAGCTGCGAGGGCGGTACTCTCGCTGAATAAGGTGTGCAGAGTGCTTTGTTTATTGTAAACATAGTTTTACAATCATTAAGACAAACATGAAAGAATAAACATTTTATATTAAAAGTATGGATATCCACTTTCTTTTGAAAAATCAGGCTAAATTGGATGTGCCTTCCTGCCCTCATGCACAATGGGGATAGCCTGTTGCTGGGGAGCCCCTGACCCCCTCAACCTCTCACTAACCAAGAAAATCAGTGCTCTCCAGGGGATTACAGTCTCTAGTTTCCCTCAATTTTTATTTATAACAAGGCTGTTTTCTCCTTTATGTTATCTGCCTGGTTCTTGAATCAATTAAAGCTTTTGATTTCTGCTTTAAAGATTAAATCTTTAGTATTCCCTTACCTGAGATACTATGTCTTCTTCAGAAATAGAAAGTGAAGAGTTACACATGGGCAAAGGACTAGAAGATGCAATGTTCCTCCTGATGTAGTAGTTGTTTATAATGGCATACGGTTATATTAAGGTAATTCTACAATGTTCGGTAATTATGCCATTATAAAACCTCTCTTTACCATTTAAATTGAGCCTATGCAGCATGGCTGTTTATGTTTAAAACAACTTACTAGGTTTTTCTTTTAGTGGGGCTACCTGAATAGCTGTTCTCTGGATAATGAATGCAACTGGAATCTCAGGCCTTAATAATTTCAAAATTCTTGAGCATCCCCTTGGCCTCTTTCTCTACACCCCTTCCCTGTTGAGAATGAAAATGTGGATATACCTCATTGAATGTCTGAGCATATTCTTGTTTATACTGATGCACAAGTCCCCAAGGTCTGTCTCTAACATTGTCCTGCAAACAACACATCCTTAGCAGAGGCGTAGCCTGACTCCCTGCTGTAATCAACCCTCCAGAGAAATTTAATTTTTAATTAAAGGAAGCAGAGTGTTTACTTTTGCTCTAGAGATGATTAATCAGAACTTTGTTATTTGTGTTGCAAAAAAGGGATAAATTAACTATACCTTTAATTAGACCAGAGGGAATTTACTTTCACTGTCTCATATCTAACTAAAGCAAAAGCAGGTGCCCTGAAACGAAGATATAGGGCACTTAAAATATTCAATAGCAAGTAGTGCAGAGGTTAGGTCTTTTGATAATTAACATGTTAACTGTAAGTTCTGGACAGTGTATTCACTGAATTCCTTATCTTACTAGCGCAGGTTAATTTATAGTTTATTTTAACTCATGAATTTCGTTTTTCTCAAATTGTTCTCTCTGAACAGATGAAAATCAAATCAAATACTTTCCTCATTGAATTAGTCAGCTATGACTGGCATAACAAAATGCCACAAGCTGGGTGGCTTCAATGACACAAATGTATTTTCTCACAGTTTTGGAGGCTAGATATCCAAGATCAAGGTGCTGGCAGATTCAATTCCTTAGGAGGGTCCCTTTCCTGGTTTGTAGGTGACCACCTTCTCACTGTGACCTCACATGGTTCTCATATACAAAGTGATCGCTCAAATTTTACAGACTATTTTATTTAATAAAGATAGGATTCAAGTCCAGCTTTGCTGGAACTATGCTGGAGGAAGAATCATAAGAGAATTTGCAGTTATTGCTTCTTTACCATTTACCAGTCATTGCTTTCTTTACCAGTCATTGCTTCTTTACCAAGAATAAGTGAGTATAGAACTCTCTAAATAAATGATATGACTCCTTCTTTGTGTGAAATATATTCCCCTTTGCCTCTATCCTTTGGAAACTCTAAGACAAATGAGAATTTCAATCACAGCAAATAAGTTGATCATTTTATTGATAAATTTGTACTTTTATTTTATGACATTCTATTTCTACTTAAGTTATTCTACATAAGAATATCTGTTTTTCAAGTAATTCACTAAAATTCCATCTGAAAACAGTGAAGATATTAGATAAAAACTGCCAATATTCTGTCTTAACTATTTAGAGAAAAACCTTGTTTCATGTGACTCCAAAATCTGTTAGACACAGAAAATGTGTATTATAGCAAGAAGAGCCACAGAAGTTAATATCTTTAAAACATAAGTTTATTTGGTAAAATATTAACAAAGGTATACTCTTTTTTCTTTTATGTATAAGTTTTAGGAAAGCATATTTCAGTTATTTGGAAGAGTCACATATAGATACTTTCATATATGGCTTATTTATGTCATTCATTCACAAATACTTAATGAATGTTTTACTTTGGGCTAAATGCTAGAGACACAATGTCCATTAAGGTCTCATGAATTTTGAAGTGCAGTGGGAATGACAAACATTAATCAAACAACCACAGAAACATATGAAATTATAACTGACATGTGAAAAAGGAGAGAACCATATGCTATGGTGTTTATGATAAAAGTGTTTGGCCAAGTCGAGAAAATCAGAGGGTTTAAGCTGGTATCTGAATAATTAGTAGAATTAATATGTTAAAGAAAAGAAAGAAGCACACTGTAGGAGGAGAAACTATCACTGAAAAGACCCTCTTACCTGTCATATGGCATCTTAATCTTTAGAGAAACTAGAAGTTAATGTAGGCAGGAAACATGCTCATAGTTGGGGTTTGAAAATATCATTCTGGCTATGGTATGAAGAATGGAGTGGAGATTGCCTTTATTAGGAGACCATTACAATGGTCCAAATGATAAGTAAAAATAGATTATGGTAGCTAGAAATTCTTGCCTAGTCTGAAGCCACCTAACAGATAACCTTCCTGAATCGGCCTCTAAAAAAAGTCAGGAAGATGTAAATATGTTCAAAGTCAAAAATTTATTTTATGATTTTTAACATTTTTCTAACTTTTATTTTTGAAATAGTTTCAGACTTGCAGATAATCAGATAATGCCTACATACACTTCAAATAGATTTTCCACATATTCTCATCTTATGTCCACAATACAATGATCAAAACTAGGAAATTAATATTGATGCAATACTATTAGCTAATCTTCATATCTCATTCAAATCTTGGCAGCTTTCTCGCTGATCTGAATATGACCCAGGCATCAGGCATCGATCTGGAAGCACACATTGCATTGATTGCTGTTGCTTTAGTCTTGTTTAATCTGCGGCAGTTCCTCAACTTGTTTTGTCTTTCATCACCTTGACATTTTTGAAGAGTATTGTTCAGTTATTTTGTAAAATGGCCCTCAATTTGAATTTGTCTGATGTTTCTTCTAGACTAAATTTAGGTTATATATTTTTGGTAAAAATATGAAGAAGTGATGTTGAAATTTTTTAAGC
Source organism: Homo sapiens (assembly GCF_000001405.40). Classification (NCBI taxonomy): domain Eukaryota; kingdom Metazoa; phylum Chordata; class Mammalia; order Primates; family Hominidae; genus Homo; species Homo sapiens. The sequence continues at coordinate 43,183,303 of NC_000004.12, forward strand.
ACATTATCTCAGGAGACACGTAGTACCAATAGTCCCATTGTGATAATTTTGATCACTTGGTTACTGTAGTGCCTGCTGGGTTTCTCCACTGTAGAGTTACTGTTATTACACTTCTCTTTGTAATTAGTATTTATGCCAAGGCAATATACTTGCAGACTATGTAAATATTCTCTCTCATCATAATTTTGCCAATTAATTTTAACATCTATTGAAGACTCTTGCCTAAAACAATTATTAATATGGTATTGACAAATGGTAAACTTTCTATTTCTGTCATTTCTTGTACACTTACTAATTGGAATTTTGCGGTAAGGAAGAACTTTTCCTTTCCCCCATTTATTTATTTATTTATTTATTCAATTATTTACTTATATTGATATAGACTCATGGATAGTTGCTTAATTCTACAGATTATAATATATTACTCTCATTGTTTGTTTCCAGTAATTGTTCCAGCTTCGGCCACTGACAGCTCCTTCAAGTTGACTCCTGTGTCCTTTGGATGTGTCTCCACGATTTTAAAAAATTTCCTAACTTCCTGGTATCATAAGATTGTACAGGTTTATCTTGTACTTTTCCTGTCTTAGTCCTCCAATTAGACATTTATACAAGCACTAATGCCAAATAATTTCTACTATGTTGATCCCCAAAGGGAACTCTCAGGATAAGGAAAACAAATGCTTATATTCATCATATACTCACCTAAATATGAGTCATTCTTAATGATCAGACCATCCAAGATTGGTTATATAAAAGCTAAACTCCAAAGAAAGCCAACCCAATTTTATCTTCAAAATGTAAATGTAATGCCTATGATCCAGGAATAATTAAAATTCAATTGAATTCAATTCAGGGGTAGAGATAAGGTAGGAGCTAGATAGAACACATTTGAGGTTAGCTTATTTCTAAAGCCCAGTGCTCAAACTAAAATCTATTTCCTCACAGCTTAAATGCCGAAAAAACCTTGCTTAGACTGTAGATAGAATCTTCTCCTGGGAATGACATGTCTAGGAATTAGTTGCAAAGCATTATATAACAGGAGAACCAAAATTGTCAATAAAAACCCAAACTCTCTGATCCCAGGCTGAGAGTTGTGGAGCTCAGGGAGTGGTTGTTGGGCTACCATTGCACCAGGATTTGTAGAATTCAAACAAATAAATTATTTCATTTAGGAAACATTAGAAGGCCCATGTTATACTGCAACTTATCTCTAGGACTTGGTATCCAGTTAAGCACTTGGGCCTGTGTGGATTAGCTGAAAATGCCTGAAATACGTAGCAGAAGCAGCAGGAGGAAACACAGACCACAGAGCTTCAGGATATAACAGATATATACATATATATACACAAACATACATATACATGCATATCAATTAATTTCCAACAAACATGTGGGTCAGAGGAGAGTTGAAAAGTGATTGCCAAATGGAACTAGCTATTATCCTATTATGAAAAATATGGCATTCATGATTGTTTTGGTGATTTTTTTAAAATAGAAAATAATTTTGGAATTTGTTTTAGGACAGAATTCATTTGTAGAGAATGAAATAAAAGAACCAGGAAAAGCTGCGACATAACTGATAGCTCCAGCTTTCTTTGGTGCCATAGGCTCACATCCCACCCTCGACACACCAGTGTATAGACTCAAAAACACTAAAAATTGTGACTTTAAAGTCTCCAGTTTCCTACACAAAAGTGCTGATTCTCTATTTTTTGGACCTATTTATGAGACAATTCATCCAATTAATGATAAATCCTTTTTTTTATTATACTTTAAGTTTTAGGGTACATGTGCACATTGTGCAGGTTAGTTACATATGTATACATGTGCCATGCTGGTGCGCTGCACCCACTAACTTGTCATCTAGCATTAGGTATATCTCCCGATGCTATCCCTCCCCCCTCCCCCCACCCCACCACAGTCCCCAGAGTGTGATATTCCCCTTCCTGTGTCCACGTGTTCTCATTGTTCAGTTCCCACCTATGAGTGAGAATATGCGGTGTTGTTTTTTGTTCTTGCGATAGTTTACTGAGAATGATGATTTCCAATTTCATCCATGTCCCTACAAAGGACATGAACTCATCATTTTTTATGGCTGCATAGTATTCCATGGTGTATATGTGCCACATTTTCTTAATCCAGTCTATCATTGTTGGACATTTGGGTTGGTTCCAAGTCTTTGCTATTGTGAATAGTGCTGCAGTAAACATACGTGTGCATGTGTCTTTATAGCAGCATGATTTATAGTCCTTTGGGTATATACCCAGTAATGGGATGGCTGGGTCAAATGGTATTTCTGGTTCTAGATCCCTGAGGAATCGCCACACTGACTTCCACAATGGTTGAACTAGTTTACAGTCCCACTGACAGTGTAAAAGTGTTCCTATTTCTCCACATCCTCTCCAGCACCTGTTGTTTCCTGACTTTTTAATGATTGCCATTCTAACTGGTGTGAGATGGTATCTCATTGTGGTTTGGATTTGCATTTCTCTGATGGCCAGTGATGGTGAGCATTTTTTCATGTGTTTTTTGGCTGCATAAATGTCTTCTTTTGAGAAGTGTCTGTTCATGTCCTTTGCCCACTTTTTGATGGGGTTGTTTGTTTTTTTCTTGTAAATTTGTTTGAGTTCATTGTAGATTCTGGATATTAGCCCTTTGTCAGATGAGTAGGTTGCGAAAATTTTCTCCCATTTTGTAGGTTGCCTGTTCACTCTGATGGTAGTTTCTTTTGCTGTGCAGAAGCTCTTCAGTTTAATTAGATCCCATTTGTCAATTTTGGCTTTTGTTGCCATTGCTTTTGGTGTTTTAGACATGAAGTCCTTGCCCATGCCTATGTCCTGAATAGATAAATCCATCTTAGTCTAAGAAATAGCAGTTATTCTCTGGGTATTCAATACACTGCTTTGTATCTTACAGATATTCAACTAAGTCAATAATAGCAGGTATATTTTATAAAATAAAGAAAAGAATAATTATGCCTAGTTTTGAATAATGTTCGGTAGAATACTGGAGACAAGAAACAAGATTTGCAATTAAAAACATGTAAATGATAAAAGAACTACTTATATACATAATGAGTTTATTATAAGATGATGATATAAGTCATTTGCATTTATCTTCTAAAATACTTATCTGGATGTTTGTTTTACTTTTTCATTAGTTACATTCAAGTCTTCGTTGTATTTAAGCCTCTATTTTTCCCGTGCGTGCTATAAAACCTGATATACTTTGTATCAGCCATTTCATTCTTACGGATGACCAGAGAATAAAAAATACCTTAAAATAATCCTAAATAAAAAAAGGTAATAAGGAAGAAAACCTGTAGAAACTATGTAGAAAGCAGACCCAAAAAGACTATAGTAGACCTCTTAGTTCTGGATGATTCTTACCTTTGCTTTTGATTATTAATGCTTTGATGAAGACTATAACCCAAATGGTGAGACGATTATAAGCTATGATATTATACTTTACTTTTATGACATTTACCCTTTAAAAACATTAATTTTGGAATTAAATATGTGAGGTGGTATGTTATACTTTCTTGATGAGATTGAAGAGGAAATATTTTATTTGTTGGAAGTAGAAAATGTGTAATGATGTGAAGGTAGGTTGAAATCTAAAAATCACTAAAAATCCCTTTACTTCATTCTCTTATTTTTTTCTTTCAACTTTTCTTTCCTTTATTCAAAATATGACTTGTTTCAGTAGAAATAATATTAATAATTCATTTTGAATGCTAGTTGAGGCAGAAGTCACTCTGGCTTCTCATCTGAGGACTTTTGAAAGACAGATGTGGTTCAGTTGCCTGAGTGTCTACATTGATTCTTTAATATAATTGCTGAAAGATCACAAATGAAGAAAGTGATTTATGCTCTCTATGCAATTTTTTGTGTCCATCTCCATCATTTCAATGAGACGAAAACATCAGAAACGTTGTCATCTGTCAATCAATCATCAAATAAATGTTGGCATTTTTCCATTATATGTGGCTTAAATGACTTTGGTAAGCATATTTTGTGTTATAACCCTTTTTACTAATAAAGTAGGGAAAGCCAAGTTTCTTGAACACTGATATTACTGGGAAAATAGAGATATTGATAAAGGCATAATCATAAATCAAAATGACTGAAAATGTCCATTCATGGTATGCTACACATATTCATATTTATGTCCCTAGATAATAAATATGCTCTATTAGAAAGTTAATAGATTGGCATTTAATTTAGAATGTAGTATTTGCTAATTTTGTTGGCATGAGTTTGTCCTCTGGGTGAACTAATCACATCAGACTTGCAGATCTACAAAATTGAAGACCAAGATGAAATAGCTTCCCTGGTGACATATGGAAGAAATGGTGATAATACCTTTATACATGACTCAAAAAATCTAATACAAATATAAATTATAAGGAAACCAGGACATTCTGGTAATTAAACAGAACTAGAAGACAATAAAAAATGTAGATCCTCTTAATTCAGAAAGGAATGTAGGTGCTTTCTTCTCAATTTTTATAATGTATCATTGAGAAATTCTCAAGAGCTTGCTGCTTGATGGAACTTGATTGTCTCAAGTGTTGTTTATTAACACACAACACCTTTGTCGTTTCAGCACATTAAGAAGTACAAAGAACCTCATTATTATTTTAACAGCTGCAGAAAAATAATATCTGGGAACACACATGAGAAACCTTCTGGGGGACTCCCAGCCAGAGGCAAGTAGTGTGATAGATGGTTAAGGGTTAGATTCAAGAGAAATATAGGAACTTAAGAAAGCAAGGTTGTATAGCTAACAATTTCTTGCCACACTTACATCTGTTCGACATATAGCCCTAGATTATGAATACCTTCTCTGAATAGTTCTCCCCTTGTATCACCCAGTGGAAGGAGGTCTTTACCACATTGTCCAATGTGAGCAGTGAATATGATTGATGTCTCACGTCACTGTGCTGGCATATGATGTGGCTTAGTTAGTAAATACCACTCTTTTCTCTTAATACTGTCCCTGCTTCTCTGTGAAAGATCTAGACATAGTGAGGATTATGCTTTTGGGGTTGAGCCTTGCTCATCATTTTGTAAATGATACAGTTTCATATTAGAATCAATGATACAATATGTCATATCAAGTGACAATATGTGGCATCTAACAATGTGTGGCAATGCATGGCATCTCAGTACCTGGAATGACTTTTTGGGCATGTGCTCTGTCTCCTGGGGATTTTCCTAGGAGAGACATGAAGGAGCTCTGCCTTCGAGGCAACTTTACACTTGACTGTTCTTTTCACCCAGGAAAATTCCTGAGTGAGAATGAATTCCTTTGCTCTGTGTGACTATTTCTCCATCAGATGTGAAGAAAAATGGGGAAAACAACCTTCAATATAGATTTGGTTAAAACATGACTCAGAATGGCCTTGTTACTATGAGTAGTTATAAAGTAGCTATTTATGAAGTTATTTTACTATTTTCAAACTAGCAGAGATGTTTATTAAAGAATGCTCATAATCTGGTTGTATAGTGGAAAAATAAACAGGAGCATCAGACTCATTGATCAAGGACCTGGTTGGAATCCCTTACCCCATGTATTCCATGTAGCTATGTGACATTGTTTTGTGATTTTAGATTGACACTATTTGGAAGGTTAGTAACCCTCTGTGAACCATCATTTTCTTATCTCTAAAATGGAAATTATAACTGCCTTACTGATGTGAGGAGCAAACGTAATATCTTATGCTACCATGCTGTTGTATGCTATTGCTTGGTTAATACTAATCATTATTATTGAAGTAATCTCTTACCATAAACTCAGAAAATATGTAACAGTTAGCAGAATTTCAAATTAAGTTTATTATTTGCTATGTAAAAAAGCACAGATTTCTTCCCAATGTAAACAATGTATATGCTTCTATACTATGTGACATTTCAGATAGAGAATAAAAGGTTGTAGGTATTAATACATATTATATAAAATAGCTTTATGATGTCATAGAGCTATCTCACACAGTACATATTAATAGTTCCAATGCCTTAAGGTGACGTAGTATTTGTCCTTAAATATTGCCCAAGATTGAGTTTCTGAAAAGAGTGTTTAAAATCTAATTTAGGGGGATATAAAAATGAATGTATACAGAAACTCTTTAGCAAATTTTTCAGTTCCATAAATAATTATTTGTAGATTTATATTGCAATTCAGGAAAATATGCATATGGTTATAGTTTACCTAAAAATGAAATGCACTAAAATATTTTGTAGTTCTATTTTTCAAAATATCATAAATAGAGAACATGATTATTAGTCACATACTCTGAATTTTCAGAATATTAGCATCCAAATGAAAATGGTCAGCCCTTATTAAAATATTCCAATTTTAAAACCTAAACCTTTATATGAAAACTCATTTTTTTGTGCCTTCCATTCATTCTCCGTGAATATTTATTGAGTGCCTGAACTCCTTACGATGCAGAGAAAATGAGTTTCCAAGTTCACAGCTGTGGTTTATGGAGACTCCAAATTATTTCACTACTGAAAACAGTCAGAATTGAGAGTAGCTAGACAGAGACAATGTTTAAAGGGTATTTAAAGGTGAGGTCTGCCTGATGTGGCCCTGCCCAGCTTTCCAAACTCATCACGTGACATTTTTGCCCTTGTCCTCTATGATCCAGCTACATCATCTCTTTAATGTAACCCTATTATATTCCTGTCCCTATCGGGGTATAGCCTACTAATTCCTTACTCTGTAACTCCTTTCTTCCCCAAGGTGTTTGTAACTCTCCTTATGGGCATCTGTCCTATATGGCTGCCTTTTCTGTACTCAAGGGAATACTTCTTGTCGTAAGTTCCACCTGCACAACATAAATCAAAACTCAAAAAATCCCAGGTTCCCATGCATTAGGAAGCAGACAGATGAGCAAGGCCCACCAATCAGGCACAGTCCCAATAAGCTTCCAAATGCTTTGAGTGGTGCTTCCCTTTTGCCCATCACTGACAGCTATAGAGATGTCTGACTTTGGTGAACATGGTGGAAGTTGCAGCAGTTTTCCAGGGTTTGGAAAGTCAAGATACCAAAGTGACATTGGTGGACACCAAAGATGATTCACTCTGGTTGTGGTGGATCAAAAGAAACATCAGCAGCTATTTCATCAGGCCAGTTCTATTGTGCGGTTTTAAGTGGTGTACTGGAAGTTTGTGTCAGAGCCTGTTCCTCCCAACAACGTTGCAAGCTACCTGATATACTTCCAATATTTTCTGGCAACCAGCTAGAGTCAGCTTCTGTTGCTTGCACCTAAAAATTCTGTTAAACATCCCCCAATGCAGCACTATCGAAAAAAGTCTCTTCTGTATCTATTTTTTATCTCAGAATGCTGGTTTATTACCTTCTTAGCACTTATCAGAATTTCTTATTATTTGTTTCTTTATTTGATTTTTATGTCTTTCCAAAGGGATGGTAAGGCAGAGGAACTTGAAGGCAGAGGCAGTGTCTTCTTATGCATCACTGTATCCACAGCACTAAGTACAGTTCTTGAAATTTAGTAGTTGCTTCAAGAATGTTTTTTGAAGCAATACGTGAAGCATGTGAAAGCTACTTCTTCATTTTCTTAGCTTGTATTCTTCACTCAGTGAATGAATCAATGAATTAAAGAACCTTATCTCCTTTTGACTTAGTCCGATTTCCCCAAACTAAGCAGAGCCTGAGACAAAGGCTTATGATTTTTACTTAATTAAGGAGTGCAAGCCCAGGGAGTATAACTGAGGGACAAGGAGAGTAATAGGTCTGGAGAGAGAGTCAACATGAAGATGTTCTATTGAGCTGATTTCTACTATGTAAGTCTATTTGATATTGTTGGACCATTTAATAAGAAGCCATACACATGTGTCTCAGGAAAGTCCTCTGGGAGGGTGAAAAAGCAAGAGTGTATCCACTCACTTCTAACTGCCCCTGGACAATGGTGTGCTTTACAGAGTGGTAAATTCCCCTCCCTTTTGCGTTCATCTATAGGAGTTTGGAAGAATACAATATCACTGAGTCCTCAACAAGGGAGTACCAGGGCAAAGCACAAGGAGCATATGGCACAGGCAAGAAGAAAGCTGTGGTCATGATATGCCTGTGTGAGGGGGACCACAGCTCACGCAGAGCTGCTGGCTACAGTGGCAGCTCGAAGAAGGGAGGAATAAAATTTGGGAGGATCTCCTTAGAAGATGTCAACCACAATTTTTACTTCTCAAAGTGTACCTTGAGGGAAATAGTTAGATGGAAATCTTGTTTTGATCATATGTAAAGAACAAACGTTATGTTTTCTTCAGCTTTTTTTTTTTTTTTTTTTTTTTTTTGGTGTGAGTGGGAATTAATTCCCCATTCAAGCGATTATAGAAATGACTTCTGGCAATTTGTACAATATCTAGACCTTGGCCACTTTTGTTTAGTTTAGGAGAGAGCACCTGAACTTTCAAACAGGAACAGTTATTATTCTATTCTTGTCAATTTGGAATTGAGAGTGGAGGAGAGAGGTTATAGTCTATTCCCAACTGCTTCATCTGTAACATTTAAGTACAAAAGCTCACAGATAAAGTAAGCTTACTAAATGAAATTATAGGCGGGGGCACTTTGTCCTGCAAGTTAAAATAACAGGCAGCTTAGTGGGAACATCTGTGATGTTATAAATGGAAAGTAAATAAACTGTGAGCAATAATAAAATTATCATTCCATTACGTTAATATTCCTTCACCTTTCTTCCATGGGGAGTTAGGCTTTCAGAGCTTAAATGGTTTTCATATTGTCTTCCATATATTCTTTTTTCTTGAGCTCTTAATTCATTATTAAAGTTATTCTCTTTTTAAGTGCTCCTTCTGAACATCATTTATATTTTCTATGGTACATTTGGTTTACCTGGGTAATGCTGGCTCAATGCTTTGTCCTTCCTTGTTGGCACATACTATTGCTTGTACTTGTACACCTTCTTCTGTCGATGAGGAAGCATGAAGATGATGTGGGTGAGGGAAGGGCTCATGAAAAAAGGGTATGGGGCACTATTTCTCCTAGTTCACAGGTTTCCCTATTGCTACAAAATTTGTTGTACACTTTTGTTTGTTAAATACAATTTGTGGACAGATATATCTGTCCTGCAACTTTAAAATCATAGGCAGCTTAGTGGAAATACCTGTGATAAGGCAAGTTGAAAAATCAAGGGTAAGTAACAATCAACTTACTAGCATTCCATTATGTTAATATTCTTTCAGTCTTTGTTTTAAAGAGCTTCGATTGCACTCCCACTATTGACAACTAAATCTATGAACAGTGTAGACTGTTAGAGATGATAGTATTTTTTTGTAGCAATTTCTCATTTGCTCTAGGAATGTGATAAAGTGTCTCCACTGAGGCCAGAAATACATAATCTTATTTTCTCTACTTTAAATTTTCCCATTACATTTTCAAACTGCATTTATTGACACTGCATTTAAATATTCAAGTCTGTTTCAGAAAATGCAGTTCAGCACCCTTGAGGTATTCCCAAAGAACTTGGTAAGCATTTGTACAAGATTTCTTCTCAGGTTGAATGGAAAAATATATAATAATGATAGTAATAAGTATACTAACTGATTTTAAAATATATTATCAATTATTAGGGCAGTGCTAGTCTGAATGATAATATACATACAATATTTATGTGTCACATTTATAAACAATGATTTTGTCTTCTTTTAGGCAGGTATGCCAATTAGTATGACTTGCAGATTAAAAACATGGCTTTAGATTTAGACAATCTTAAATTTAGATCTTGATTTTGCCATTAACATACTTACCTTACTGATATGGTTTGGCTGTGTCACCATCCAAATCTCATCTTGAACTGTAGATTCCATAATCCCCACATGTCGTGTGAGGAACCCAGTGGGAGGTAATTGAATATTGGGGGCTGTTAATTCCATGCTGTTCTTGTGATAGTAAGTGAGTTCTCATGCGATCTGATGGTTTTATAAAGGCCTTTTTCACCAGTTTGCACTGCACTTCTCCTTGCTGCTGCCATGTGAAGAAGGACGTGTTTGCTGCCCCTTCTGCCATGATTGTAAGTTTCCTGAGGCCTCCCCAGCCCTGCAGAACTGTGAGTCAATTAAACCTCTTTTCTTTATAAGTTACCCAGTCTAGGGTATGTCTTTATTAGCAGCCTGAGAACAGACTAATACACTTACTAACATTGTGACCATTGGCTCTGTTTGCTCATTTTGAAAATGTATAGCTATCTACCCCTACATAGTTGTTGTACACAGTTAATAAGACAATGGAGGTCTTGGCGTATACTAAGTATTCAGCATAAGGCTGCCAAGGAGAGTCATTACAGCTTAGCGATTAAGAGCTGGAGCTTTGGGTTTCAAAAGATGTACCACCTACTACTCATGTGATCTTGGGCAAATTAATTGACCTCTCTGAGATTCAGTTCCTCAACTGTGAAACTGTGGTTAAGAAATATATTTCACAATGTTCGTTCTTGAGCAAAAAATTATATGATATATGTAAAGCATTTAGCACAGTGCCTGACCCATGGCAAGTACTTAATACATGCTAGCTATAAGGGATACTATTTCATTAGAAAATGTCACTAGGTATATTAAAGCTTCTTGAAAAATTTATTAGGTTACTATTCAGATCTTATAAAATAATAAAATAATTCAATTTTGTAATCTAAAGGTAACTGAGGCATTTTTGATGTATATCATGAGATATAATTAATAAATGATACTTTAAAATAGTAACCATATTTTACTCACTGATATGTTAGATAATATTTCTAAGATTTTGCATTTTTTCATTGTAGTATTTACTTATGGATATTGTAACATGATTTCCATTTGAAAAGTACATTTTTTAAAAAGAGAAAATATCACATCAGTTCTAGTATAATATGTTTATTTCAAACATTAGGCACAATCATAACTACAAGCATTTTTTTCTGTTTGGGTTGTCATCTTATTTGTCACTTATCTGCCTGATATTTGCTATTTTTTGCTGGAGGCATACCAATAGTCATTGTACTTTGAATAACAAAAGAGAATTCATAAAAAACATAAATAATAAGTGATAATATATTTTGGAAAGTGCAATACCTAGTCTTACTCTCTTTTACAGTTTAATGTATTTCAATATTTTATCTGCTTGATTTATTTTGGCAACTTTTTTTCCTATGCTATGGAAGCAACTTTCTGAAAGAAAAAACACTGATTGAGTGATTACAGTCCCTACTCATAGACAAGTATACTTTTTCATTGCTTCTTGCACCTAGAGTAGCATATATTCAGTCCTAATCAAAAAAGACCTGTTTCATACTAGTGTGGAAAAAGTGGAGTTTGTCAAAAATATGTCTGTTCTTGAATAACCCCAGGCAGGCCATGGTATTACTGTTTTTCTTTAGAATCTGCAATTTCAAATGCTTAAGCAGCAATGTAAGCCTATGTAGTAATACTAAACCTATGAATACCTGTTCTTTTGTAAAATGACTACTTAATATCAAAGATGTGTGCTCTTATCTTTGGTATCCCTAGAACTTAATATGGACTAGATGGTCAGGAAATGAATAGGTGAAGAATATCTGTGTTTTGTAAATTGAGGAAAAATTTTTACTATTAATAGATATTTATCTTATAGTATGAGCTCATCATTTTATTATTTTTATAAATGCTTTCCACAAAAGGCATACATTTTATTCACTAAGCGGTTTGAGTATTTCATGTGAAAAAAAAATGTGTGTGTATTATTGAGGACATATAATGGCCCAGGAGCATAAATTCCTTATGTACATTTTCCTTTTTAGTCATCACGTGAACCCTCTGAGATACATTCCATTCTTCTCTCCATTTTATACATAAGGAAACTATGGCAGAGAGATAAAGTAACTCGACCAAAGTCACACATATTGTAAGGGAAAGAGTCAATGTTTTAACTCAGTCATCCTGATGTTAAAACTCTTCAGAAATGTGTTTTTGGCAATAGTGCTAATTCAGGCCTGTTAGTAGTCAGCCTAGATCCCTGTAGAGGTAAGTAGTCCCTGCTCTTTAGTTTTCCCTTAGATATTCAAGTAGTGCTTAAATCATCTTTATAAAAGTGTAACATAATAAAAAGTAATTTATTAAGCAATTAAGTATGAAAGCCTCAGATTACTATAGCAAGGGATAGCGTTGCATAGAAAATGTCGTGAAACCATACAGCTGTTCCATTGTGGATGCTTTCTCCATTAGTTTCTGAATTTGGAAGTTGTTTTCAAACTGGGAGGTAAATTTTTTCCCTAAAAGAATAGGGGGATACAAAGACCATTTTTTTCCTACCACATAGAAGTTCTGCCAGATGTTCCACTGAACAAAGAAAGAGAGGAAAATGAGTGGGTATCCTGGGTATTAATAGGATAGAGCTGGCAATGATGACAGGCTTGTCTTAGAGCAAACATTGGCTATTTCAGCATTGCAAAAAGCTGTGCAAATAGGAACAAGCTTTAGAGCTTAGAAATACACTGGATGAAGATGGTGCATTTGATGTTTTAATTTTAGCACAATTTGGAGACTGACACTTTAGTTATTACTAGTACATTTTTTTTTGACACAGGAAAATGCCCACTGTTGTGCTGGTGGTGTGGAATAAGGTAAGCATAGATTACACAGAAGATCAGTTTAAAACCCACACAATCTGGAAGACAACCCAGTTGAGCTGGGGCAAATATAGTGTCACTAATCTCTCAGTGAGGAGAGATTAATAATAAAGTGAAACCACTATCACCTTACTTATAGTGACAAAGAGGAAGAAGCACCTATCATTAGAAACTTGCCTGGTTCTATTAGCTGAGCTTGGTATCACCCTGTTGAACATAAACAATTCATAGAACATTAACATCAGGCAAGGCCATGACTGTGATAATGATGGATAGAGAAAAAACAGGGCCACTCAATAATCATATGAGAATACATAAAAAACGTAGACATTGTCCATATCACAAAAATGACCAAAACTGTCTAATGGCTACTACTTCTTTACCAATGACATCTTCAGCCTAGTCTCCTCACCATCTAGGTAAGATTTATTAAAATACCCAGTCACAAAATTAGCTCCCTGCACAGCCTCCAAGCCAACATTCTGCTACTTAAGGTCTCCCCTAAAATCACAAGTCCACATCCTGTACTGAGTGTGTTCTACCAACCTCTACTGCAGTTCTCCACAGTCCCCATGATGAGCATCCTTTCTCCCTGCATGTGCAGTAAACACAACTTAATCAGCCACAGGTGTGTTCCTGGTGGTCTTTGATTGGACTTTGCTCTTTAGACAATTATACTAAAGTTAGTTCTATGACTGTGTTATTTGAAACTTTGAGTTGGAGAGTAATAGAAATCTACTTGAACAAGCTTAAAAATAAAGGATATTTATTTATTTGTCCAAAACATAATACATGAAGAAGCTTAAAAATAAAGTATACTTATTTATTTATTTATCCAAAACATAATACGTGACTAGCTCAAAGCATGAAAACTCAGAAATGCAGATAGGCCTGAAGAAACACCTGAAAAAAGAATATCGAAGTCATCGTAAACTTAGGCATTCTCTCTCTCTCTCTCTCTTTCTCTCTCTCTCTCTCAATCTCTCTCTCTCGTTTCTCTTTGAATATTTACTTATTTCCTTCACTGTTCACTTTTTCTTTAGTCATGACCAATGAATGGAATAATATGGTGTCTTTAGCTATTGAGTGAAAATGTTACATTTCAGTTACACGTAGAGCCTGGTACATAGTCGCACATGGATACTTAATGAGTGCCCATTTTTCAGTATCCTGTTCTTGTCCCAACTAAAATAAGAAGGACCCGCTCAGCCTGGATCATGTATCTTATGATTGAGACAACTTAAATGCGTGACTGTTGGATCTTAACTCCACTAATAACGGCTCATGGGCTAGGAAGATTTCTAAAAAATGTTTACTACATGTAGTTTTTATTTCATAAGCTAGTTTTAGTCTCAGTTAATTATATTGTTGTCTTTATGATGCCTAAACAGTAAACCAAAGGTGGGTACTTTTAGAGATTAATTTTAGAATTAAGATAATAGGTAATAAACACCATAGTCAAAGTTCAAGTGCCTTCAATCAATAGAAAGTTTTAAGTTATTCTGGATTAATATAACTTTTCCCCAGCATGTAATATAAATTACATATTCATAAGAATACTCAGCAGTTTATAGTAAACAATAGTAAGACAATGTTTACATCACTATTACTGCCAAATCAAACAGTATTTGGAATAGCAATAATTAATTGTCTCTTTGCCCAATTATCTCATGCTTGATCTCTGCCCAAGAATCTCATATTTACCATATGATACACTTTAGGGTATAACTGATTCACAAAAAATAAAAATATTATGCAAACTTCACCAAGACTGATATTTATAAACAGACTTGAAGTCTGTGTAAAGCAAAGGATTTTTAATGGATAAAAATTAAATCCTTAAAAATTAAGTGATTTCAGATTGTTCAATAACTTCTTCTGATCTTGAAGGCTTGGTTGCATGAAATCAAAATGTCATTCCCAAAATGCTTGTTTATGAGAATAGTTCAGTCACAGTTTTGTTCTGCAAAAGTGTGTATGTGCTATTTTAATCAAACATTTAATGATTTTGATGCTATAGATATAACCTCATTAATATTAAAAAAACTGCTAACATAGCCTCCATTAGTAAATACCATTTTAATTGAATTGGTAACTTTTGAGAAGGATATTTTTTGGTAGGCTTTTATTTTTGTGTATGTTGGCAATTCAGATTTCTATCTCTTGCAAAAGTTATGTAGTCTCTACAATACATTTATATTCATGTTAAAATAGATTACTACTCATGGAGAGTGTTTCCCAAATACTTCACTGGACACCATCCCATCAATATGCAACACGCTCTGGGAGAAAAGGTTTCTGAGCAACAGAATGCTTAGGGAATTCTTTACACTGTTTTTCTATGTTTGATATTCACAAGGCACTAAAATATATATTGAAATTCTGTGGCAAAAGACAATGGTTCAGCTTTGTTTAACTTGATATTTCGAAAACTCTTATATCCATGAAACCCTTTATTTGTACAATATTTTTTCTTGGAAAATATTTGAAGATTCTTGTTATAGGAAAAAAACTGTTTATTATCTGGTGATTTTTTTTCCTAAGAGTAACAGAATTTCTTGTAGACTGTAGGTAATATGCATACTTAAATTTAAATGAGGAAATTAATGTGAATAATGAGATAATGCACAAAACAACATTTAGTTTTATTTTAAGTGGACATGTCTAACTGCAATATTTTGTTTCTGATACTGAAGTCCTAGAGGCATTTCCTCTTTCAATGCAGGAAAATACTCAATTCAATAGCATTTATTGATTGTTCATTTTGGGCAATACATAGTTCCAAGTACTGTTAGGGATGGAAAGATAATTAAACATTAATCTCTGTCAAATAGAATTTCACCATCTAGCAGGAAATTACACACATGCAGACTCACTCACACATACAATACTCACTCACACACAACACTCAAACACATTCATTCATACGCACACACACTCACAGCTCTACAGTAACTTGTGAAACATGCTAGAATGAAGAATGGACAAAATGTTTAGAAATTAGAAAGCAGAGAGAATGGGAGATGCATACTTGCTGGAAGTGGGTGGGAGAAAGCCTAGCAAGTTTGAGATGTAAATTGGATTTAGAATGATGGGGATACAACTTAAAAGGCCGATTCTTGGGTATTTTGAGCAGAAAGAAAAGCTTGAATGTGACCTGAGAAACAGAAAGCATTGTTTTTCTTTGAGGGAGTTGTGAATCCAGCTTGCACAATGTTTAAGGGTTGTGATATGATATTGCTATGGTCTGAATAATTGTGATCTCTTCAAATTTGTATCTTGAAATCCTCACTCTCGAGTTGATGGTATTAGGAGGTGAGGCCTTTGGGAGGTGATTAGGTCATGAGGGCAGAGCTCTCATGATTGGGATTAGTGACACTCCCTGCCCTTCCCGACCCAGAGTGACTTCTCATCACTTTTCTAGGTGAGGTTAGAGTGAGAATGCAACTCTCTGTGAGGATGTGAACCCTCACCACACAACAAATTGCTGGTACTTTAATCTTAGTCTTCCCAGCCTCCTGAAATGTGAGAAATGAAGTTTTGTTGTATTTAAGTCCTTTCTGATATTTTGTTATAGCTTCCTGACTAAGATATGCAATGAGATTAGAAAAATAGTTATTGAAATATTATAAAGGATCTATACCTCTAGCTAAAAGAATTGGACATGGATTTTATCCTGTAAGTGAGTGAATATTAAATATGTTCATAAATGCATCATCAATGTTAATATAATAGTATTAAATAGCCAATTAAATATTTAGAACAAAGATTTATATCTTTAAGCAACATATTACCTATTTTATGAAGATATTTCAGGTCATAAAAGATAAGATGAACTCAAGTAGGTATGACCTGAAGACAGAGAGACCCATTTGGAGGCTATTTTAATAATTCAGAAGAGAATTGAAGAAAGCCCGACTTATAGCAGTGAAAGAGAACAGGGAATTGAGACATATGTAGGAGATGTTTTAGAAAAAGAACAGCGTAAATAATTGAGTGGCTACACAGGAGTGTGAAAAGGTTTGAGAGAGCATTGAGGTGGTTATGAAAGCCTGGATTGTCAGGGAGGGTGTAGTGGACCTGGTTTGCTAGGCAAGTGAACCTTCCTCTCCAGTTCTAAATCTGAGCTCTCTGATAAGAAAAGTGCCTTTAGACAGAGAAGGAACATGTTCATTCCAGGGGCCCAAGAATCTGAATTTACCTTTGGAGATTGTGAAGTTTTGAGTCCAAATGACTAGAGGAATAAAAATGCTATCCATCAATTAAAATGGGCAGAAGAAGCAAGAGTGTAGAGGAAAGGGTGCTTTTAAATTTTTGCCTGAATTCCTACTGTAAGCAGGGAATTATGCTAGGGCCAAGCAAACAAAGAGTTATAATACATATCCCTTTGATAGCTCTGTGGTCTAAGAAGATAGGAAAATTGTCTAATGAATTAATAAAGAAGGCATCATACATTTCATTCAAAATGAGTGTCAAAGAGAATAAATTCTTCAGAAGTTCAAAGAAGATACCAAAGAGAGCTAGAGTGTTAAAATTATTTTTTAAACTTTTATTTTAAATTCAGGGGTACAAGTACAGATTTGTTATATAGGTAAACTTGTGTCATGGGGGCTTGTTGTACAGATTGTTTTATTGTCCAGGTAAAAAATTATTTAATAATATGCAAATTGGTCTTCTAAAGAAGGGCTAATAATTTAGCTAAGCCTAAAGGAGTGGGAGAGGACATTCTAGACATGGGAAACAGTGTAAGTAAAGACATAGACGCTTGTATATATGTAAGTTCATTTGTTCATCTATCCATCCATTCATTTAATAAGTTTTGGGTACCTAATATATGCCAGGCACAATCTATAGAGAATATTCAGAAATAATAAAATGAGACCAATTTTATGGCAATGATGTTTTACATTCAACTAACACCTACTGTGCATTGCAGGAGGTGCTTCCACCTACTTCATTTATTTAATCTTCATAAGATGTCTTTACAGATAAGAAATTTTAGTTCAGAGAGATTAAGAACTTCAAAACTGCATATAGTGTCTTTTCAGGAAAGAAAACCACATCAATCACATCTTTTGACTCTAAACAGTTCTTTTACACCATTACATGCCCTTCGTGCAATAACCTTTGGGTTAATTTATTAACCCAGTCATTTTTATATTTGGAGATTAAGAACTGGGAAAGATTTCAAAATTAATTATAAAACTTGCTTTAGTCCTGAGAGAGGTGAGGTCATGGGAATTCTATACTTATCAGTCCCATCCAGGGTTATATGTGACTCTCATGGGCCCTATGCACTTAAGACTTTGATGGCCCCTTATTCAATTAAGTATTACATTTATTTTATGACTGCATTGGTATAAAGAAGAATATATGTAGTGTAAGACCTAAAATGTTCAATATTATGTGAAACACAAAGGGTCTTGAATAGCCTAACTATGAGCTCACATGGTTATTCTGCTTCCATGGAAAAGGTCTTCTAGAGCAAAATGTTTGTATTCCCACAAAACCACAAAATTCACGTGTTGAAGCCCTTTTCCCCAACCTGATGGCATTTGTAATGGAGCCTTTGGAGGTCACTAGGTTTATATTAGGTTATGATGACAAGAGTTTCATGATGGGATTAGTGGCCTTATGTAAAGAGAAAGAGAGAAAGATCTCTCTCTCTTTCCCCACCCATTGGCATGCACCAAGCAAAGGCCATGTAAGCACATAAGGAGATGGCATCTGTGCGTAAGATAGGAAGTAATCCCTCAGCAGACACTATATCTGCAGGCAGCTGGATCTTGGACTTCCCAGCCTCCAGAACTGCGAGAGAGGAATTTCTGTTGTTTAAGCCACCCAGTCTATGACGTTTTGTTATGGCAGCCCAAATAGACTATGACACCTAGCCAAACAATCCCCTTTATCAAAGGAACCAGGCTCAGTTCCTACTTATCCCTGAGTAGTAGGATTCAGTTTCCTGACAGTTCATGGAGTTGCTCAAGCAAGCCAGTTACATCCTCCTTTGAAAACCGGGGAGCACCCATCCTCTTGTTACCACCAAGCCTGCTTTCCACAGTCTCTGTTTGTTTACTGTGTTCTAAGTACAACCCCCATGTGGCCCTGTATGGTGTAATGTGTTCCTGCCCTGGGCTTTGAGTATATGTGACCAATAAACTGCTGTTGACATCACCTGTCCAATGTCAGGTGTCGTGTGTTTGGCCATTGCCATAATCCTCGGTCAGGGATCCTTCCTTTCCCAATGAGGTGAATAGGAGGCAATGGAAACACCGTATTAATAGTAGATATTAAGCCATTTCTTTGACCTAGCTCATTTTTAAAATTCTGATTTTAAAAGATTAGGCCAGGCAGATGAAGCGGTCAGGAGAGACCATCTTGGCCAACATGGTAAAACCCCATCTCTACTAAAAATACAAAAAATTAGCTGGCTGTGGTGGTGTGCACCTGTAGTCCCAGCTATTCAGGAGGCCAAGGCAGGAGAATCGTTTGACCCCAGGAGGTGGAGGTTGCAGTGAACTGAGATGGTGCCACTGCACTCCAGCCTGGCAACAGAGCAAGACCCCATCATAAATAAATAAATAAATAAATAAATAAATAAATAAATAAAAGAAATTAAAACATTTTCATAGGCTCTGAAAGGTACTGTGGGGTCTAGACAAGGTGCCTACTGTGCCTAATAGAGAATTTAGTCATGGCCCAATATCAAACTCTATTATAGTAGATTTTTTTTTATTTTACTTTTATTTAATATAAACTCCTTTCATCTCAAATATATTCTAAAAGTATGAAAATAGAAAGGCTCCTCATACTTTCTGTGAAGAAAAAATTTTATTCTAAATTAAACTAGCTTTTCTTTCCTCATTACACCTAGTACAACTAGACTTAGGATCACCCTTAAAAAGTCATTACCAGGTACTTTTATAGGATATGCTTAAATAGAATCTGAATGCTGAGGCAGGAAAGACACAGACAATATATTTTAAGTTATTTTGTGAACTATAAAACGTTACAATAGTGCAATGTGTAATTCTTATATAGGTCAGTAATTTTTAAACAATGCTCAGAAAACCACAGGGTTTCCTCCAGGCTGTCTTGGGGGCTGCTGGGAAGGGCAGGTGTTGAAAGCAGGTGGGACCATGGGATTTTGCCCACTCCGCTCTTTCTCCTCTCTCACTCCTTGGTTAATCAGTCCAGCTCTGTTTATCTACGTTGACCAAACAAAAGATTTTACTGGAAGCAAGGATCCTGCTGCACAAAATGTTTTAAAATCGCTAATTTTAATTTATCTCTCATGTCCTACATCTAACAGGCATTTGATACAATGAGAAGCTAGAAAATTAAGCCAAAGTTGAATTTGATACAATAAATTAATGTGAAAAAGAACCAGTTGATAATAACTTGGCAATAGTGACATATTATGAAGATGCAGGGATGACAAAGTAGAAATAAAATTTTACTTTCTTTGTTTGAAGATAAACACAGGTATCTTGAGAAGCCTCTGGACAATATTTTGAATTTAAAATGTTGCATTCCATTATTTATACCAGATACACACAAGCATCTGTTCAACCACATCTGTCAGGAACGGGTTTCAGGGATACCATCCCCTGTTAACAATAAATCCTTTCACGAACAGCTAGCGTAACTCCTTTCTATGTTGCCTTTAACCTCTTTTCTCTTACCTTGCTCTAAATTGAAATGGAAACAACCGGTTATCACTCTACTCATTATAGTCCTTATTCTGAAAGAATAATTTTCCTCGTGGTTGTCTGTTTTCCTAAAACTAAATCCCAGTTTTCTCAGCCTTTCCACAAAACTATTATTTCCAATTCTGTCAGCATACTTTTGGTTCCTGGAAACATTCTCCTCAGTCTTAAGAAGTGGATCAACATATCCTTTACCAACAACTTGGTATTTCACATTTTAAGGACAACTTTGTCACACAAAGCAATGTTTTCCTTGTTAGTAGACATCAAAAATAGCTTGTTTTATATCTTCTAAGGACCACTATTTTGGATATCCCAATTATTCAAAACTTTCTGAATGTCGGAATCATATTCTAAATTCAGATACTCACCAAAATTCCTGCTGTGATTATATGTTATAGTCAAAATAACACAAAGTTAATAAAAGGTACAATGACAAAATACTCAGAGTCAATGTAAACAAAAGAAAAGAGGAGTGTCAAAAAGAATAAACAGCTTTTTCTAGTTGGATTGTTCATTGAATTATGGATATATATCTTAGGGTTGTAAATGATTGTGTGTAGCTTGTGGCTTAAAATTATCCACGAAAGCATGTTTAACTCCCATTACCTAATATGAATGTTTCAAAAAAATTGTAAGTTTCAAAGTTTCAAAAAGATGTTGTTAAATAAATGACAATTCTAGTGATTTATTTAAAAGTTCAAATTAAGTTTCCAATGCACTTGTGAGCTTGTGCTGTGAGTGATTCCTGACACTGATCTTTTTGTGGTACCTTAAAATGTCTGCAAATACCATAAGGGCTATTGTAACATTCTTATACAAACTGGGCTTCTGCAGGCCACACCAGCTGAAGATCATAGAACAGTTGTAGAAAACGTTCTTTCGCTTTTGCCATCTTCAGATTATATGAATTGGATTGTATCTTTCTCAGATATACCTCCAAATTGTTTTGTAATTTTATAAGGCTTGCCTTAAGTATGATTCATTTTAAGACTCTATTCTACCTTGTCATATCTGACATTTTCTCCTTTTGTTCTATCCATTTTTGGAAGTGATTTTTGCATGAGGTAGCTCATGCTTCCAATGACTGAAGCAAAGCAGTTACAGGTTTTGTGTGCTAATCCAACTATGAAGCCACTACAAATTGCCACATGCTGACTCTTGTCACTGGCAAAGCAGTGACGTTGTCTGAACTAACTTGTACTGATGGAGCTGAACATTTTTATCTTTTTCTGTTACTATGCAGTTAATGTCCATTCAATAGTTTAAGGAATTAGTTCTTTTTATTTTTACTCACTGTTTTATTATAGACTCCTTTTCCTAAAGCTCAAAATAGCATTCATAGAAACTGGATCGCAGATAATCTGATGGAGAGATTTCTGACTGTATTATGGGAAAAAATGTTATTATATATCTTGGCAGCTTTCTTCTGAGTTCCATGCCAGAAGCATAGTGAACTGCTTCTACAAATAGAGCCCATGCGGCCCAATTCCTCCAGTTCTTTAGACTATCCCAGACCTTTTTTTCAATCCTAGGGTGAATATAGTTTCAGCCCAAGCTTAATTACAACGATATACTCTTCCAATTACAAGACTATTAATGCCTAGGAAACTATCTACTCCTACTCCTAAGGATCCTTTCTTAAGTGGAATTCCAATACTTTTAGGCTCCCAGATAAATAGTTGCATAAAATTCCTGACATCAATGGAGTCTCTCAAACGAGTTAGGCTTGGCACTCAGTCATTATTCCGACTCCTCTATGGGAACTGATAGTAGTTCTCTTCATTTCCTGTAAATATATACAGGGACCTACCAAGGTTAGCGGTAAAAGATATTTTTTACCCCAGCCCTCTGTAACAGATGCTGTTGGTCTCATGTCTTATTTGCTGACCACTTGAGTTCATCTGCAGTTGTGGCTCACAATTCCAGGCCTATATGAAGCACATTAAAAGAGCTTTCTCCACCACAGGCATTTGCTACCCAAAGTGGAGAATATGGTGGGAGTTAACACCCCTCCAATCCTCAACTGATGGAGGGTCCTGGCTTTCATGTTCTGTGGTGAGACATTCTGAGCTACATTTCACATGGCTTCTCAGAGAGTCCTCAGTGGGATTGAACACAGGTTTCCCAAAGCAATAAACCCTTTTATTAAAAGATATTTTGTTTTGTTGGCTTTACTCTCCTGTGTTACTTGGTCAATTTCCTCATTTGGGTTTTCTCTCAAATAAGCTACCTACAGGCAATTACTTGTCTCGAGGTCTGCTTTTGTAGGAGCACAAACTGACAGGTGTTCTCTTCCAAGCATTATGTTCTTAGATGATCAATAACTGTGTTTTGTTTTATTTTATTTTTATTCTCACAATAAATTAAAATAGAATGACCTCTTTATTTATTTATTTTTCTGAGACAGGATCTTGCTCTCGCCCAGGCTGGAATGCAGTGGTGTGATTTCATTCATCACAACCTCTGCCTCCTGGGCTAGAGTGATCCTCCCACCTAAGCCTCCCAAGTAGCTGGGACTACAGGAGCAAGCCACCAGACCTGGCTAATTTTTGTGTCTTTTTTGGTAGAGATGGGGTTTCACCATATTGCCCAGGCTGGTCAGGATGACTTTTATTTCACTCAAATTTGCAAAGTATCTCTATCTATCTAATTCAGTATTTTGTACATGATGAATAACCCTAGGATGTCGTTAAATAAATGAAAATTCTAAAATTTTTGTATGGATTGTGTATTTTGTATTTGCCCTTGAAAGAAATGGCAAAAACTGCAATTACTTTGGAACCAACCTAAAATTTTATATTTATATAGTCTATCTATCTATCTATCTATCTATCTATCTATCTATCTATCTATCTACTTACCTATCTAGCTCCTATCTATCTAATCCATTCACCATACACATCAAATTTAATATTTTCTTAACATTTATTCTATGCTAGTATTATTTTTGTCGTTAGGAAACCCAAAATGGCATTAATGGCTCCTGCTCTCACAGAATTTTGTAGTCTAATGGGTGAGAGGAACATTACATGAATACTTACACAAACTGTTACTCATGATTATAAGTACTAAAAAGGAACAGTGCCAATCACATTGAAAGTATAAATATTAAGGCATCTAAACATATCTTAGATGGGAGGGTGTGGTGGTTAGAAAAGATTCCCCCAGAAGTAATGCTTCCATTACTTTCTGAAGCAAAAACAGCTAGAAGCAGAGGGCAGTGTGGATCACAAACTCTCTCTCACCCCGTTAGGATCTTAGATGGTACCTGAATGAGATGAAAAATAATAATTATCTCTTCTGTTTTGCTTAAAAACAATTTTAGATCTTCCTATTACAACATTTTAATGACCTAATTGAACCATGGTGCAGAGACAGTTTCAATTACATTAATTTTAATTACTTACAACACATTTAAATTGAATGGTATGAATTTGAGTTGCTCCTCATTCTAATATTTCTTTGTGCCGCAGTTCCATGATAGATTTCTATTTTTGTGTGTAAATGTTACAGTTCTTGCTATTTCAAGTGTAATTCCATTTTCATTTGTTTTTAAGGAAAATAAATTGAGTTAAAATTATTTTCTCTTTCTTGAAGTTTCATTGGCTCATTAAAGGTCAGCCATTTCATAAAAATTTTCAAAATGATACAATGACATTTCAGAATAACATGGGTGCAAAGGAGAGCCAATTTTCAAAAAATAAAGAGTAAAAGAAGAGATGAAAAGTTTAAATCGAATACATATTTATGTTATACATTGCAGCCAATTTTTAGCTACAAAGTTATATTAATAATTAGTGCCAGTTTATAATTAATAGAAACATTTAAATGGTAATGATCTTAAGTCTTAATTTTTCCCCTTTCTTTTATCCTCTCCATTTTTCTTTAAGAAATTTACGAAGTCAGCAGAAAGGGAAAAAATCAAATAATATCTTTTGAGTAAAGACATGGGCATATATATTAGCTGAAATAATTCTTGACTCTTGGTTACACTTGAGACCTCTCATTGTACTCTTCATTAACAATTTCCTCCTGACCAAAGACCAGGCCACAGATTCCCTATAATATTACTCTTTTTTTTTTTTGGTCACTCCTAAAAGAGTTTCTCCAATTCATTTACCCAAACTTCTTTACATTGATTTACTTCATACCTAGTGCCCTTTGCCTACCTTCTTTGGACCTGTTACTTCATGCTGTCTTCGGTTTCCTTTCTTTCCTTGTGACTTTCAAATCAATTTCCCTTCTAGGCAGGCCTACAGTGGGACACTTTTTCTGTTTCCAGAAATCTATCTCAGGTCACAGCCCCAGTTACTTGGTTACTAAAAATGAAATTTTGAAGAGTTTTTGCCTTAGAATAAAAATATACCTAGAGTACTGGGCAGATTTTTGTCAGAGTTGTAAGAAAGGCAGAGCCATATTAAAAAAAAACAAGATAAAAATAATAAGGATGAAATAGCACAGAAGCTTTCATCAAGTGTGCTTCTACAATCAAGGTCAGTGGAGGGATCTTACAGGCTTATTTATATTAGCACAAAAGGTAATGAAGCTTGAAATTTTCTAGTGATACACTGGAGTGGAATAAATAGTTCTATACAGAATTTTCAAACAAACAACGAATTTTTCAGCTTAACAGTGTGACAATCAGTCCTAATTCTTTTTAGATAGTCTTTAAATGCTATTCAGTATTTTTTTTTGAGTCAAGTAAAACAAATGGTTCTGTAAAGCCCTACATTCCTCTTTTTTCCCCCTTTGACTTTGTGAATATTTATTCCCCAGGTACCTGTTGGCTTTGCATGCATTTGGAAATTAAGAATTAAAATTCATATCAAGAACAGGTGCTCATTTTATGGTTTAGAGACTTTTTAAGAATTTTTTGTTTGTTTGTTTTGACTCAGAGTCACATCTGTCACCAGGCTGGAGTGCAGTGGCACAATCTTGGCTCACTGCAACCTCTGCCTCCAAGGCTCAAGAGATCCTTCCACCTTAGCCTCCTGAGTAGCTGGGACTACAGGTGTCCACCAACAGGCCCGGTTGATTTTTGTATTTTTTGTAGAGAAGAGTTTTCACTATGTTGCTGGAGAGTACTTTTAATTATTGCTTCAAACATGTCTAAGACTGATAAGCCAGATTAGCCGTCATTATTTTTAAAAATCATAATGGGCCCTGTAATAACCAATTTAACAATAAGAATTATAATATATTTTTTGATGATATAAGGAAACACCACAGTCTTTATTTTTATCCAATAAGAGATAAGAATGCTAACTTCAGAAGCAATGATTACATAGCTGAATGTATTGATCAGCAGATAGAAGCACAAATCTTCAAAAAGAAATAAAAATCAAGAGGTTGAGAAGATAAGGTATAGACTTACAAATCTGGTAAAGGACTGTTATTCAGTGTATACAAAGAACTCTTAAAACTCAGTGATAATGAGTGAAAGATCTTGACAGCTCACCAAAGAAAATATCCAGAGGACAAATGGCATATAAAAAGGTGTTCAATATTATATGTCCTTAGGGGATTGCAAATTAAAACAACAATGAATTGCTACTACACACCTGTGAGAGTGGCCAAAATCCCAAAAGCTTCCAACATCAAGTGCTGTCAAAGATACTGGTACCAAAACAGACATATAGACCAACGGAACAGAACAGAGGCCTCAGAAACAATATCACACATCTACATCCATCTGATCTTTGACAAACCTGACAAAAACAAGAAATGGGGAAAGGATTCCCTATTTAATAAATGGTGCTGGGAAAACTGGCTAGCCATATGTAGAAAGCTGAAACTGGATCTCTTCCTTACACCTTATATAAAAATTAATTAAAGATGGATTAAAGACTTAAATGTTAGACCTAAAACCATAAAAACCCTAGAAGAAAACCTAGGCAATACCATTCAGGACATAGACATGGGCAAGGACTTCATGTCTAAAACACCAAAAGCAATGGCAACAAAAGCCAAAATTGACAAATGGGATCTAATTAAACTAAAGAGCTTCTGCACAGCAAAAGAAACAACCATCAGAGTGAACAGGCAACCTACAGAATGGGAGAAAATTTTTACAATCTACCCGTCTGACAAAGGGCTAATATCCAGAATCTACAATGAACTCAAACAAATTTACAAGAAAACATCAAACAACCCCATCAAAAAGTGGGCAAAGGATATGAACAGACACATCTCAAAAGAAGACATTTATGCAGCCAACAGACATATGAAAAAATGCTCATCATCACTGGCCATCAGAGAAATACAAATCAAAACCACAATGAGATACCGTCTCACACCAGTTAGAATGGAGATCATTAAACAGTCAAGAAACAACAGGTGCTGGACAGGATGTGGAGAAATAGGAACACTTTTACAACGTTGGTGGGACTGTAAACTAGTTCAACCATTGTGGAAGACAGTGTGGCGATTCCTCAGGGATCTAGAACTAGAAATACCATTTGACCAAGCCATCCCATTACTGGCTATAAACCCAAAGGATTATAAATCATGCTGCTATAAAGACACATGCACACGTATGTTTACTGCGGCACTATTCACAATAGCAAAGACTTGGAACCAGCCCAAATGTCCATCAATGATAGACTGGATTAAGAAAATGTGGCACATATACACCATGGAATACTATGCAGCCATAAAAAAGGATGAGTTCATGTCCTTTGTAGGGACATGGATGAAACTGGAAACCATCATTCTCAGCAAACTATCGCAAGGACAGAAAATCAAACACTGCATATTCTCACTCATAGGTGGGAATTGAACAATGAGAACACTTGGACACAGGGTGGGGAACATCACACACTGGGGCCTGTCGTGGGGTGGGGGTGGGGGGAGGGATAGCATTAGGAGATATATCTAATGTTAAATGACGAGTTAATGGGTGCAGCACATCAGCACATGTATACATATGTAACAAACCTGCACGTTGTGCACATGTACCCTAGAACTTAAAGTATAATAAAAACAAACAAACAAACAAAAAGATTAGAGCATCAGGACATCTCATTTGTTGTTGGTGAGAATGTAAAATAGTACAATGACTTTGGAAGACAATTTGGAGATTTCTTATAAAATAAAACATATCTATCATGCAATCCAGCAATCACACGTTTTGGTATTTACCCAAAAGAGTTAGAAACAAATTAAACACAAAAGTCTGCATATAGATGTTTATAGCAGCTTTATTCATAATTGCCAAAACTTGAAACTAACCAATATGTCCTTCAGTAGGTGAATGATAAACAAATTGAGGTACATCCAGGAATAGTATTTAGTGCAAAAAGAAAGGAGCTATCAAGCCATAAAAAGAAAAAACATAAAGGAATCTTAAAATGTGTATTACCAAGTGAAAGAAACCAACCTGAAAAGGCTACATATCGTATGTTTCAATCAATATGATATTTTGGAGAAGGCTAAACTGTGGAGATGGTAAAAGGATCAGTGGTTGTCAGGAGTTGAGGAAGGGTGGCAAAGATAAACAGGTGGAGCACAGAGGATTTTTAGGGCAGTGGAATTACTCTGTATGAAGCTATAATGGTGGTTACATGTCATTACACATTTGTCCAAACCCAAAGAATGTACAACAACAAGAGTGAACCTTAATGTAAACTACGGACTTTAGTCCATAGTTTAGGACCAAATGTAAACATACATCATGGACTATAATGATGTATCAATATACTTTTGCTGATTAAAACAAATTAACCACTCTGGTTGGGGAGGCTGTTGGGGGTGTGGGGGGTGTATGAAAACTCTATATGCTTTCTGCTCAATTTTGCTGTAAAACTAAAACTGTTCTAAAAATAAAATCCAGTTTTCTTAAAAAAAGAAATGAGGACCTCCAGAAACAGTAAAACTAAGGATAAATTATATTACTTTATATTTTTAAACTCTCTAAAGATAATTGACTATCTAAAGTAAACATGGTAGCAATATATTGTGAGGCTTATAACATATATAAAAGTAAAATGTTAGCACCAAAGATGGGAGTAGGGAATGGGGAGTACAGATTCTCACAACTCCCTCTGTTAACTTGCACAGACAGTGCAAACCATGAGCCACATTTCGCTGATGGCCTACGAACATATGAATCTTCCTGGTGTTGATTCATACTATATTTTAAGAGTTGAATCAGTTGTCAGTATTTAAAAATCTGGCAATTGTGTATAAATTCCTGATACTTCATTTTTCTTGAAAAAGATCTGGCTTTGATTGGCCTGCATTTATGCATAGCAATGATCATCTGCAGCTGAGGATCCACTGCTTCCTTGGGCTGGGTAAGGGGCTCTCCAGTATTCTTTTACCTTCACCGTATCTTATTTTATTCTTGACAATAAGAATCAGTTTCCATTTATCACCATATTCCAATATTGCTTTACTTGTTTCCTTCACTTGTTTTCTGATAGCAGCCATTTGATTTGTGATCACTGGTCTAAAATGCTTAAGGATGAAGAAAAAGAATATAATAACCGTTCAAGAAATGTACCCCATTGAGGCAAATGTAACATAATAATTATTGTGATACCCACATGAAGATCCACAAGATACAACCAAATTGTCTTTGGTGATATGGTGGGGGACAGCTCAACATTTATTTTTCCTTTTTTTAAATCATGGTACCTTAATTTTACTTTGAAGAACTCTGCCCACCTCTCCTGCTTTTCTGAATTGTGTGTGTTCTTGGTGCATCTGTTAATGAAATTGTCCTCCCCACTGGGCCAATAAGACTGGTAATTTGAAGCTTGAGGGATGTGAAGCAAGGATGGAGAATCATTGACACTCTTTCATTCTGGTTGCATGGCCTTATAAACTGGCCCTTTGTTCTTACCCTGGTTCCTGTCTTTTCTGATAGCAGAGATTTTCAACTCTTGTTTTTTAAATTTATAAGTTACTTCATATTACTTCAATAAAATGTGGTTTTCTTTAAATTTTTGAGACTTAGGAAATATTGCTTGCTGTCAAAAAATTCTAAGATAGGAATTGATGTATTATTTTACACTGTATTCTGGAATATGCACATAAGTAGAAGTGGGTGGTTGGAAACAGTTATCTGTTACAATTTATGTCTTCAAATAATTTGTATTTCCAGAATATAATGATTATTTTCCTTATTATATTGAGCGTTTTTATTTTTTTATTTTTATTTATTTATTTATTATTATTATTATTATTTTTTATTATTATACTTTAAGTTTTAGGGTACATGTGCACAATGTGCAGGTTAGTTACATATGTATACATGTGCCATGCTGGTGCACTGCACCCACTAACTCATCATCTAGCATTAGGTATATCTCCCAGTGCTCTTCCTCCCCCCCCTCCCCCCACCCCACAACAGGCCCCAGAGTGTGATGTTCCCCTTCCTGTGTCCACGTGTTCTCATTGTTCAATTCCCACCTATGAGTGAGAATATGCAGTGTTTGGTTTTTTGTTCTTGCGATAGTTTACTGAGAATGATGATTTCCAATTTCATCCATGTCCCTACAAAGGACATGAACTCATCATTTTTTATGGCTGCATAGTATTCCATGGTGTATATGTGCCACATTTTCTTAATCCAGTCTACCATTATTGGACATTTTGGTTGGTTCCAAGTCCTGGCTATTGTGAATAATGCCGCAATAAACATACATGTGCATGTGTCTTTATAGCAGCATGATTTATAGTCCTTTGGGTATATACCCAGTAATGGGATGGCTGGGTCAAATGGTATTTCTGGTTCTAGATCCCTGAGGAATCGCCACACTGTCTTCCACAATGGTTGAACTAGTTTGCAGTCCCACCAACAGTGTAAAAGTGTTCCTATTTCTCCACATCCTCTCCAGCACCTGTTGTTTCCTGACTTTTTAATGATTGCCATTCTAACTGGTGTGAGATGGTATCTCATTGTGGTTTGGATTTGCATTTCTCTGATGGCCAGTGATGGTGAGCATTTTTTCATGTGTTTTTTGGCTGCATAAATGTCTTCTTTTGAGAAGTGTCTGTTCATGTCCTTTGCCCACTTTTTGATGGGGTTGTTTGTTTTTTTCTTGTAAATTTGTTTGAGTTCATTGTAGATTCTGGATATTAGCCCTTTGTCAGATGAGTAGGTTGCGAAAATTTTCTCCCATTTTGTAGGTTGCCTGTTCACTCTGATGGTAGTTTCTTTTGCTGTGCAGAAGCTCTTCAGTTTAATTAGATCCCATTTGTCAATTTTGGCTTTTGTTGCCATTGCTTTTGGTGTTTTAGACATGAAGTCCTTGCCCATGCCTATGTCCTGAATGGTATTGCCTAGGTTTTCTTCTAGGGTTTTTATGGTTTTAGGTCTAACGTTTAAGTCTTTAATCCATCTTGAATTGATTTTTGTATAAGGTGTAAGGAAGGGATCCAGTTTCAGCTTTCTACATATGGCTAGCCAGTTTTCCCAGCACCATTTATTAAATAGGGAATCCTTTCCCCATTGCTTGTTTTTCTCAGGTTTGTCAAAGATCAGATAGTTGTAGATATGCGGCGTTATTTCTGAGGCCTCTGTTCTGTTCCATTGATCTATATCTCTGAGTGTTTTCTAATTTCTCCTTTTGTTGCATCTTTTCCTGCCCCTCTTTCCTTTTGCCTTTTGTAGTACTTAAGTTGTCTCCATTCTGATTTTTTTTCTTTCCACACTGACTTGGCTATTGTACATTCTCTTAACTGATTTACCTTACCATTTAATATGACATATTCTATTGAAACAGTTTAAGCAGTTTGAGAATGATCAGTATCTTTACTATTCCTTAGAACAATACGAAGACCTTAGAGTGCAGATGATGATTATTATCTTCCATTTCATGTACTACAGTTGTTTAGTAATTTAGTTTTACCTGGTATTTATATGCTCCAAATTAGGAGTTACTGTTATCATCTCTATTGCTGACATATTGTCTTTCTTACAAACCTTCATGAAATTCTTTTCTTTCTTCTAGGTTCATGTTGCTTCTTTCCGAAAGGTACAGCATTTATTAGTTTGTGAACCGGAAGCTAAACCAGAAAATGTTAGTGGTAAACGCAAGGCTTGATTATTTATTTATTTATTTTGGCCTCACACCTGAAAGGCATTTTAGCTGAATATAGAATAATATGTTGCAGCTATATCCTCTCAACTCTGCATAGATACTGTTCCATGGGAAAAGGTTTGTTTCATTATTGTTCCTTTGTAATAATTTTAATTCTTCCTTTTAAAATATTTTCTATGATTTTAATGTCTATAATTATACTACTGTGTGAATATATGTGGGTTTATTTTTATTTATACCCTCTTGAGAGTCTGCAATAAGAAAAATATATCTTTCATCAACTCTAGAAAATTTTCAGGCATTGTTGCTAAGAATATCGTCTTTCCCTCATTTTCTCGATTCTTTTCCTCTAATCCCTATCAGATTTATGTTAGACTCTTAATCCCTCTTTTAGGCTTTCTCCCATTTTATTTTTTTGGGGTACATTCTGAAATGTCTCTTTAATGTCACTAATTCTCTCCGTGGCTGTGGATAATCTAACATGTAATTTGTCCAATGAAGCTTCTACTTTTTCTTAATAATTATATATTTTTTATTGTTACTTGTTCTATTTGGTTCTTATCTACTTATTTTTTCATTTTAACTCATCCCTTTTCTTATTTTTTATGTCTCTGATCATTTTAAAAATACTTACTTTATCCTCTAAATCTCACAGTTGTATTATCTGATGTTTCTGCCTTTTGGCCTGCTGACTTATATTATCAGAGGGCTTTATTCATAGGAATCTCATAAAGTCTGTGTTCAGAGATAATTCATCAAGACAGGATTTTAGTTTCTATTGGTCAAGAACTCTAGGGGTCTCCTTAACCCAAGAACACTTCATTAAATTTCTAATCTCTCAAAAAATGTAAGTGGTTAAAAATGAGCATCAATAACAGGTAACTTTTGGCATATCATTAAATTCTTTTTTTTTTTTTTTCTGAGACAGAGTCTTGCTCTGTTGCCCAGGCTGGAGTGCAGTGGCACTACCTGGGCTCACGGCAACTTCTGCCTCCTGGGTTCAAGCGATTCACCTGCCTCAGCCTCCTGAGTAGCTGGGATTACAGGGGCATGCCAACACACCTGGCTAATTTTTTGTATATTTAGTAGATACAGGTTTCACCGTGTTAGCCAGGGTGGTCTAGATCTCCTGACCTCGTGATCCACCTGCATCGGCCTCCAAAGTGCTAGGATTACAGGCGTGAGTCACCGTGCCCGGCCAAATTCTTAAAGTAGATGAATGTTTTCACCTAGAGCTGAGGTGTCCAGATATGAACTTCATAATTTCTTCCTTGTGATAGTGCTTGCACTTTTAAAGTTGATTCTTTCACTAAGACTATAATAGCCATTGAGTGTTCTGACTTTGTGCAGACATGTCAGTTTCAAGGTTTTATTTTGCACAAGTTTGTCACCTATCCTCCTAAAAGCATCAAACCACAAGACAGTAGGTTATTGAGACCAACAATTTCCCAATGGCTAGGCTGCTGAATGTGAGTTCTCGTGCTTACTAGTTTGGTTTTTAATGACCTCTTTGCTTTAAGACCCTTTTAACTGTTTTGCTGCACAGCTTTGAGTTTAAAAGTGCATGTCTTTTGTTTTACCCAGCATTTTTTATTTGTTTTGTTCAGAAGGATGTTCAGGATATGTAAACTGTAATCATACAGGAAATAGAATTGTTTATACTCATAAGAGGCTTGCATGTATTCCTTCATTTATTCCAAAAGCCATTATTGAGTGTTTCCATTGACAAGCAATGTCACTTTACTCTCTATGTATATATGCATAAATTAATAGAAAACAAATAAGTGAATGTAGTGACAGTGCCAATCATTATTGCTAAAATATCCTTGTTTTTTACTTTTACTACAATGTACTTTATACTTTAAATACAGTCCAAAAATAACACTTCTTATATATGCATTTTAAAAAATTTCATAGCTCAACAATACTTATTTCACTCTGACCATATTTCATTTCATCCTGACATTTACTGTCTGATCTTTCACTCAAATGTGAATAAATAAATGTTTATGTAAACAACACATTTTATATGTGGCATATCTTTTAATAGCCACTTTCAATTCAAGTGTCAAAAACCATAGAATACTGTTTTCTATCTGACTATGA
The DNA here is from genome assembly GCF_000001405.40 of Homo sapiens. Lineage (NCBI taxonomy): Eukaryota > Metazoa > Chordata > Mammalia > Primates > Hominidae > Homo > Homo sapiens. The sequence continues at coordinate 43,216,791 of NC_000004.12, forward strand.
GTAGAGTTATTAAATCTTTGAAGATCTGTGATCTTCCAAGTTCTTACATGTTTTGAGGTGGTTTCAAATATAGGAAATAGTTGTAGGCATGAACTCTAGAAAGGCCGTATAGAGATGAAAGAGGCTTTAGCTCTCCTAATCTCTATTAATTTTTGCCGTCCCCCCCTTTTCAGGCTCCCTATAAACATGTGATCTGAATAAAAATAAAATATATTTATTATGGAATCATAGACTAAAGATGAGTCCCCTAAAACAATGCTTCTCAATTTAATGTACATATGAATCCCCTGATTTTGTTAAAATGTGGATTCTGATTCAGTAGTTCTGGACTATGGCCTGAGTTTGTGCATTTCCACCAACAGCATGAGTTTTGAGTTGCAAGACCTAGATACACACTTTCCAATCAGATTATCTGCTCATAAATCCTTCTAATTAGAAAATCTGAAGCTGAAACACAAACAATAGCAGAACTGGAAGGAATTATACATTGCATATTGGAATCATATAAAAGAAAATAGAAGATAATTATAATTTAGTCAATAAGTAAAACAGAGTATTCACTATTTTTATGTGGAAATTACTAATACACAAAAACAGAAGATTATTTTTGTCTTAAATAAGCTTTATTTCTGTTAAAATTTGTGTTTTTTTAATTACAAATCTACTTATTCATGCAAAAATCAAATATTGTAAATATTTATATAATAAAAAGTAAAAATGCTTGACCTCTTATTTTCTTTTTCAGAAAGCAACTGAAGTTTATTGTGTAGCTTCCAAAATATTTTTTTGTCCTCTTTGAGAGATGAGCATGTGCTCAGCTTTTGTTGATAAATAAAAACAAAATTTTACTCGGTTATATTATGCAGCTTGTCTTTTTAACAATATTTTTTGATCACCTTCCATTTCAGTACACGTATATCTTCAATATTTTGAGTGGTTGCATGGATATGCTGTTCCATAATATTTAAACATTTTTAAGTTGATGGGCATTTATTCCAATTTTATTTTTTGTTCTTAATTGAATATTCTATAAACTAAGAAAAATTATGCATCCAAACAATTATAGCTAAATAAAAATGATCTGTATGGAATGTGTATACCTCTCACATTCTTTACAACTTCATTTGGTGCTATGTAAACCAAATCCAAAGGAGTTCTGAGTCCTGCTCCTTTGACAACATCACCTCTTTCCAAGCTCCAGATAACCTCCAGATGCTCCGTGTTTGGTTTCATAGTGGAAAAATAGTATTTAGTCAGATTTTTATTCTGATTTCTGATAATAATTATTTAATAAAGCAGGCATGAAAAGAAGTAGGCAAATTGGAGGAGTTAAAATGGAGTATATAATACTTTCCATTTTAAAAATTGACAAATGCATGCTCTACGTGCATAGCCCAGCATACCAAATTAAGGTGTTAAAATACCTTTGTTTGGCCTGGATAAATAGCTTATGATTTGCAAAAGAGAGATGATATGTTCATTCTGGTTTATAAAAAGCCATTTTAGAAATACAAATTGGATATGGGCCTTGAGAGTTGTGAGACTTTCTAACTCATAAAATAAACACAGCTAGTTTCCATATATTTAAAAGATCCAGTCTACAGTGCCTTAAGTCTAGAATCTAAAGGGAGAAAAATCATTTCCTCTAATGTATATTTAATAAACAAAACTGTCTACACAGAATTTCTAATAGAAACTGCTTGGCCTACCAAATATTATCTGATCTGAAAGACGATCATTAGAGAATGTTCTTGCAATATTTAGAGAAAAATCAGCCAACTTTATTTTATATTTATTGACAGACTACTTTTAGTGATTGGTACAATGAAAAATCTCTTTCCTAGTATATTCTTCTTAATAACCATTGTACACATTTTCTACTGACCCTGAAATAATAAACCCACTTCTAAGAGCAGTGGGCAACTTCATTTACTAGTTAGTAAGAAAATAAAAGCCTGACATGCATTGTCTGTAGTCTCCTCTCTTCACCCTAAAAACGTGTTTATAGCTTTACCAATCATCTTTCCCTCAAGTTTATAGGAAGAAGTATCCTGTTCTCTTTCCAGAAACAAGATCTTAACTCTGCTCTTGATTTTATGCTGTGGTTTTATTATTTTTTTAAAAAATATGCTTTTCCTCATGGGTTGTAAGCTCCTAGAAGACAAGAGCAAAATCTTTGTTATATTTGTATTTCCCAAGCCCCTGTCTCTTTGTTTCATTTTTTTAACTTTTAAGTTCAGAAGTACGTGCAGGTTTGTTACACAGGTAAACTTGTGTCATGGGGGATTGTTGTACAGATTATTTCATCACCCAGGTATTAAGACCTGAGCACTCTTTATTTTACATATCATTCCTGAATTCTAAGGTGTCCAGAGCTAAATTTGATGCATAACAGTAATGCTTTCATAATATGGGTCTTGCATACCCTTTTACATCTTTTTTCTTTCATAATCATCTTTAAAATTCTTCTTCGCTATTCTATCTAATACCTCTTTAAATAATATTTTGGAGTAAGTTTGATATAAACTAATACAATTAGTGGTTAATAAATATTGAAGGCCTCAGAAATCTTATTGCTTTATATTTTGTAAAGTAAAAATAAAACTATATAGAGTAATTACTACTCTTTTTATCGCAGTGCAATCCTATTAAAGATGCTTCTCTCTCAAATCCAATTCTACTTCTCCTTTTCATTTCTCTGAATTGTCCTTAGTGCTTAAAATTTATAAAATAGGTGTATTTGCATTGTATTTGGGCTTTGAAGCAACTGTATGGTTAATCAGGCTGCTAATTTTGTGCTTCTTTTAAAAGAAGAAGCACTTTTTACTTCAACATCTTAGATTTAATCTTAAGGAACCGAAAAATTAACCTTCTGTACGTTAAGAAGACTGTATCATGTCCAACCCTTTTCCCCAACTCCTGGAACATAAGTATTACCACAAAAAGATTTGTGGGGATAGTTGTTATGGTCATTTCACCTATAAAATGATATAGTTGGGAAAGAAACCTAGACTCAATGACTAGGTCATGGCATACTTTGGTATTACTGTTCTAAAACCTCAAGCCAAGCCTTGGATGTGTAGCCTGAAATGTGACAGAAAGGTCTGAGAGGAAGAAAACAGCTCTCAACCCTGACATAGGGTTGGAGTGAATGGTAAGATTTATTGATGTCAGTATGGTGAGATCTCACTGATAAAGAGAAAATATAATATGAAAATAGATTAGAAGTAAGGAAGACAGAGAACTCTGAAACTAAAATGCACTGCTAGAGTTACCTATGTATTTTGCTTAAATAAATGAAAAAAAAAAAAAACCAACCTGTTTTATTCAATGTCTGCTTTGCATGAGGAAAATTGCCAGAGAGAGTATTCATGGGGACTGGAGAAACCTACGTGAGCATTCAGCAGGCCGAAGATGCAGATATTCATGTTTTTCAATAGAGCTCATGGTCACTGCCCCTTTGCAAATAGAAGCTATCACCTTTTTGGTGAAATCCTTAGTGACAGTGCAGTGCCAAATGACCGCTCAGTTTTTGCACCAGCTGGAATGTAGAACCTGAAACAGTAAAGTTCTGTCTTTAATGGTTCCGCAGTGAAAGACTCAAACAAAACTTTTTCAAAGAGGAAAGCCACAGCAGGAAAAGGAGGTGAAGATCCATTTAATAGTGCACTTAACAGATGGTGGGATGGGAAAGCAGCGGAAATCACAGCTGAGAGGTGGGCCTTTGCAAGGCGGGAGGAATGTGGAGAGAAACAGCAGAGCGCAATGAAAGCAGACAGAGCCACACTGTTACTGAGAAGAGCAAACTGTTAATACAACGGAATTCAGGATAGAAGAGAGACCCGACATGGAGATAGAGGAAGCACACCCTGAGGAAACTGCAGAAAGCCAAGAGAAGGTGGAAGAAAGAAGTCTTACTTTTGAGCATGAGAAAGAGTGTGGGCAGGAGGCAGTCACCAGTTGACAGAGAAGGGCCATGGTGACATTGCACTGGTACAGAAAACAATAGTGCTCTGGAGGTGAAGTCAATGCAGATCCCATAGCAAAAGGTGAGAGAAAAGAATCCATTCTGCCTTGTTCTATGTGTTCTGAATACGTTTTACAACTGAAATTATTTTTTGAGAATAAAGAGATGATTTGCAGCAGCACTCTTTGATAGAACTTTCTGCTATGATGGAAATATTTTATAGTGGTACTATCTGATATGGCTATGTAGCACTTGAAATGTTGGTGGTGCAGTGGAGGAACTGGATCTTTAATAACACTGAGTTTTAATTAATATCCATTTAAATGTAAGTAGCCAAAATAATGGAGTGCCAGGAAGTTTTTTGAGGGAGTGCAAATATTCTTTGTCTTGATTGTGATGATAGTGATAGGTGTGCAGGTCTTTTTCAAAATTCATCAAACCGTACACTTAGAATGGATATATTCTAATTATATAATTCAATAATGTTGAAAAATAAATAACTACAAGTAGCCAGGAGCTTGCAAATTGGGCAGCACAGTTCTAATGATTTGGGTGCATAGTCACTGAGGTAGGAGAATGCCTATCATCTAAGGAATGAAGTATACTATACCATACAATGTGCTTGCTTGTTAAAACAGTATCTCAATATCACTTACAATATCACTTGACATTTTTGTAAATCTTGACTTGTTAGTAGTGACAGATATCTGAGTTGTGATGGCAGGTATCTCATGGCAAATCTGTACAGGCATACAGCAACCTCAATTCTTGCCTCCTTAGAAGACAGAATACGACTGAGGGGCATAAGGCAGAAAAAGATACAGAGGCCAATTTCAGAGAAGAGTGGAAGTGTATTAAAAAGCTTTAGAGCAGGAAAGAGGAAAGTACACTTGGAAGAGGCCCAAGTGAGCATCTTGAAGTTCAAGTGCCCTGTTTAACCTTGAACCTGGGATTTTGTATGCTGGCCTACTTCAGGCGTTTTGCTCCCATTTCCCTTCATTCTTCCCTTACGGTGAGCCGCTCGCATGCCTGGTGCCCTGCATGCACTTGTGAGTTGAGCATGTGCAGTGTGTTTACTGGAGTCATATGCATGTTCACCTGAAGCTTTCTTCCCTTTTCTAGTGGAATGCCCCTGGAAGGTCACGCTCTGCCAGTTTGCCTCTTAATGTGCATGCTTGAGCCCACTTGCCCAATTTGTGAAAGCTGCTGATTACCTATTCCAGGTGTTTTTATCTACTGGGAAACTGCCTCTCCCTGGCACTGGCTGAGACCAATTATTATTTCAGAGAGGCAGTGTGACAACTGCCTAACCATCATCTGATGGTCGCCTGGCATTCCTGGTGGGTGGGAGGAGCCCTCTCCTGCCCTGCTCATGCCTGGCTAGCTATTTACTGTAACGGACTTTCAGTCCATTTTTTTTTTAAATATACCTTGTTAAATTGCTCCTTAAGAAGGAAGGGGGCATTAAATTTGGGTAGATTAATTGTTTCTGCTAAGAAGACATTTATTGAGGTAAATAAAGGAGAATAAGAGGAAACAACCTTTTTCTATGTTCTTGCCTACACAGTAATTTTGGAGAGATCAACTCCAACAGTTGATGAATGAAAACCTCGAGACCACTTCTTCTAAGACTTTTTTTTTTAATGGATAAACCTATGACTGTTGAAAAAAGATATGGGAATTTTTAAGATGAGAGATTTACTACTAGTAATACATCCTTTATAGAATGCACACGACCACAAAACTATACATAAATTTACATAAAATAAAGATCATAAAACATGAATACAATCTTCAATTCTCCCTAATTAAGTTTTGTGTATTGGTATTAATTAAATCCATAAATGGCAATCAGTATTAATGTAAGTTGAAAGTGAATTATTGCAGTGAAAGATTGAGATCAGTGATTTACAATGAGGTGTTCCATTCAGTAGAATTTTTAAATAATAGTTAAATAGTAGAGGAGCGGCCTGGGTAATTATTTCCGACTTTCATTTTGCCCAGAAAACATTAAAAACCCAACAAAAACAACAAAAAAGGGACCTATTACCTACTGACCTCACCATTTACAAAATAGAGGATATTTTAACAAAGGTTCTATGCAAAAAAAAAAAAAAGTAATAAAAAGGAGAAAGGAAATGATGTCAAAAACAAAAGAAGGCAAATTGAGTAATTTAACTTTATGAAAAATTCACTATTTTACCCTATGTTTCTCATTTTTTCACAAATTGGTGAAAACTTTAAAATGGACTCTCCAAAGTCCACAGAAAAGCATTTGGGAACCACTGGTTTAGCTTCTACTGTGGCACATCTGTAAGGGGCAAGGAGATCATTGGCCCAGTCCCCTAACTTGACAATTGCAAAAGCCAGTTCTCTGGGGCTTCAACAGTTTGTGAAAGACCACAAACTAAGAGAGTAATAGAGACTCACCTTGTGCTCAGGGCTCCTGATTTCCATTTTCAACCCAGTGCTCAAGTAGATAGATGAGATGTTTCTATATAGAAGAGAAAATATCAACAGATTATTTCTATAACAATATGGTAATAATAAACTTCCTATTCTTAGGCCTTTGATTACAGACATTTATAATAGAAAGTGAGTTTATAATTATTTATTTTGGGTTAATTGAAGTTTTATATGAGAAATTTACATAATAAATTCTAGAATGCAAAAAGATATGACCTATTAACTATTTTCCTTTGTAAAAAGAAGTTTTGAATAAAAACATAGCTTATTATAATGCAGGACACTCTTATTTTATGATGTATAAAATAAAGACTGAAAATTTGAAATGTCTTTCAAAATGTTATGAAGTTACAGATCAGGGTCTGCCAGTCTCTTAAAATCTATCATACATACTGTAAACTTATCTACATAAAATAGGGATAACTACGTTAGCTTTACATAAAATAGAGCTAACTTTATTAACTTTACATAAAATAAAAATAAAATTATACAGAGCATAATTTTATTGAAATATTAATTTTACAAAAAAATCAGTACTAGGATGATTTTCTTAGGATACATTTTAATCTCTTAGTAAAACAAACGTGCAGACAAACAAAAGCAAATATGAAGTCGACCAGTGCACTAGAATGACTAACCACTCTCAAATTGTATTTCAGGTTGAAATATTCAAAAAGTATATTCCAAACAACAAAAGAAAACTTTCTTAAATCAATAACACCACTCCTCTTGAATGTTTTTGCCAATTCAACTCCCACTACTGGAGCAGAATTGATGTCCTTTTTAGAAGATATTGCGCAACGAAAGGTTGTTAAGAATTGCTGACATTAGAATCTATTGTGGTGTTTTATAATGGTAATCCAGCCTTTGAAACCAAAATCAAAGAATGGACAAAATTAACAACATACTATAACTGCAGATTATACTGTCTTTTTTTTTGGGATGAGATACTTATTGCCTAGAATGGAGAAATATAAATGACAACTATAACAGGTTTTTAAATTAAGAGATCCTTACCTAAAATATTCAGCCATTGTGCAAAGGTGCCTGGATTCATTTCTAGTCACATATCTTTTTGTAATATTATGTTACATAGTAAAATTCAAATTCTTCATTGTCCCCCAAATCCTTCTTCTCTAATAGGAGTGTCTCTACACCATGGGAAGCCAACTTTATAGCACAATTGACAAATGTATACTGATTCTTCTATTTCTGTGTTTAATGATATTTGAAATTGTCTCTGAGTTTAGCGAGAGAGATGTTTATCCATTAGTATCATTGGCCATAGGCTCATAGAGGTAGCACGGTGGGTGCGGGGAGGTGTTGATGTGCTTGCTCAGAGTTGCCAATTCTGCTCTAAACATTAGGTAGTGGTTTCTCAGCCTAATTATTTGTTTCCTCATATGCTGTAAGAAGAGTAGCAGCTACTGCTATGCTGTTGCTGTTACTTCTTAATCTCTTTAATCTCTTGTTTTGCATTTGTACATTTATAGAACTCATTGCACTGCTGTCTGGAAGAGGCTTCTTTTGGTATAATCAGAAAAAGCACACTTCCTGCTTTATTGCATCATACATCAGTTCATTTACGTGAAAAAAAATGTATTGCTTGCCAGCTTGTGCAAAGTGCTGGAGATACAAAGAAAAACTGGACACGGTTCCCATCCTTGCAAAATATGCAATGTACTGAGAATTCATGGTGGAGGTACAGATTTCTGAATTCTAAAAAGGCTCAGGGAAGGATTCATAGAAGAGGAAGTTGTTTTAATTATGACTGGAAGAAGAAGAAAGGGGCCAGTGAAACAGCAATGTACAGGCATAATGGCATATAGTAAGGTAAAAGTTAAACTGATTGTAGGTAAGCATGAAGCTATTGAAGTGTGTGTATTGGCCAGTTAAGGTCCCAACAGAACACAGATGTCACACAGAAATTAGGATAATTTTAGAAGGCTTTCTTTTTTTTCCATAGGTAGGATTTATAAAAGCATACAAAGAAAACATAGGATAAGACAGTGATCTGTGCAAATAACACTGGAGAAGCTGTTTTTATACCCAAAAGGATAAGATGAGGGAGCAATTGTCAGATCCCAAAAGGAGAAAGTCTGGTAGAGAATGTTGCCTTGAGAGAAGCAGTAAACTGAGGCAGAGCCCAGGAGGATTTGCAGAGAGGAATGCAAGACATTAAACCCCATGAGGCTACTCTTCTCCCTCACTCTGATCTCCTGGGGCTGAACAAGCTTGGAAGCTCATTAATGTGGTCCCACTGCACAGAGCAGGATGGAGGGGTGAAAATGGATCTGGAGAGGTAAACAAAACATACCCAGCATAAAATCTGTGTAGAAAACTTGCAGAAGGCGAGTTGGGTGGGGTGAATAGTGACATGATTATAAAGTAACTTGAATACTAATTAGAACTTTTACTTTATTTTGAATTTTTAGGAAGACTGAAATATTTAATGCTTTAAATCAGGAGAGGGACAGATTTGTATTTTAGAACATTCACTCTGGCAGTGGTCAAGAGGATTGACAAGGTCAGACTGGGTCTAGAGAAACTAGTTAGAAACTTTTTCAGTATTTGGCTAAAAAAATCTGAAAAAGAGAAAACCGTAGGTGCTGGACTTGGGGTAGAGATTAACTTAAGAAACAGGGAACTTAAACAAATCAACAAGCAAAAAACAAATAACCTCATTAAAAATGGGCAAAGGACATGAATGGATACATCTCAAAAGAAGACATATGAGTGGCCAACAAACATATGAAAAAGTGCTCAGCATCAGGAATCACCAGAGAATGGAAATAAAAGCCACAGTGAGATACCGTCTCCCACCAGTCATAATGCCTATTATTTAAAAAGCCAAAAAACAACTGATGCTGGTGAGGCTGCAGAAAAATGGAAAAGCTTATACACTTTTGGAAGGAGTGTAAATGAGTCCAGCCACTGTGGAAAGTAGCCCGCAAATTTCTGAAGAGACTTAAAATATAATTACCATTTGACCCAGCAATCCCATTACTGGATGTATACCCAAAGGAAAATAAATCATTCTAACAAAAGGACACATGCACTCATAGGTTTGTTGCTGCACTATTCACAACAGCAAAGACATGGAATCAACCAAGTGCTAATCAATGATTGACTGGATAAAGAAAATATACCATAGAATGCCATGATAAAGGAAATCATTTCCTTTGCAGCAACATGGATAGAGCTGAAGGCCATTATCCTAAATGAATTTATGTGGGAACAGGAAAGCAAATACCATATGCTTTCAGTTATAAGTGGGAGCTAAACACTGAGCACTAATGTACATAAATATGAAAACAGTAGACACCGTGGACTACTAGAGGGGAGAGGGAGGTGGGGACAGGTGAAAAACCTACCATCCGGGTACTACGCTCACTTCCTGTGTGACAGGATCAGTACTACAAACCTCAACATCATGCAATATTCCCATGTAACAAACCTACACAAGTACCTCCTACATGTAAAATAAAAGTTGAAATAAAAAGGAAGAAAGAAAAACTGGAGAGGGCATCCTACAAAATAACTGGCCTGTTCTCCTAAAAAATTTCATAGTAATAAAAGTCAAGGAAAAACTGGGGCCTGTCCCAGAATGAAGGAGACTAAAGAGACATGATAAATTACTGAGAAAAATAGTCATAAATGAATTATCTTTTCTGCAGAGAAGACAATTGGTGAAATTTGAAAGGATCCAAGGACTAGACAGTACTGATATATTAATGTTAATTTCTTGGTTTGAATGATTATATTATGGTTGTAAGAATATCCTTTTGTAGGAAGTGTACCCTGAAGTATTGGGTGGTGTTGGGGCATTTCATCAACAACTTGATCTTAAATGATTTGTTAAAAAATTACACTGTACTTACATTTTTTAAGGTTTGAGATTGTTTACAATTTATTAAAATTATTTGGTTTTGCAACGATAATGGAAACACATACATTGGTGTGGCACAATATCACTGTAAAAACGACGTTCTTAATTACAAAGGCTGTGGAGCAGAAATGTACTTTGAATAGTTGTGGTACATATATAGTTTATAATTATGTTATTAAAGAGGCTGTTATATTCAACCAATAAAAGTTGAAGCTGAGGGTGTTAAAATTTACATGTATTTTTGTATTTAAGAGTTAGAGTCCCTGAGTGACCCTGAGGGATCAGGCTGTCATGGACTTCATGTGAAATTGCACTTTTGCTTGGCTTGTTCTCCTTTTATCTCCTGCTTCCCCTCCTCTAAGACTGGTTTCTATAGGAGAAAGCTTCCTAATAAAGCACTTTCACCTAAATCCTTAGCTTAAGCATTGCTTTGGGGGAATGCAACGCAAGACAGAAAGTAAGTAGAATTACCACATTTTCTTTATCTGGTCTACTGTTGACAGGCATTTAGGTTGATGCCATATCTGTGCTATTGCAAATAATGCTGCAATGAACACACGTAGGCAAGTGTCTTCATGGTAGAACAATGTATGTTCCTCTGGGTATATAGTCAATAATGGGATTGCTGGGTGGGATGGTAATTCTGCTTTGAGTTCTTTGAGAAATCGCCGAACTGCTTTCCACAGAGTTAACTTGCAGCCTGGAAAACAGCTAGGACTTGGAATTTAATTCTCAGTGTTGTAACTCAGTGTTGAGTCTTTGGGGCTTTATCCTTTCGGGCTTAACAATAGTACTCTAAGGACCAGCAGTTGGTATTGGGAGACACCTTATAAAGGTAGCAAGAGGTCTGCTGTTTACACAGACAACTTTTTCTTCCTCAAGAAGGTGACTATTCTTCTGCTAGATCTAAGACCCAGAAGCATTACAGAAGCAAACAAAACTGAACAAAACATCAGCAGGCTGCAAATTTTCCAAATTTTTATGCCCTGCTCCCTCTTGAATGCTTTGCCTCTTAGAAATTACTTCTGCCAGATACCCCTAATCATCTCTCTCAAGGTGAAAGTTTCACATATCTCTAGGACAGGGGAAAGAACTGCCAATCTCTTTGCTAAAGCATAGCAAGAGTCACCTTTGCTCCAGTTCCAAGCAAGTTCCTCATTTCCATCTAAGACCATGTCAGCCTGGGCTTTATTGTCCATATCACTATCAGCATTTTGGTCAAAGCCATTCAACAAATCTCTAGGAAGTTCCAAATTTTCCAACATCTTCCTATCTTCTGAGCCCTCTAAGTCTCTAGGAAGTTCCAAACTTTCCCACATTTTTCTATCTTCTTCTGAGCCCTCCAAATTGTTCCAACCTCTGCCTATTACCCAGTTAAAAAGTTGCTTCCCCATTTTCAGGTATCTTTACAGCAGCACCCCACTCTACCAGTACCAATTTACTGTACTCGTCTGTTCTCATGCTGCTAACAAAGACATATTCATGACTGGGTAATTTATAAAGGAAAGAGGTTTAATGGACTCACAGTTCCACATGGCTGGGGAGGCCACACAGTCATGGCTAAAGGCAAACGAGGAACAAATTCATGTCTTACATGGCAGCAGGCAAGAGAGCTGTGCAGGGGAACTCCCACTTATAAAACCATCAGATCTCATGAGACTTATTCACTACCATGAGAACAGTATGGGGGAAACTGCCCCCCGTGATTCAGTTATCTCCACCTGCCCCGCCCTTGACACATGGGGATTATTACAATTCAAGGTGTGATTTGGGTGGGGACACAGCCAAACCATATCAGTATGCCACCGCAAAGCAGACATGCATCCATAGCAATTTTTGTCACTTGATTAGATCCAGTTCTGTCCCTGAAAAATGACTCTTTATGGCCCCAGATTTAACTCCACTGAAGGCAGTACATCTTAATGGCCAAGACTGAAGGCTTCATGATTTGCAAACTGTGCGATGCTTGGCAGATGAGAATTTCTCTGAGCCTTCATGTCTTCATCTGTTACTTGGGTATTTTTTTTATAGTACTTATTGTGAGACTTACGTGTTGTGAGGTTGTTGTGAGACTTAAGTGAGATAATACATATAAAATCAGTAATTTTTAAATATGCTAGTTATTACTTCTAGAATGGGCTATTAAGTATATTGCATATAAAAATCTTAAACACTGCCTGGGATACCACAAATCCTCCATGGATGTGCACTCCAATTACTATTTTACATGTGTTTCTGCTCTGTAATATGTAGTGTGAAGACTTTAAAGATGTAGGGTCTAGCAAAGTGCTATACGTGCTTAGAAAATTTATACTCTACACACAAAATGTATACTTTTTCCTTCCTATGTTCTCATTTACATAAAAGATTTGAAAATGTCAGCACCCTTCTTGCAGTTGGAGAGAAAGGGATGAAATAATGCTGAAGGTCCAAGTGGAGTTTAAATCTTAAAATAAAACAAACATAGATTGATTTGGATTAGATAGGGCACAAAATAGGTGCAAAAGCTGTAATTTAGTTAAGTTTTCCAGCAGGTTTAAAGCATGCTCAGGGCAGCAAGGAATTCTGTAATGGTCTCTTTTGTTATGAAAAGCGTGCAAAATGTAAAATCAGATGTCATGGTGCTCTCATTGCTGGGAGGATAGTATCCAATTATCCTCATCCATTACTAGTAGGCTATGGTAAAACATTACTGGATGGTTGCTTGCAAAGTCCAAAGTGACAGTCCTGTCACAGAGTCATATCTTACCTGTCCCTCCAGCAGGCACTGAAATATTGAAAGAAATCAAAAGGAGTTGAATATTTTCAGAAGACTTTTTGGAAGTGATATATATTGTAAGGAAAACAATGGGTTCATTAGATGTCAGGATCATTCGTCATGTTAAAATGTCTTCTAAAGCCTCCTATCTGCCCCTACCTAATTTTCTTGGAATCTGTCTTTTATGGTTTCTCTTGAATCCTTTCTCTTTCTTAGATAGATTTGGATTATGTCAAGTTTTTAAGACAGTCTGGAAAGGAGCAAGGTGGAGATCAATGTAAAAATAATACTTTCTAAATAATGGAGAATTACTTGAAATTAAACCATAAACTCATGTCTTGAAGTCTGTGGCCAAGGGCTTGCTCTTAGGTTAGTGGCTTTACACTCTGTGTCTCCTTCTTTGCGTATCTGACCCAAGATTTCACAGAATTTTATAACTTAACTATTCGACCTCAACTACCAACCTCCTCAATTAGCAGACTGATTTTTCCTAGGTGCTTGCTATTTTAGGCTATTACTCCTACTAATACAAATGCTCCACCTTTACTAAGTGATAGAATGCAAACTATTTTTTACTGACACCCATATGCCACAGCTGGCTAACAGCTGCTTTTCACCTTTTGAAATATGAGGTTCAGTCTTTTGGTGATGGTTGCATTACAGACATTGTCTAAAATGACTGTCAGAATACACTCTTCTGAATTCCCTGCTGCCCTACCCCATCGACTGACTACTTTGGCAATATCTTAAAAAAAAAAAAAGACCTCAGATTACTAGTGCCTCTTGGGCAAAACTTTTATATCCCCTATATGCTCCTTTTCAAAATAAAAACTATTTTCCTCATTAGTTCTTTGTAGCTCTCTGTGAAATTATCTTCACTCCATATCCCAACTTCGTACAGTCAAAGAACAAATAGACCACATACCTTAACTATTTAATTAGAATGGTGTGATTTCAGTTTTCATATTTAATGTGCTGCTTAGCTCTGTTGAGCTAAAAGCCACAGCCATAAATTAGCAGCTTCGTTTTGTTTTGTAATTAAAATATCCCAGTAGATTTCAGCAAAAGGCAGTGCTACACTTACTGACTAGTTTAACTGAGCAGGACATGTTCTGTATGAAATAATGAGTCTTTATAGGAAATTCTTTTTAAAAAAATGGGATTAGTCAATGATGCTAATCAGGGCAAAAGAAAACAAGTATGGATCACTGAAAGCCAGAGATCATCCACGCATTCTGCCTTCGGTAAATAGCATCTTTTTTTGTTTCTTTAACTGAGCATTGACTGTAGCAGAGTGGCTAATGGCATAATTAAGAGAGCTGATTGGATTTTTTCATCTTGTCTTTTCCGTTATTTGATAAAAGGAACATTGGAGAGAAAAATCACCAGCAGAAGGAGGGAGCAAAGAAATGTTCCCAGAACTGACTGTTTCTTATTTATACCAGTATCATCCTGGGGTAGCTGGCAAAGGAGACTTGCTCACCAGAAGCATCTCAGGAAACTGCCCTGTAGCTTGAGGTAGGTTTAATTTTTTAGCTGTTGCAAGAGGAAAGCCACACATGATCCTCCAATCTAATGGTTCCCACCAGTGAGTTCTACCTGTAGACTGATATCTTCGTTGTACTGAGGATCTATACGACCAGTCTCTGAATAGGTATGATAGATTGCGTTTTTCAAAAAGACCAAGGCAATATTTCCAGTCACACATGATCTGCCACTAGATCAAATTTTGGGACACAGAATACGCTTTAGCAATTTAAAAATAATGGGAATCATACAATGTTTGATCTTAGACCACAATTGAATTGAACTAGATATCAATAATAGACAGATAACTGGAAAATCCCAGAATGGTTGGAGATTAAAAATTATACTTCTAAATAACAAGTGGTTAAAGAAAAAATCTGAAAAATAATTAAAATACATTTTGAACTAAATGAAAATGAAAATACAATGTATCAACATTTTCATGCTGTATCAAAAGCAGTAATTAGAAGGAAATTTATAGCATTGAATGCAAATATTAGAAAAAGAAAGGTTTAAAAGCAACAATCTAAATCAAGATGTCCTTGAATAGGTGAATGGAAAAACTAACTGCGGTGCATCAACTCTATGAAATATTGCTCAGCAATAAAAAGAAATTAGTTATTAAGCCATGAAAAGACATGGAGAAAAACTAAATGTGTATGAAGTGAAAGCAGCCAATCCAAAAACCCTACATACTATGTGATTCTAATTATATGACATTAAAAAATGACAAAACAATGGACACAGTAAAAAAATCAGTGGTTGCCAGTGGTTTAGCAAAAGGATGACTAGGTGGGGCACAAGAGGTTTTTACAGTGGTGAAACTAATCTGTATGATACTGTAATGACAAATACATGTCATCATGCATTTTAAAAAACTCGTAAGATGTATAAGACAGAGTGAATGCTAATATAAACTATGGAACTTAGTTAATAATAACGCATCAATACTGGCTCATCAGTGATAAGAAATGTACCACATGAATGCAATAGGATAATAATAAGGGGAAACAGTGGGGAGGGAGGCAGTGGTAAAGGGAATCTATGGAAACTCTCTATACTTCCCATTACATTTTCCTGTAAACCTAAAAGTTCTCCAAAAAATAAAAAGTCTATTAAATATAAATAAAAAGAGGTGGGGTCTATTTTCTCTCCCTTTGAACCTGGCTAGTCTTGTGACCAATCTGATTGATATAGTACAGCAGAAGTGACACTTTGCTTTCTATGATATGTATTCGATCTGGCTATGTCTTTCTGTGACATGCCCCCTTGGGACTCAGCCCTATGAGGAAGCATAGGAAACCTTGGGACATCATATAAAAGTGTTCGGGCCAATGGCTCCAGCTAATGTCTCTGCCTACTGCCAAAATCACCTATTTGAGACAACCTTTGAGACTTAGCAGGCCTTAGACATCATGGAACAGATACAATTCATTCCTGCTGTGCCAGTAGGAATTCCTGACCCACAGAATCCATGAACACAAAAATATTTGTTTTATGCACTGAGTTTTGGAATAATTTGTTTTGCAGCTTTAATAATCTGAACAATAGGTATTAGCTGGCTGCTTCTTAAACTGGCCTAATTAGACTCAGCATATGTCCCCATATTATTTGTAACATGGAATGCAGAAATCAAACAAACATAAAACAAACCATAATTCTTTTTCTCTCCTCTAACTGGAAAATCAGATATACTTTCTCCTCTCTTTTCAGTTATGGCTTCTGTGTTTTGTATCATGCTTTTAAAGACTTTGCCCATGCTGAGATTAATAAATTTAGTTTCATAAAATTGTCAAATTTCTGCAAGGCAAATTCAAAAGACAGATTATTAATGGAAGGGGAAAATATGCAACTTACTTCACAGAAGGCTAATTTCTTTGATTTATAATGCTACTACAAATCAATAAGAAACAATAACAACCCAATAGAAAAACTAGTGTTTTAGTCTATTTTCTGTTGGCATAACTAAATATCTGAGACTGAGTACTTTTTAAAGAAATTTATTTCTTACAGTTCTAAAGGCAAGGAAATCCAAGGTCAAGGAGCTGCATGTGGTGTGGGCCTTCTTGCTGGTGAGGAATCTGCAGATTCCTGAGGCAGCCCAGGACATTACATGGCAAGGCGGGCTCACAAGAGATGGCCAGACCCACTCTCATGATGACTAAGCCACTCTCTCAATAACCGATTAATCTGTTAATCCCTGAATGTATTAATCTATTCATGAGAGCAGAGCCCTCATGACTAAATTACCTCTTAAAGGCCTTACCTGTTAATACTGTTACACTGGGGATTAAGTTTCAACATGAGTTTTGAAGCGGACAAATATTCAAATCATAGCAATCGGTAATACAGATGTCCAGAGAATGCAAAGAAAATAGGGATTGTTCTTAAACATGTGAAAGAGACCTAATCTCACTCATAATAAAAAAATGCAAATTAAAGCAGGACACTGAGATTTCACTTTTTTCCCACATCAGATTGATAAAGATCAAAAGTTTGATAACTTAACTAGGTTGGTGAGGGTGTGCAGAAATAAGCATTTTTATGCTTTGCAGTGTAGTGCAGATTAGAAAAATTTTACACATGTATATGTATATACACACATACATACGTATGATGCATGTATAGTACTATTCATCATGGCATTGTTTATAATGGCAAAAGATTGAGAAAAACCAAAATATTTTTCAATCAGGCTTTGGTTATATAAATAATGGTATATTCCTCTCACGGAATAGTGTATAGCCAAATTTAAAAACAAATCAGAAAGTTCTTTACATACTAATCAAGTATTATGTAAAATATTAAAATATAAAGTAAAAAAGCAAGCTATAAAATCATGTTTTGGTTTTTATAATTTTGTGTGAAAAATATTTTTAATGTATATGTAATATATAAAATACATATATGTATATGTATGGTGTATGTTTATTTAAATATATGTATTTATATATACATTTAAATATTTTTAAATATGTGTGTGTATATATGTACATATACATGTATGTATTTTTATATACTTGGTAGTTGTTTACACACTCATGAAATCTCTGGAAGAATGTACAAGAGAACTGTTAACATTGGTTGCATCTGGAGAGAAGAGCTGAATAATTGGGAAAAAAGTTGGAAAATAATTTTCACTGTTTCACCTCTTTGTAACTTTTATATCATAGGAAAGTAGTATCTATTTTAAAATAAGTAAAATAAAGTGTTAGAAAAACAATAATTCTAAAATCAGCTATATTATAATAAGTTTCATTGTGTATTTGCACCTCTCTGTCAGACTAGGAGCATCTGCAATATACTCCTTATCTGTGATATACTCCTTATCTGCGATATACTGCTTATCTGCAATATACTCCTTTCACAGCTCTGGTGCCTGCCTACAATGGTGCTTAGCACAGAGCCACACTCACGCATTTCTGGAAGGAATGCAAGGCACGCTGTGGTAAGCAGGATGACACAGCCACAGTCCACTCTGCTAAAGGGATGCCGGGTCCTTGAAGAAGAAATTCTGCATTGCATTGGAAGGCTTCTGGGAAGACCTATGGTTTAACTTGGTCCATCACACAAAGAAAGAAAAGATACATGCAGTGTTTTGGAGGGAGCAAGAGGGTACTACAGAAACAAGAGGAAAGGAGGTCTTCTGGAAACTTGAGTCAACTGTGGTGCTGAGTAGGCTTATTATTAATGGAAGGAATGAGAGTGTGCAGTGAGAAGAAAAAATCAAGGATGGTCTTTGTTTTGTCAGTTTGAACAGGAAACACCAGTTGTTTATTTAGTTAGTGCAAAGGCCCTGGCAGTCACAAAAAAGCTTGATGTGGTTTAAATGATTGATAACTAATTGAATCAGGTGGTTGATGCCTACTATAATTCTTTATCACTTTGCTAACCAAGCCACCATATGTGGCTTGTGTGACAGATGCTAGATGCTTGGAATGGGGAAATGTAATTCGAAGAAACAATTTTTTAATGCTATAGTGCAGATTTAAAAGCCATTCTGTCAGCCCCTGAAGATGAAAAATGGATATATTCATCTGGTATTTTTAAATTGATGAATTTGGTTTACATTTACATTTTAAAAACACATCTTTCATATACACACAGATTAGCATTCCTAATATTGACATCTGGTGTTTATATAGTGCAGACAATCCCCACCTTACAGTTGTCACCCAAAAATTCATTTGGGAGTATGTTATTTTCCCATAGAAATAATGTTGTTAATGATGCCCTGATTATCAGGCCAGTTTACAGAAATTAATTTAAGCATCATGTACCTAAATTTCATATGGAGCATTCTTTTAACTCTATATAACTATTATTCACCATTATCTCTATGTGTGAGAAAATACGCTGCGACGACACTAAGTTAGAGTGCAGTGGCGTGATCTCGGCTCACTGCAACCTCGGCCTCCTTGGTTCTCAACGATTCTCCTGCTTCAGCCTCCCGAGTAGCTGGGACTACAGGCATGCACCACCATGCCCAGCTAATTTTTTTTTTTTTTTTGTATTTTTAGTAGAGACGGGGTTTCACCATGTTGGCCAGGATGGTCTCAATCTCTTGAACTTGTGATCCACCTACCTTGGCCTCCTGAAGGGCTGGGATTACAGGCATGAGCCACTGTCCCTGGCCCAAGGAGCAAGTTCTTAATCCTTTGTTGTTTCTACCTTTCTGCTCCTGCACATTAAATATTGTAATTTAGATACATTATACTCCAGATGTTCACGGATGAGTAATAAAAGACAGTTGCCCATGGGCTTTGACACCAGAAAACTTTTGGGTACAAATCCAACTTCTGCCACTGACCCACTACATTTTTCGATGTTAGGCAACTGCTTTGAAGCTCAGGTGCTTTATCTGTATAATGGGAATAAATCTACCTACTTTACTAGTCTTTCTGCACATTAAATGTTCCAAGATACACATAAAGTAGAGGCAGATAGTATTAAGATGTGGATGCCCCACTTAGGGTGCAAGGGTTCAAATATTTGACCTATGTGGTTCTACATGGTTGACCTTGGGCTGGTAATTTAACCTAGTGGCACTCAAACTTTGCTGCATGTTAGAATCACCTGGCAAGACTTTAAAATTCCTGCTGCACAGTCTCTACTACACATCAGTTAAATAAAATAATTCTGGGAGTAATACTCAGACACAGGAATTTTTACATCACCCTTGACAAGTGATCAAAGTCTACAGCCAAGTTTTGACTTCTGTTCATTAACTGTAAAATGGGAGAATTTATAGTTTCCATCTCTCCATGGAGTTAAAGGATTGAAAGCAATAATAATGCAAGTAAAGCATTTATGAAAGTGCCTGGCACATTCTAAGCACCTGATGCAGTTTTGCTCTAATTCTCTAGAATATAACAGTAAAATTATCCAACATATCTCTGCTTTTTAGAAAATTCAATGATTGTCTACTGCTGCAGTTCTCTTCTGGACTTCATTTGTATTCTCTGTGCCCTGGATCATTTGTCACAGTTTTCCTGTATAATAAAATTGTATTATGTGTGTAAAAAACGGACACCTGGCTTCTAAAACCAGATCTACCCCTAAAAGGCCTTGTGATATTGGGCAAGGTTTTGAGTTTGTCTGTGACAGTTTCCTCTTTGTGTTAAGTTCACCAAATGCTTGTATCCTTGAAGGGAAAGAAAGACATTGTCAGGCTCAAGGAGCCAGGATAAATAAATATCCAGGACCCTATGACCCTCCTAGCCTTTCGTGGCAGTGATTTCTGTTGTTCCCTGGAGGGAGAATGAAAAGACAGGAAAATAAACCATTTTTTCCATCTACTGCTTATCTTCTCCTATTCCAAGATTGAAGGAATGGGGATAAATTAAGTTTGCTCCTCATTTTTTAACATTAAAAATAAGTTAGGATCAGCAGAACTAGATGAGATACTAGAAATCATATAATTCAATGCCTTTGCTTTGCTGAAGAGGTAAAAGATTACCTGAGCTCATACAAGTAGTTGATAGCAGAGCCAGGACTAAAACTCAAAATTTCTTAGTCCCTTACCCAAAAGCTAACTTTTTCTTTCCATTTTACTACTGGAAAAAGATCATAGAAACAAACAACAAACACAACCCAAACGTTATCCAAAACATAAAGCCAACATGTCCTTCTGCTAAGAGGATTAACTTTATATATATCCATTGAACAAGGTATTTTACATTAGTCAATAGTAGTCAACCCAAACCCAACTTTATTTCATTTTGTTTGATAACACAGCATGGGTGAATGAGGGTTGGGTTAATGCATTTCCTAAGGCCAAACAACTAGAGAGCTCTCTATATAACTAACTATTTATTTATATTTATATTGAATGTATATATAGGCATTCACCTGGTGGAACAATTTTGAGAGTATGATGTCATTTACAGGCTCTTCTAGAAAGTAAGTTTTGTGATGAAATGGTTGGACATTGGTTATCACTTTACTTCTGTCAGATTTTAACATTAAGGCCTCTATTGGGAAGCTTGCATTAACACCAATCGATTCTCAGTCTGTGTATAATGAACATAATAAACTTTCACCAGACATTCAAAGATGTGATGGTCTTTGATCCATATTTCCCAACTATCTTTAACCAGATACCTCCTCCCTTTTTATATTTAGTCTACTATACAATGTCTCTAATAAAGATTAATCATCAGGTTGGCATCCTCAGAGCCTTGTCTCTCAGAGAACATTTGGAATAAAACTTTGACATGTACTTATAACCTATTTGAGAAGTTGTTTTTAACATATTCCTTATCACTGGGCAACCAGGTGGTTCCACCAGCGGCCCACTTTTCCTGTTTCAGAGGATTGATCTCCAAGTCAGAGATTAAACATGAGTATTTGTCCAGCCTCTCATCAGCATTTAATCTAGGAGAGGTTTAAATGGAGTTTTTCAAGTCATGTGCTTTCCAGTTAATTAACTTTGTTGAAACCTGATTTATTAGACAGACATTTCTGAGAATTAAGTGTTTTCTTCCCAAGCTTCAGCTGCAGGAGAGGCCCTGAGTCTCCTGCCACAAAAGCCCTCAGTTGTTCATAATTATAATTCACAATCATTCTTTTGTGATTTTTTTCTAATATTTTCATTGAGAAACTCAGAACAGGCAAAAGGTGAGAAAATTAAACATGGAGACTGGTAAGGAATAAGAAGCTAAAAGCTTAAGGACATTGGTTGGTTTATAGACCCTCCTTGAAAACAGTACCTTTTTGTCCCCCATCCCCCATACTCTCTCCCCTCTCAGACTTGCTTCCTTCCATCTTTCATTCAACAGATATTTGTTTGTTGCCTTTTACAGGCTTGGCAATGGACTAGGCACTACAAGGCAGCAATGAATGAAATGGATTGGTCTCCACCTCCATGGAACATTCTGCCTGGTAGGAAGACAGGCACTGAACAAGTAATTACATTTACAAAAGAAGCATAGAACAGAAGCAGCACAGCCTAGAATTAAAATTCAGGGCAGGTCTGCCTGAGAAAGGGATTTTTAAGTAAGAGACATGATGATTGAGAGGGACATAAATGGTTAGAGAGCAAGGAATGAAGCATCTGGTCACACAAGAGACTCAGAAAGTTAACCATGAAATGTCATAGTCCAGGTGAAAAAAAAGCAAATAATAGAGCCATAGAGCAGCAATGAGCTGTCTGTGTGCTTCTTATTCTTGATCTCAAAAACATATGGCCACTCCGATATAGATTTTCTGTATATGACCTACTTGGAAACTCTGAACTAGAGAGTAGGTTTGTGATATTCTAACACTACAGCTTATTCCTTTTGATAAAAGCATTCTTTTCTGGAGCAGTGTTAAAATACATTGTCTTAAGATAAATAGCTTAGATTATAATTTACTGCTGAATAGAGAAAATTATATCTAAAACTACAAATGTAAGGGTCGAAAAGAAAGGAATCACTCACTCAGGGCACCCGTTGAATGGCTATAGGAAGGTTAAAACTGTATGGAATTTGATAAAATAAGGATTACTAGAATTTTTGTTTTTATTTTGAAAAATGCTGTAAAATATGAAAAACACATAGAATATTCAAAGAAATATCATATACCACTACCCAGAACTATTACTATGTTGTCATATTTGACAACATTTTAAAATTAAATAAATTACGTATTACAAATTGAACATGAGATTTGTATCTAAGAAAGTACAGCAAGTTAAGAATCAGAGTTAAGGTTGAGCCTCAGAAGTTGAAAAGTGGAGTTCCTGATGCTGGGGAGACCTTGTCAATGCAAGATAAAGAAGAGAAGAAGGATTACAGAAAATAAAGTAGATATTTATGAGCAAGATTGGGAGTTATAAACCCAAATGCTCTCAGAAGCTAGAAAGGTCAAGTAGGTAAGTGAAGCTGGCTTGATGTAAGATGACACCGACAGGGAGGGTTGTGGCAAAGTTCAGATTATGTGGCCCTCCTAGAGAAGAGGGAGGAGGAGGAGGAGAAGGAAGAGGAAGAAGAAGAGGAAGAGGAAAAGAAAGAGGAAGAGAATAAAGAAGAGGAAGAAGGGGAGGAGAAGAAAGCAGGAGATACAAAAACAAAACAGCCTGATGCAGAGTTTAGTTCTTGATGTCTTGTTTGTGATCTCTGATCAAGACAGAGAATGGAGGAAAGTGGAAGAAGGTGGGCACAAGCAGAAGCTGCAGGCAGGGTGCTAATGGCAGTCCTGATTCATGCACGCCCCAGGCTGGCTCTCTTTGCATCCTTATCTGAGCTTAAAGACCAGATACCATGAGAAGAATCTGAGTTGTCATCAGACAGTGGCGTCTTGGTTGGTGTGGCTCTTTCAGGTCACTGACCATGCTACTTCTACCTGAGAACCGGGCCTTCCAGGAATGGGTCAACAGCATCATTAAACTGTGAAGGTCAAGAAAAATGTTCAAAGTCCAGAGAATTACCAAAGAAGGGAAAATCTGAAAAGTTTCTTATTGGTAGGATTAGGGATAACCTGCAGTGCTGGCTTACTAGATATCTGAAAATGTGGACCAGGAAGGAGAAGGAAGGAGAGAAGCAGAGGAAAGAGGTGAAGGACAGGAAAGGCAGAAAGAACTAACCCAAATGTGAAAGGGATCCCAAAGCAAAGTTCTGCTCTTTAACATTACCTAAGCTATGGGTCTTTGTGAAGAAAGATCACTGGACATTTTGTCAAAATGCCTGGGCTTGTATTCTGGGCCCTGCTGCTACTAAGATATGTGTTCTTGAGCTAATTACTTCAACTCTCTGAGACTCAGTTTTTCCTTTTACCTAAAAGTGGCATAATAAACATCTCATGGATTTCATGAAAATCCATTAATACAATGTATATGAAATAGTCTATAAATAGTATCATGTTATAAAAGAATGTAGTATCATTATACTCTACTAAACATAAATATCATTTCTATGTATATTCAATTCAATACATATAAATATAAATATCAATTAAATATATACATATATATAATATATATATGTATATATTCTTGGGGACTAGGCACACAAGCTGCCTAGGCAGAGAGAAAACCAATTTTTGTTAGCATCTCCTGATGTACCATTTGTGTGGTACATACAAAGCAAACACTTTTAGTGTTGTGGTTCCAGTGGAATCTTTCATAACCATAGCAAGAAACATTTGTATGATCACCATAAGGCCATATATTCAGATCCTCGGTAGTTTAGAATTGGAAAATTGAATGCTAGGGATTAATGAGACTCTGCTAGGAGCCTTTGTTGATCATAAATTTTTCTTCAACATTTACAATTACTTTAATTGCTAGAACTCAGATATTTAGTATAAAAAATAATCCATGCTAAACTGAAGTATGGCAGTTGTAATTTTTTCCCCCTAGAATGTAATTGTCTGTCTGCCTGCTCCATCATCTGGCTGCTTCTGCATGATGCTTCACTGTCATCTTAATTGTTTGTGCCAGTTGAAAATACCTTTTCCTCTTACCTGTCAGGAAGCCTACATTTCTACATTTACAGATTTATTTCTCAGGAATCTTTGGTTAGAATGTAAAATTCTTTGCAAGTGAAGGAGAGTCATATATCAGGGTTGTATAAATTGTTAAAACATTGATGTGAATTTTGTTCATAGTATACATTAAACTACTCAGCAATCAGTTATGTACAATAGGTTTGATAAACTGGATCATTTTGCCCTCTTCTGGATCTTACTCCCTAAATATCTCTTAAATCTCCCTGAATCTTTTCATCCTCACCATTCTTGTGTTCTTTCATCTGAGTAATACCCTTCTAATTAGGCTTCTAGTCTGGAGTCCAGTGTTCTCAAACTCTAGTGTGGGTAAGAATTATCTTGGGGTGCTTGTTAAAGTATTCGGGGTCTCTGATCCTACTTTCAGAAATACTGACTTATCCAATATGGGGCTTGGGTCTGGGAATTTGCATTTTAAAAAGTTTCCAAATGATTATGATGCAGGTGGTTCATGGATCATACCCTGAGAAACACTTTCTTGATTGTCTAATCTAAAATACCCGTTCCACGCTAGCATGGTGGTGTGTGTCTGTAGTTTCAGACACTGGGGAGGCTGATGTGGGAGGATAACTGGAGTCCAGCTTTGGCAACACAGGGAGAGAGACCCTGTTCCAAAAAAAAAAAAAAAAAAAAAAAGAAGAATTAAAGTAGCACATCCCCCTCCAACCCTTGCCAAAGTTAGCCTTATTACATCACCTTGATTTTCTCCCAGAAAGCACTCATGAGGCCTTCCTTCTACCATTAGTAGAAGGAAGTATACCATAGTATAAATAATTAATTTATGAAGTATACCATAGTACACATAATTTAATGTGTACTAAATTGAACACATTAAATTATGAACAAAATTCACATCAAGGTTTTTTTTTTTTTTTTTTTTTTTGAGACAGAGTCTTGCTCTGTTGCCCAGGCTGGAGTGCAGTGGTGTGATCTTGGCTCACTGCAAGCTCCACCTCCCGGGTTCACGCCATTCTCCTGCCTCAGCCTCCTGAGTAGCTGGGACTACAGGGGCCTGCCACCACGCCTGGCTAATATTTTTTATTTTTAGTAAAGACAGATTTTCATCGTGTTAGCCAGGATGGTCTCGATCTCCTGACCTCATGATCCACCCACCTCGGCCACATCAAGGTTTTAACATTAGAATATAAGTTCTCTGAGGGCAGGGCCTTGTCTGCCCTGTTCACCTCTGTATCTGTACCACCTAGTCTTAGGGCCTGCCTACAATGGTACTTAATAAGTATTTTAATGAATGAGTGGATGCTTGAATAGATTGCTTAGGCATTGGTCCTAGTCTTCAGTACACTTTTCTCACTTTTTAATTTTCAGAATGGCATTTCTGATCTTATCATTCTCTTCCTTAAAATTTCTGTGGTCTCTGGCTCACTTACAGGAGGAATGTAAACTCCTTCACACAAAAGACTTGCACAATCTCACCCCAAACTTTCTTACAGACTCATTTAGAACTACTATCCCAGTATCCTCTCTTTTTAGCTAACTCATTCCTCAAAAGTTAGCAGATTTTATTTCACACGTCCATGCTTCAGCTCATGCTGTTTTCTTGCCTGGAATGTCCTTCCTCCTTTTCTGCTCTCCCAACCCGTTTGAATTCTTGTTCTTCTAAATTTTAATAAATGTAACTTTCTCTGTGAGGTCTTTTTTAGTTCTTCCAGTTATTTGTTTGTTATTGGTGGTCCCACCTCACCCTTTGCCTGCATTTTAGGCATTTCCTATGTTACTTTGTGTCTCTCTTCTTTGAATCCCAGGGGTTTAGGACAGTGTCTCTCATGTGGTAAATATTTAATAAATAATCCTTAAGAAATTTATAAAAATGTACTTTTTTCCAGAATTGAGAATGGTGCTAGGAAGTGTCAGACAACTTATTCTCCAATATCAAACCTCATTTTTAATCTTGGCTGTAATGATATCAGAAGGAGTAAGTCAAGAGAGGGCCTTAGAGTGCCCTGAATTCCTTGGACAAATACATTTCTTTTCCTTACTTGGCTCAATGCCTGAAATTTTCAGCAATAAATATCTTTTTTCCTTAATGGCATCAAAGATTTTTTTAAACAGTAAGTGTAATACTGGGAGTTTTGTTCTGTGATTTGGCCAGTTGGGGGCTGAGAAAGATAAACTCTAAAGGGAGAAGGAAAACATAATAGCTAAGGATTTATGAGGGCACTGAAATGGCAGATCCAGCTCAGTCCATGTAATATGGTGAAGGAACTAGGTCTCTCAAGAGTATGGGCAAAGTTCCAGTGTGACTTTTATTACGTAATATCCATTAAAATTCATTCAATCATTAATTTATCCATCTGCGTATTAATTTTTCTATTTTTAAACTAATTGTCCACTAGACTAGGAGAGGGACCAACAAAAGAAGATAATAAATGTATCAGAACACAGGTATGCTCAGAAGTAGAGGCACTGCGTACCCCTGATGGTGGGGTATAGAGAGTTTGTTTAACAGAGTTTTACACCTAAGTTTTTAGTGAGACACAATGATATCGTAGATGTGAAATTTCAGAACAAGGTTTCAGATCATCAAGGGCAGCATTGTTAACAAAAGAAATAGAGGAACTTGTTCCATGTATCTTGGTTTCATCACTTATTTGTGAAATCTCCCCCCAAAAATGTTTAGAGAGTGGAGAACAAATCACTTCACTCCAAAGCTGGTTAATAAAACTTTGATTTATTCTCCACTCTCTCAACATTTTTGGGGGGGGGGGTGGATTTCTTACCAGTTTCTTAGGAGAGAGGTTTTAAAATTCCTCTTTTTTTTCTTCAAATCTAGTGAAGAAGGCTTCCTTTGGACCACTTAGAGATATTAAAATGTGTTCTCTGTACTGGGAGGAGGGGAAACATACTGAGGTCTGATTCATGCTTGAGGAAGGTAGTAGAATGCAGGTTACCGTGTACTTCCTGGATTTGCTAGGGCAAGGTGAGAGAGCTATCTGGAAGCTCTTTAATCCTAACCCAAGAGGTCTTCTGCTTCTGGACAAGTGGATCCCAAGAGTAATGTCTCTGTGGGGTAACAACCTCTGGAAAATCAGAGTTTGAGGGAACATTTCTATTTCCATCTAAAGGAAAACATGCATTTCCCATGTCAAGGAGCTACAGGAAGTTCCTAACGCATGGAAATTTCCCAGGATCCCACACAGATACCAAGGAAAGAGTGAGCCTTAAACAGCTGTCATCTAGAGCACCCTAACTCAGATAGTAATGTCACTCTGTGAAAACTTGTCTTTTCCCCCAATCTCTAACATGAGAGTGGAGAGAAGCTTACATAAGCAGACTGGAGGGAGGTGAAAAAGTGGGGATGGATAAAAGAAAAACTGACCACATACTCATTCCTGGTTTTGTTTGTTGGAGACCCCAGGCTGGGGAAGGGAACAAGATTTGCCACTAAATTAAAATGTAGGACTTGAAGATTGTTCAAGATAGAGCATGTTGATTAATTACAAATTAAGTCTGTGTTTGTGAGTTACAGGGGACTGTGAGTCTAAGGGCAACCCCAGTGTGTAGGTCAAATGGAAATTTCCATCTCAGGGCAAGGAAAGTAGTGTTGAATATAACTTAAAGTTGCTGCAGGAGATAAAATAAGTAAGCCAATAAGTAAAAATAAAATTAAACAAACAACAACAACAAAAAAACAAATTAAATGCATCATGCTTTGATTCTGTCACAAGTTCTGCTTATGTAACATCTACACTATAAGCACAGTTAGATGCTCAGAAACCTGCCAGCAGACGAGGGAGTTTTTGCTACCCTGTGGGAAATGAGAATTTTACTCTCTGAAGAGTGAAACCAGACTTTGGGTTTCAGATCTCAGGCAGAGCTAAAGGCAGAAGTTAGTTGCCATAGTGATAACAACAGGATTATGTGAAAGTCTGAATATTGAAGGGCAAATTCTCCTTCCCCTGCCCCACTCAGTTCATAAAATTCTGGAATCCTCCAGGGATAAGAGTGTAAGACTTATCTTTGGAGAAAATGCACAGATCAAACAGTGTGATATGCACATAATAGTACAGTGGTATTATTTTTAATGAAGCCCAACACTTAGCTCTGATTCTCCTCTCCATGCACACCAAACTTCCATTGATATTTTTCGTGCTGTTAAATAAAAACAGAAATCCATGAATCATCCAAGAAAATGTCAATTGTGAAAGATGGTGACCAAAGTTAATTAGGAGGAAATAGAGACAATACAGGAAAAAAGGGAAGAAAACTGAAAGGAAAAAGAAACATAGTTAATAACTCAGAAAGATAAAAGATGTTACAAAAAAGAGAAAAATGAAAAAGAATGTAATAAGAATCATGGAACAAGTAAATATCTTGGAAGTTTAAAAGTCATTACATGGTGCTGGTATAGCAGACAGAAGAATGAATCTGGACCTGTACCTTTCACCATATGCAAATATTAATGCAAGATGGATTAGGAATCTTTTTCAAATGTTAATTTTTGGGGGTATATAGTTGATGTATCTATTTATGCGATACATGAGAAATTTTGATACAGGTATACAATGTGTAGTAATCATGTCAGGTGGATGTCAATCACCTCAAGTATTTATCATTTCATTTCATTGTGTTATGAACATTCCAATTATACTTTTTAAGATATTTTATAATGTAGAGTAAATTATTGTTGACTGTAGTCACCCTGTTGTGCTATCAAACGTTAGATCTTATTCATCCTATCTAATTATACTTTTGTATCCATTAGCCCTCTGCACTACCCCATCCCCACTAGCTTTTCCACCAAATGAGAACATGTGAAGTTTGTCTTTCTGTGCCCGGCTTATTTCATTTAATATAATATCCTTTAGTTCCATTCATGTTGCTGCAAATGACAATATTTTATTCTTTTTTATAGCTAGATAGGACTTCATTGTGTATATGTACCACATATTCTTTTTTTTTTTTTGAAACGGAGTCTCACTCTGTCACCCAGGCTGGAGTGCAGTGGCGCCATCTCGGCTCACTGCAAGCTCTGCCTCCAGGGTTCACGCCATTCTCCTGCCTCAGCCTCCCTAGTAGCTGCGACTACAGGCACCCGCCACCACGCCCGGCTAATTTTTTGTATTTTTAGTAGAGAACGGGTTTCACCGTGTTAGCCAGGATGATCTCGATCTCCTGACCTCATGATCCACCCGCCTCGTCTTCCCAAAGTGCTGGGATTACAGACGTGAGCCACCGCGCCCAGCCCGTACCACGTATTCTTTATCTGCTTGTTTGTTAATGGACACTTAGTTTGCTTCAAATTTGGCTATGTGAATACTGCTGCAATAACATAGGAGTGAAGATACCACTTCAATACATTGATTTCCTTTCTTCTGAATATATACTCAGCAGTGAGATTGCTGGATCATCTGATAGTTCTAATTTTAGTTTTTTGAGGAACCTCCAAAGTGTTCTCCCCATGGATTGTACCAATTCACATTCCCACCAACAGTGTTTGAGGGTTCCCTTTCCTCCATATCCTTGCCAGAATTTGTTACTGCATGTCTTTTGGATAAAAGCCATTTTGACTGGGGTGAGATGTAGTTTTGATTTGCTTTTCTCTGATGACCAGTGATGTTGAGCATATTTTCATATGCCTGTTTGGCATTTCTGTGTCTTCTTTTGAGAATGTCTATTAGATCTTTTGCCTATTTTTTAATTGAATTGTTAGATTTTTTTCCCTGTAGAGTTGTATGAGCTCTTTATATATTCTGGTAACAAATCTCTTGTCAGATGGATAGTTTGCAAATATTTTCCACCATTTTGTGGAGTGTTTGTTGATTGTTTCCTTAGCTGTACAGAAGCTTTTTGACCAGGTGTGATCTCATTTGTCCATTTTTTCTTTGGTTGCCTGTGACTTGGGATATTGCTCAATAAATCTTTGCCCAAACCAATGTCCTAGAGAGTTCCCCTAACATTTCTTTCAGTAGTTTCATTTTGATTTGACTTTTGTATATGGCAAGAAATAGGGGTGTAGAATCATTCTAGACCCCTGAGTATGGTTATCAAGTTTTCTCATTTATTTATGGGACTGTCCTTTCCCCAATGTATGTTTTTGGCACATTTGTCAAAAATGAGTTCACAGTAGATGTGTGGATTTATTTCTGAGTTATCTATGCTGTTGCATTGGTCTATGTCTCAGTTTTTATGCCAGTATCACGCTGGTTTTCATTACTATAGCTTTGTGATATAATTTGAAGTCAGGTAATGTGATTCCTCCAGTTTTGTTCTTTTTGCTCAGGGTGGCTTTGGCTGTTCAGGATCTTTTGTGATTCCATACACATATAAGCATTATTTTTTATATTTCTGCAAAGAATATTCATTGGTATTTTGATAAAGATTGCACTGAATCTGTAAATTGATTTGTGTAGTATGGACATTTTAACAATATTAATTTTTCCAAACCATGAACATGAAATGTCTTTCCATTTTTTGGTGCCCTCTTCAATTATTTTGCATCAACTTTTTATGGTTTTCATTGTAGATATCTTTCACTTCCTTCATTAAGTTTATTCCTAGTTATTTTATTATATTTGTATCTATTGTAAAATGGGATTACTTTCTTAATTTCTTTTTCATATTGTTTGCAGTTGGCTTATAGAAATGACACTAATTTTATATGTTGATTTTTCTGTCGTGCAACTTTACTGAATTTGTGTCAGTTATAATAGTTTGTTTTACCGAAGTCTTTAGATTTTTCCGAATATAGATAATCATCTGCAAACAAGGTAATTTAATTTCTTCCATTCTAATTTGGATGCCTTGCTTCTAATTTTGCTGCTTTCTCTATCTAGGACTTTGAGTACTATGTTGAGTAACAGTGGTGAAAGTGAGTATACTTGTCTTGTTCTAGATCTTAGAAGAAAGGCTTCCTGTTTATACCTGTTCAGTATTATACTAGCTGTAGATCTGTTGTATATGTAGATCTATTGTATTGAGGTGTGTTCCTTCTATCAGTTTTTTTGAGGGTTTTTTATCATGAAGGGAAGCTGAATTTTATCAAATGTTTTTTCAGCATCAATTAAAATGATCATATGCTTTTTTTCCTTCATTCTGTTGATAAGATGTATCACATTAATTAATTTGCATGTGTTGAATCATCTTTGCATTCTTTGGATAAATCATATTTGCTCATGATGAACAGTCTTTTCAATGGGTTGTTGAATTTGGTTTGTTAGCATTTCGTTGAGGATTTTTGCATCAATGTTCATCAGGGATATTGGCCTGTAAGTTTCTTTTTTTGATGTGTCTTTTTCTGGTTTTGGTTATCAGGGTAATATTGGCCTCCTAGGATGAGTTTGAAAATATTCCCTCCTCTATTTTTCAAAATAGTTAGTGTAGGCTGGCATTAGTTCTTCTTTGTCTGGTAGAATTCAGCAGTGAAGCCATTGGGACCTGGGTTTTTCCTTGTTGGGATATTTTCTATTGTGACTTTTATCTCATTAATAGCTATTGGTCTATTCAGGTTTTGGATTTCTTCATGGTTCAAACCTGGTAGGTTTTATATTTCTAGGAATTCATTTCTTCTACATTTTCTAATTAATTTGCATATAGTTGCTGATATTAACTTCTAATGATCATTTGAATTTCT
Source organism: Homo sapiens (assembly GCF_000001405.40). NCBI lineage: Eukaryota > Metazoa > Chordata > Mammalia > Primates > Hominidae > Homo > Homo sapiens. Next base: position 43,248,976 of record NC_000004.12, read on the forward strand.
TCAGTAACAATTGTTACTGAGTACTGAGCACACCACAATTACAGTGTTAAAATATTTTGAATTTTTTGTGTTCTTACTATTACCAGTGAGTTTTGTATGCTCTGATAATTTCTTAATGCTAATTAACACCCTTCTCTTTCAGATTGAAAAACTCCTGTTAGCATTTCTTACAGGACAGGTCTGGTATTAATGAAATCTCTCAGCAATTTTTTTCCTCTGGATCTTTGTTTTAGATAAAAGGTTTTTGCCTTCTGCACATTAAATATGTCATGCCACTCTCTCTTGGCCTATAATGTTCCCACTGAGAAGTCTACTGCCTGCTCTATGGAAGCTCCTTTTCATATTATTTGCTTATTTTCTCTTGATTCTTCTAGGATCCTTTTTTTATCCTTGACCTTTGGGGGTTTAATTATTAAATTTCTTGAGGTAGTTTTCTTTGGCTTAAGTCTGATTGGTGTTCTGTAACTTTCTTGTACTTCAATATTGGTATCTTTATCTAGGTTTGGGAAGTTCTCTATTATTATCCCTTTGGATGAACGTTCTACCCCATCTCTCTCTCTACCTCCTGTTTTAGGCCAAAACTTAGATTTGCACTTTTGTGGTTATCTTCTAGATCTTGTAGGCATAATTTATTCTTTATGGATTAAAGATTTAAATGTAAGACTTCAAACTGTAAGAATTGTAAAAGACAATCTAGGAACACTATTCTGGACATTGGCCTGGGGAAATAATTTATGACTAACTCTTCAAAATCAATTGCAACAAAATCAAAATTGACAAGTCGGACCAAATTAAACTAAAGATCTTCTACATAGCAAAAGAAAATATCAATAACCTGACAACCTACAGAATTGGAGAAAATATTTGCAAACTATGCATCTGACAAAGGTCAAACATTCAGAATCTATAAGAAACTTAAAAATTCAACAAGCAAAAAAACAAATAGCCCCATTAGAAAGCAGGCAAAAGACATGAACAGAAACTTCTCAAAAGAAGATATACAAACTGATTACAAAGATATGAAAAAATGCTCAACATCACTAATCATCAGAGAAATGCAATTTAAAACCACAATGTGATGCCATCTCACATCAGTCAAAAGAGCTACTATTGAAACAAAACAAAACAAAACAAAACAAAAAACCCAGCAGTTGTTGGTGAGGTTGCAGAGAGAAGGGAAAGCTTATAACCTGTTTATAGGAATGTAAATCAGTTAAGCTCCTGGAAAAACAGTTAGGATATTTTTTCAAAGACATTAAAACAGAACTACCATTCAATTCAGCATTCCAATTACTATGTATATATCCAAAATAATATAAATTATTTCACTAAAAAGACACATGTTCATCACAGTGGTATTCATACATATGTTCATTGCAGTGGTATTCACAATAGCAAAGACCTGAATCAAGCCTGGTGCCCATCAACGATGATTGGAATAATGTAAATGTGGTACATATGCATCATGGAATACTACACAGCCATAGAAAAGAATAAAATCATGTCCTTTGCAGCAACATAGATGGATCTGGAGGCCATTATCCTAAACAAGTTAATGGAGGAACAGAAAACCAAATACCACATGTTCTCACTTATAAATGGAGCGGTACATTGGGGAGCAGTGGACATAAAGATGACAACAATAGACACTAGGGACTACTAGAGACAGGTGGGAGAAAGAAAGGCAAGGGTTGAAAAGACACCTATTGGGCACTATGTTTACTACTTGGGCAACAGGATCATGGGATCTAAAGAAGAAGAAAAGTATGGATTGTGATGGCATAAATGAAAAATTCATAGAAGGTTTAGAAAATAAGTAGAAAAAAAACACCCAGAAATAAAAATGTAAAATAAAATAAGAAGCAAAATTAGAGAAAAGGGCATTTCAACAGCAGAGTAACAGAAATTCCAGAAAGAAAGAAAGATAGCATTAAAATAAAATACAGAGAATGATTAAACAAATAGTTGAAGAAAATTTCCTAGTACTGAAAATATGAAAATTTAGATTGAGAAGTCTCACTGATTGCTAAACACCGTAAGAACCAAGTACACAGACAGTCAGATCATTATGAAAATTCAGACATGTTGGATAAAGAGAAAATATTAAAAGCCTTCCTCTAAAAATACATAATAATGTTTCCTTCTCAAGAAGCTATAGGAGTGTATACTCCAACAAAATAAAGGAGAAATCCAAGATGGGAGAAGAACTATAAAAGAGGTGAAAAGAATTCCCAGTGTGGTAATGAACAGAATACACAGCAGTTATCTTCAATACATGGCCCGCTTTTGTCCCACTTTAGCAACAAATCTCGATGGTAATAGTCCTATGATACATCTATAAAAATATTTAGAGGATACTTTTAGTTGCAATTCTACAAAGATTCTTAAAAACAAGACAAATTTCATTCTATTCAATGGGAACTTTACTGTTGAGTATACAGTTAAACATAATTGTGAAAATATAATTTATTCTTAGCCAAAAATAACTTTTCTCTTTTGTGCTACTTGGGTGTTATAGCTTTTATATAGGTGACCCCACATTATAACAAATCTCCTACTAGATTAAAAAATTAAATGGCTTAAAAACTTTTTATATTTATCATCCACTTCTCACATCTTAGCAGTATCACTGACAACATTTTGCATCTGCCTTTCTCAAGGATCTACCTTATTTTAACCCATGACATGGCTAAGCTGTTACTACCTTCTCTGAAAGCTTCCAAAGACTTCATAGTCCGAGACAGATAAGGTAGTGAAACCTGTAAATATTCATATTCTATAAGAAGTTTTACCGTTAAATGACAGGAACAATATAAATTCATTTAGTAGTTAGTATCTACATAAAGTTTTCAATTCAATAGTTGATGAGTACATACCAATGTGTCTGGCACTACTGAAAAACTATCATAGAGTCAAAGCTATGTAAACACCACTTTCAGACCTCGGTGAATTCCTTTTGGAGATGAAATGCATAAACATGAAAAAGAATGTAAGATATTGTATCTAAATGTGTGGTACAGACTATGGATGAAGCAAGAGACTAATGGCTGTTAAGAAGCAAGTGACTAATGGCTGTTTCTATAAAAGAGTGATGGCTTTGCCCCTATTACAAAATGATATTGATTTTAGCTGGCAGTACAGTTCACAGATTGGAAGTCAGCCAGCAGTTGAACTCATGCAGAGAACCATATGTCAAAACTAGACTTCTGTGCAAGTAATGCGGAGTTTGTCCTTAGTGAAACCTCTGTCACAGGCAAATACCTTAAAGATAATCCCAGGGTTCAAAAGTCCTTTTAAGTCTTAGTAGATATGAACAAAAGGTTGACAGAAATGAATTTTGAGTGTCCAACAACATTGTCTTACCAATTTGCCTTGTGAAACGTGATTAGACACTCCAAGTTTCCATAAAATAAACTAAGATGACAAATCTTCTTATATAATGAGATTACCTTACTTTTGTTTAAGGAATATATGTTCTGGTGTGTAGAATGTAGAATGATCCTTAGGATAATAAGAAGGTATAATTTTACTTTAGGGGCTTTTGCTGAATGTCAGCTTATGCATAGAGTTTAAAAATTATAAAGAAGAGGAGGAATTTATCCTATCAGTGCGATGGAAAATTCATTGTTAGGGATTTGGAATTTTAAAAATGTACCTGAAAGATGTTTAATATCCCTAACAACTATTAAGACTTTTATCTGCCCTCAAGGGAAATACTGTAGATTTTCATTCATATTAAAATGAAATGTAGACATTTAACTGACACTGCCTGAAGTTAACTTTGGTTTCATGACTCTACCAACTTATGTGGTTGGTGTGTTTCTTAGATTCTCCAAAGCGGATTTCAGAGTACAGTTAATTCACACTCATGCATCTCATCAACAGCAAGTACGTTATATGAGATACCATGGGCTATGGTTGGGCTGGCTGACATTTCTTCTGAACTTCTCTTGTTTGTTTCTCTCTGAGCTAAGAATATATATAGGAGAAAAATGTTCAATATAAGGAAATACAAGAAAGATGTGTAGATGTAGCAAGTAACAATTTTCCTTCTACTTCTGTTTACAGAGATTTTTTGAAATGTTTCTTAAAGTGGAAGAAAAATGTCATGTTTTTATTTTACTAGTTCTGTGAAACCCAAATAAAAACCCTAAGATTCTTGCATTTTTTAAATTAAATTTTCAACCCAGCCTACCAAGTCACTGAAGTGGATTAAATATCATTCCCTCAGTGAATGTGGAACAGTTGGTATACATTCAGAGGCTTTCTTGGAAGCAGTATAATAAACTGCTTGTAAATGACTTTATAAAGAGTTTAAGACAGTAACACTATGTCTTCACTTTTTATTTAACATCATTAGTTTTTATATGTTTAAAATAAATCTCATTTAAAACATTTCCAATGATCTATTTAAATTATTTGAAAGAACATGAAGATATAGGGTGTAATGTAATGAGACATTGGAAAATAATTACTAAAATGTGAGAAAGCTAATTCTCTTTTGAATTTATTTGGATTGTAGTTAAGCCACATTCCAATATCTTTATGGGAATAGGATACAGTGCAATTGAGAAAGAGGGTAACTTGAATAAAAACAAATTACTTGGGGGCCCTGCATGATCTTTCTTGATCTGCACAATCAATGTAACCACATCATCCAACTCAAGAGTGTTTCCCACTGTGCAGAGCTTGTGTGAGGCACTCTCAAAGCATATGGTCAAGAGGTATGATGTCCAGAGTGAAGCAGTGACCCAGATAGCTACTGGCTTCTGAGAACTCAAAACAAATCCATCACCAGACACTGGGCTTATGGAAATGGTTTTAAAAATACTTGGAAAAAAGTCACAAGCTGTTCACTGAAAGAGCCCTAAGCACAGTTTGATTTCTATGAGCATTTATGAAAAGTAACAAATGAGAGTTTCAAATGGAGAAGTGTCTGAATACTTGTTGCTAAGTTAGGAAAAAACTCTCTTACTCTTTATCTAAAATAGTGAAAAAGAACATTTGGAATCATTCCATCATACGACTTTATAAATTTTGTTTGCCATGTAAAGAAGCTATATTTAATAATAACAATAATACATAGGGAGAAGTGAGGCTTGACTTCTCCATTTTCTATGCTGATGAAATTATTTAAAAAGATAAACTTCATTTTGAATATGCAACTGATAATTACCAATATGTAAATAAAATGTTCAGGGTGTGATCGATTATAGTTATGCAGGGAGGTTTGCTTTCTAGAAAAGGATCTCAAAAGCATGCATTTTTATTATTATCATTAGATAAATATTGTTCATGGTTGAAACAAATCTTATGTTCATTATGATAATCCTTCTTGAACTCTTCTCCCCCAGGAGTTAGTTTAAATATTTTACCATATTTCATAATTTTGGTTGAACATCTAAGTTTTATTATGCTCACCAATGAGTCCATGAAATATCAGTCCCTGTAATTTCACACATGTTCTAACATGTCATATAGTTAATTGCTTATTTCTGAAAAAAAAAATTATCTTGGAGCCTTCCAAGTTGCTGCTCACTCTGAAACATTTTACTCTATACAGCCTTTGTTTGGGGCATCTAACTTTCTACTTTGAAGAGAGCTTGTTACTTTCCTTATCTCATTTTTTCTGGAGACTGTCCTCTACTAATGTCCTAAAGAATGTAGATGGGGAGCACAGTTTTAAGGACTTTGAAAATTTGAAAACATCACAATTCTACCTACATCTTTGACTAATGACGAAGGTTTGTGTAAAAATTTAAATAGATAATTATTGTTCTTTAAATACTGTAGGAATTTCTCCTTTGTTTACTTAATTCAGGAGTTGCATTAAGAAGCCTCACGCAATTTTTGTATTCCATTCTTGTATTTCTTGTAGATGACCTATTTATTTACTCTGGAAAGTTTTAGAATACTTTATTTATTGCTGGTGTTCTGAAATTTCAGAATGTGCTCCAGTATGAAACTTTTTTATTCAGTGGGTTGTGTTCTGAAAATGTTGTGGCTTTTTCATGTTCCCATAGTTCGGCGACGGGGAAGGAGTGGTGTTCAGTGGCTTTTTCACTCCCATAGTGTAGTGGGTGGGAGAGAGTGTTACAAGTCCTTTTACTCCCACTGCCCGCAGCTCAGTGATCGGGGGTGTTACAACTCTTTTTGTGCCCACAGTTTGGAGAGTTCCAGATTATCGTCCTGTAACAAAGAGGAATGAGGTTCGTGGACACCAGAGAGTGAGCTAGGAAGAGTAGAATTCTATTGAGCAATAGAAAGCTCTCAGCACAGAGAGGTAACCCAAAAGCAGTTGCCATTTGTGAGTCTGTCTGAGTCCAGAGTATTTATGGGCTTAGAATGGGAGAATGCATGCTGATTGGTCCATGGGTAGTCTTGGCAAAAGCACCATTCGATTGGTAAAGGCATCATTCAGAAGAAACCAATCAAGAGTGAGTGAGTACGGCAGGAATAGAAGATCTTACTCTGTTCATGGACTGTATCCACAACTGGCAGTTTGGTTTTCAGGCTTTAGACTGTCCTTGGCTTAAAGGTCGGGTTTCACCAGGGACTCATCTTTATCTGCCTAGAAATTTGTCTGTTTCCTGTCACTATCAATCTCCTCTCTAAATAGGTACATCTGACTGCCATTAGGATAGGGACGTGACTGTTCTAACTGCTTCATTATGACAGGAGGCGTTGTTTTTGGGAAAATGGCAGTCAGATTTCTCTCACAGGCCTATCTAAGGGTCTCTGGTAGAGAAAGTCTTTGTGCCGGACTCCCTCCATTTGCATGGCCATTTGGAGTTTGATAGCCCCTAGGTGAGAAGAAATAAATTTTCCAAGGAGGTTAAGTATGCATGGACCAAATATGAGTACTATACAAAGAGAAGCTAAAAGGGAAAAATCCATGCCAGTGTCAGAGATAACAGAAATAAGAAATAAAATAGACTAATCATTCTGAAAACAATGTCGTGGCCAGAGCTGTTTCACCCTGGTGAAAGAAATTAAATATTGTAAGGGGGGGGCAGGTAAATTTTAGAATAGAGATAGCTGTTTAGGGGAGTAGATGATCCCATGGTCATTCAGGGTTAAGGGGTTCTTGGCAAAGACACCTTATGGTGATGAACAGAATGGAGTCAAGAACAGCAAGTATAGGCCAGACTATAAAGAAGATATCCACGGAAGGTTAATTATTGACACTTATCATTTATGATCTTTAGCTTGATGTCTCTGATTTCTTCACACTGGTGCTTTGGGTGCTCTGTTTGGTCAACAGAGGTAATTACATCAGTTCCTCAGGCCTTTACTGAAGCGTAATGAATCCAATAATCTATTCCAGTGAACTTCACTGCTGGGGGAGTAGAGAGAAATGCAGTGTAAGATCCCTCCCAATCCAGGCTGAGAGAGAGAGAAAGGGAAGGAATAGCCTTTACCAGTACTAAGCCCTCTGGGTTGAATAGAGGTGGCCCTAGTTCACAGGGTTGGGCTTCTGACAGTTGTTTTAGTTCCTGTTGGAAATGGTCCAAATAAGTTATATGTTTAATCAAATCAGAGGTTTCTTAGTCTATCAGAAAATCATTGGTGAGAAAATGCTGTCCATCATCTGAAGGGACTTAAATCCAGCTTTGAAGGTGTGTTTCTAACATGTAGTAGGGCCACGTGAAGAAGAGTTATCCAGGGGTGATGAATCTCTTGAGACTTTTTTGTGAGGTTCCTTTTGATAATTTCATTTGTCTTTTCTACCTTTCCTGAAGATTATAATCTCCAAGCACAATGAAGATGGTATTGTATGCTTAGTGCCTTTGAAGTCCCCTGGGTGATAGATGCCTTGAATGACAGGTCATTATCTCTCTAGAGGTACTTAGGGAGTCAAAGCAAGAAATTATCTCATTAATTAATTTTATCACCTCAGAGGCTTTCCTGTCCAACATGGAAATGCTTCCACCCCGTTGGTGAAGGTATCTTCCCATGCCAGAAGGTACTGGATGCCCCTTATCTTTGTTTCCATAGTTTGGTGAGCTTGAGGGAGTGGCACCCAGTGGCTTTTTCACTCCTGTAATTTGGTGAATGGAAGAGAGTGTTACAAGCCCTTTTACTCCCACCACCTGCAGCTAGGTGAGCAGGAGTGTTACAGCTTTTTTCACACTCACAGTTCAGAGAGTTCCAGGTTCTTGTCTTGTGACCAAGAAGAATGAGGTATGCGGACACTGGAAAGTGAGAAAGGCAGGGTAGAATTTTATTGAGTGACAGAAAGCTCTCAGCATGGAGAGGGGACCTGAAAGTGGTTTGCCATCTGTGAGGCTGAGTCTGGGGTTTTTATGGGCTTATAATGGGAGAACGTGGCCGATTGGTCCGTTTGTGGTCTTGGCAAAAGCACCATTCGATTAGTTAAAAGGCATAATTCAGAAGGAACCAATCGAAAGGGAGTGGGTAAGGTGGGGATGGAAGTTCTCACTCCAGTCATGGACCATATCCAGAACTGGCATTTCACTTTTCAGGCTTTAGGCTGTCCTTGGCTTAAGGAGTTTGATTTCACTGGGGACCCATCCCTGTCTGCCTCCTGTCACTATCAGAGAGTCATGTCTATCTTGATTGGAGAAATGGTCTTTATTTCTTCCTTACAAGTATTTTCTGTTCTTCCTGACTCTGGGTTAAACCTCCTGGATTGTCCCTCAAATTATATTATTCTTTCTCTTCTATTTTATATACAAATACATGAAATAGTAAATTGTTAGCTTTTCCATCATCTATTGCACATTTTATTAAGATTACTATCTTATTTTTTAAACATTTCCAGAAGGTATTATTATGTGAATATTACTTCTTTTAGTATGATTTTGCTTTTTATTTTAAAGATACAATATCCTGTCTTATCTCTCTTAGGATATTATATATAATATGACATAACATAATATAATGTCATTATATAATATATAATATGTATTTTTGTTAATATTACTTTTTAAACCTATATTGTTTCTATTTTGCGTTTTTAAAAATTATTGTTTAACTGTTATGCTTTATCTTTTATGCTTAAAAGTTTGGTGATTTTATTTAAGAGTGACACACTAAAAACTTGATTGGATAGAAGTAGTTTAGATTAGTGATTCCACTATGATGTCAGGAACTTGATTTTTTTCACCCGTCAGTATCCATAGAATTCTTTTCTGAAGTGATTCAGTTTTCCAGAAAAGAGTCTCTCAGTTTCCTGCCTAACAAAAAATGTCTGGCAACTGGTGCCCTGAGCCAATTCAGGCAAGGGTGACTCTGACTTGTACTTACTGAGGCTATTTTCTCCCTCTCTTCCCTTGCACCGAACCCTGTCCTCTATCCTGGGGTCTCTGTTTATTCGTAGAAAGTACCTCCTCCTCCCTTTCAAGGACTGGGCAGAATAGTCACCTGAATTAGTAAGTGGGCAGTGGGAGAGGAGATGGGGATTGTGTAAATATCTAAATGTTTGAAACAGACTTTCAAATAATTTGCCTATTTTACCTCCTCATCTTCTCTCTGCCTTTACATCTAACTTGTGCTTCCAATTCTTAAGCCTTTCTAGGGTTTGGCCAGCAAAAGTGAATTGCCTTTTTTGTTTTGCTTTAGTTTGAATCTCATCTCTGCTAAGTGGTTTAGTTTTCCTTTATGGGCCTTTTAAATCTTTTTGACTTCCAAGTGGAAGTTTATTTTTTTGAGAATTGGCTGAAATTGATGGTTCCTAGATAAATATAATTGTTCTTTGATGTGAGAAAGTAGAAAGAATATTGATAAGTAAACAAGAAACATGCATATTTCCTCTTCAGAAACATTTTGATCCTGATACCATCCTGTAAATTAAGTTGACTTAAAGGTCAACTTACTATTCTGTTACTTCTTGTAGTTGTAATAGATGTCAAAAGTATTTAATTTTACTTAGCTTAATAGTTTTAGTAGTACCAGAGGAGATTCTGACTACCAAAACATTATTTGTTCCTGGAAATAGCATACATGCTTCTACTGTTAAAAATTCTGCCAAGCCTGAGTTGCCTTTCTCTATGGTATTTTAAGTCTGGGCTTATTTTTTGTTTTCAAGGAGATTATAACTTTCATTTGTTATATGATTATGTAAGTAAAAAGATGTGCTACTCCTAGGAGGTTGGTGTTGCCATTTAAAACTTTAAAATGAATAATTTTGCTGAGAGTTAAGTTTTAATTTTTCTACATGTGTTAATACATTATGCTTGTCTATTAGAGTCGATTTACATTTTGAGTATAATGTAGAGAATTGACTTTTGTATATATTACAAAATATTTTATAGATACATAGTCGGCATATATAATTATGGGGTACATGACATATTTTAATACAGGCATACCATGTGTAATAATCACACCAGGGAAATGGGGTACCATCACCTCAAGCACTCATCGTTCCTTGGTGTTACAGCATTCCAGTTGTATTCCCTCAGTTTTTCTGAAACATACAAGTTATCATTGTATGTAGTTACCTTGTTGTGTTGTAAAAGAGTAGATCTTGTTCACTGTATTTAGCTATATATTTGAACCCACTAACCATCCTCATTTCTCTCCTCTTTCCCACTACCCTTCACAACTGCTGATAACCATCCTTCCACTCTCTAGTTTCATGAGATCAATTGTTTTAATTTTTAGGTTCTACAAATGAGTGAGAACATGTGAAGTTTGTATTTATGTGTCTGGCTTATTTCACTTAACATAATGTCTTCCAGTTCCATCCATGTAGTTGCAAATAAAAGGATCTCATTCTTTTTTATGACTAAATAGTGCTGCATTGTACATATGTACCACATTTTCTTTATCCATTGTCTGTTGGTGGACACTTAGGTTGATTCCAAACCTTGGCTATTCTGAGTGGTGCTGCAATAAACATAGGAGTACAGATATCTCTTTGATATACTGATTTTCCATCTTTTGAGTATATACTAGAATGAGATTGCTGTATCATATGGGGGTTCTATTTTTAGTTTTTTGAGAAACCTCCAGACTGTTCTCTACAGTGGTTTTACTAATTTATAATTCCACCAATGGTGTATGAAGGTTCCCTTTTCTCTACTTTCAACCCAGCATTCATTATGGACTATCTTTTGGATAAAAGCCATTTTAACTAGTGTGATACTATCTCATTGTAGTTTCTATTTACATTTCTCTGATAATCGGTAATGCTGAACATCTTTTCATATGCCTGTTTGCCATTTTTATATGTTTTTTAAAAAATATTTTATTTATTCATTTATTTATTTATTTTACTTTATGTTCTGGGATACATATGCCGAATGTGCAGGTTTGTTACATAGGTATACATGTGCCATGGTGGTTTGCTGCATCTATCAACTCATCATCTAGGTTTTAAGCCCTGTGTACATTAGGTATTTGTCCTAATGCTCTCCTTCCCCTTCCCCCAACTCCCTGAAAGGCCCCGGTATGTGATGTTCCCTTCCCTGTGTCCATGTGTTCATGTGTTCTCATTGTTCAACTCCCACTTATGAGTGAGAATATAAGACGTTTGGTTTCCTGTTCCTGTGTTAGTTTGCTGAAGATGATGGTTTTCAGCTTCATCCATGTTCTTGCAAAGGACATGAACTCATTCTTTTTTATGGCTGCATAGTATTCCATGGTGTATATGTGCCACATTTTCTTTATTCAGTCTATCATTTTATGTCTTCTTTTGAAAAATGTCTATTCAGATCTTTTGTCCATTTTTAAGTTGGATTATTAGATTTTTTCCTATAGAGTTATTTAAGCTCTTTATATATTCTTGTTATTAATCCCTTGTCACATGGTTAGTTGGAAAATATTTTCCACTATTCCATGGAGTGTCTCTTCAGCTTGATTGTTTCCTTTGTTGTGCAGAAGCTTTTTAACCTGTGTGATCCCATTTGTCCATTATTGTGTTGGTTGCTTGTGCATGTGAGGTATTACTCAAGAAATCTTTGTCTAGTCCATTGTCCTGGAGAGTTTACCCAATGCTTTCTTTTCTATTATTACATTTTAAATATAATATAATTTAATCTCTGACTACGATGACATACAAATAAGGCAAAAGTATTGGCTGGGTGCGGTGGCTCATGCCTGTAATCCCAGTACTGTGGTAGGCCAAGGAGGGTGGATCACCTGAGGTCAAGAGTTTCAGATCAGCCTGGCCAACATGACAAAACCCCGTCTCTACTAAAAATAAAAAAATTAGCCAGGCATGGTGGTGCAGGCCTGTAATCCCAGCTACTCGGGAGGCTGAGGCAGGAGAATCGCTTGAACCCAGGAGGTGGAGGTGAGCCAAGATTGTGCCACTGCACTCCAACCTGGGTGACAGAGCAAGACTCTGTCTCAAAAAAAAAGAAGAAAGAAAAAGTATCGAGAAAATTAACATGGTGCTTATGGCAAAGTTGATAAGAATATGATATATTTCCCCTCAAAGTTTTTTCATGTAAAATAGGGTATTCATCCTATAATTGGAGTGCTTATCACCCAAAGTTTTCTTTTAGTAGTTTCATTCCTTGAGGTCATAGATTTAAGTCTTTACTTCATTGTGATTTGATTTTTATATATGGCAAGAGACAGGGGTGTAGTTTCATACTTCTGCATAATGTTAGCCAGGTTTCTCAGTAGCATTTGTTGAAGAGACTGTCGTTTCCCCAATGTATGTTCTTGGCAACTTTGTCAAAAATGAGTTCACAATAGATGTATGGATTTATTTCTGGAATCTCTATTCTGTTGCATTGGTCTATGTTTCTATTTTTATGACAGTTTCATGCTGTTTTGATTACTATAGCTTTGCAGTATAATCTGAAGTCAAGTAACGTGATTCTTTCAGTTTTGTTCTTTTTGCTCAGGATGGCTTTGGCTAGCCTGGGTCTTTTGTGGTTCTATATACATTTTAGAATTATTTATTCTACTTTCATTTAGAAGGTCATTTGAATTTTAATAACAATTACATTGAATCTGTAGATTGCTATAGGTAGCACGGACATTTTAACAATAATCCATGAATGTGAAATATTTGTGTGTGTCTGTCTTTTTCAGTTTCTTGCATCAATGTGTTATGGTTTTTATTATAGATATCTTTCTCTTATTTGGTTAATTCCTAGATATTTTATTTTATTCATAGCTATTGTAAATGGGATTATTTCTTAATTGTTTTTTAGTTCCCTATAGGCATACTGAAATGCTACTGATTTTTGTATGTTGATTTGGTATTCTGCAACTTTACTGAATTTGTTTATCAGTTCAAATCATTTTTTGGGGGAGTATTTAGATTGTTCCAAGTATAAGACTATACCATCTGCAAATGATGATAATTGTAATTTCTTCCTTTCCAGTTTGCATACCCTTTATAGCTTTCTCTTGTCTGATTGCTCTAGCTAGGACTAGAGCATTAACACTGGTGAAAGTGGCAATCTTGTCTTCTTCTAGATCTTAGAAGAAAGCCTTTAATTTTTCCCCATTTAGTATGATGTTAGCTTTTATTGTATCGAGGTATGTTCCTTCTGTACCCAGTTTTTGATAATTTTTATCATGAAGTGATGTTGAATTTTATAAAATGCTTTTCAGCATCAATTAAAATTATTTGGTTTTTATCCTTCATCCTGTTGATGTGATATATCACATTGATTGATTTGTGTATGTTGAGCCATCCTTGTATCACTTGGATGAATCCCACTTGTTCATGGAATGAACTTTTTAATGTGTTGCTGAACTTGGTTTGCAAGTATTTTGTTAATGATTTTTACATAGATGTTCATCAGAGATAATGGTCTGTAGTTTTCTTTTTTTTGATGTGGCTTTGTCTGGTTCTGGTATCAGGGTATTACTGGCTTCGTAGGATAGTTTAGAAGTATTCCCTTCTTAATTTTTCAGAATAGTTTAAGTAGCATTAACATTAGTTCTTTAAATTTAAATATTTCATAGAATTCAGCAGTGAAATCATTGGGTCCCATGATTTTCTTTGCTAGGGATTTTTTATTGTGGGTTTTTATCTCATTACTTGTTATTGGTCTATTCAGGTTTTGGATTTCTTCATGGTTCCTTCTTGGCAAATTGTATGTATCTAGGAATTAATCTATTTCTTCTAGGTTTTCTAATTTCTTGGCATGTATTTGCTCATGGCAGTTTCTAATAATTCTTTGAATTTCTGTGGTATCAGATGTAGATGCTTCTTTTTTCATCTCTTATTATATTTATTTGGGTCTTCTGTCTTCTTAGTCAAGTTAAAGTTTTCTCTATTTTGTTTAATGTTTATAAAACCATATTTTTGTTTTATTGATTTTTGTATTATTATTCTGATTTCAATTTCATTTATTTCTGCTCCTATCTTTATCATTGTTCTTCTTTTAATAATTTTGGGTTTGGTTTGCTCTTGCTTTTCTAGTTTTTCTCAGATGCATTATTAAGTTGTTTATTTGAATTTTTTTCTATTTTTTTTGATGTAGGCACTTGTTGCTATAAACTTTCCTCTTAGTACTGCCTTTGCTGCATCCTAATGGCTTTGATATGTTGTGTTTCAATTTTGAATTACTTCAATAAACTTTTTAATTTCTTCACTGACCCACTGGTCATTCAGGAGCATACTATTTAAATTCCATGTGTTTGTATAGTTCCTAAGTTTCTCTTGTTATTGATTGCTAGCTTTATTCCACTGTGGTCCGAGAAGATACTTGATATGATATGATTTCAAATTTAAAAAAAGTTTAAGACCTATTTTGTGGCCTAACATATGGTTTGTCCTTGAGAATGATCTGTGCTGAGGAGAAGATTGTGTATTTTCTAGTCACTGGATGAAATGTTCTATAACTATCCATTCGGTCCATTTGGTCTACAGTGCAAATTTGGTCTGATGTTTCTTTGTTGGTTTTCTGTCTAGATGATGTGACTAATGCTGAAAGTAGGGTGTTGAAGCCTCCAACTTGTATTGTATTGAGGTCTATCTCTCTTTTTAGCTCTAATAATATTTGCTGTATATATCTGGGTGCTCATGTTTGGTGCATATATATTTACAATTGTTATATCATCTTGCTGAATTGATTCCTTTATCATTGTACAATGACTTTCTTTGTTACTTTTTACAGTTTTTGTCTTGAAATCTATTTTATCTGATATCAGTATCAATACTCCTGCTGTCTTTTGGTTTCCATTTGCATAGACTATCTTTTACCATCCCTTTATTTTCAATCTACGTGTGTCTTTATAGGTGAAATGTGTTTCTTACAGGCAACAGATCATTGGATTTCCTTTTTTTATTTTAAAACATTCAGCTATTTTATATCTTTTGGTTGAAGAGTTTAGTCCATTTACATTCAATGTTATTACTGATAAGGACTTATTTCTGCCATTTTTTTGTGTTTGCTTTCTGATTGTTTTGTAGTCTTTGTTCCTTCCTTTCTTTCTGTACAAGTAATTTTCTCTGTTGGTATGTTTTAATTTCTTGCTTTATATTTTTTGTGTGCCTTCTATCTTTTCAAATTGTGTTTCAGAGATATGAATTTCTGCTTCTTTTACTGACAAAGAATTTTGCATTTCATTTATTCATTGTTGGTGAGATTTTTGAGTGAAGATGCAGCAGAATATTTTTACTCTTCTTACTCTGTCCTGTCTTCAGTTAAAATATCAGAAACACATAAGTGTATATTTATTATCTAGTTTGTTTTTATTATGCATACACAAGAACTCCTATAAGATTGCCCTTAATTCTTTCTTATGGATGTATGGAAGTTCAGAGCAGAATTTACAGTTCTCTAGCTGAGTATGTTGCATGCACAGATCTCTTAATCTAAATCTTTACTTTTAACATGTTTCACTATTATTTTCCCTTTGTTGACATCATATACATATATATATATATATATATACATATATATATATATATATACACACACATACATATATATGTATTTGGACATATTTATTTTATTTTGAGTTATATCAATTTCTATAACTCAATTGCAAATATTTGCAAGCTAAGCAGATAATAAATGATAAAAAAAGGAAGGAGATAAAATTGGGATACTAAAGTCTTACATTCCATAGTTTATTTAAGCTGACATATATTAAAAGATATAAAAATATCACACATTGTAGGCCTTTAATAATTTAAATCCTACTCCTTCCCACACACATCTTTGTTCTTAATATCTTTACATTACTTAATATCTTTACATTACTTAATATCTTTACATTACTTTACATTACATACTTAATATCTTTACATTCCAGTAAAAATTAATAGCAATAGGTATGATTATTAATAATAATGATGATGGCTACTTCTACCTTTATAGAGCCCTACTATGTGCCAGAAATTGTACTTAGTTTTAAATAAATTATTTCTAGTGCCAAAATATAATAAAGAAAAACACTTAGCACAATAACCAGCACATAAACATGCTCAAAAATTTTTTCTTACCAGTATTTATTGATTTTCTCTTATAATTTTTATTTATCTTTCTCTGGACTTTTTTTTAAACCTTTGATTTATGTTTAACAGTATTCTAAGCAGGCACCAGACTCAAGACATTTCTAGCAATGTTGCTGTTTTCTTCATATATTTCCATACTGTGTGGTCTTTTGCTTGACTCTTCTGCTTCTCACTAGATTTCACTGGCCCTGGATGGCCTGACCAGGTTCCTGGTCTCACACTGACCATGGGAAGACAATTCATGTTTTCAAGTTACACAGCAAGTTAGCTAGAAATCCATGCATTTTAATCAGGGGTTTTAGCTTAATATTGACAGCACTACATATTTTTTTTCTTATTTGTCTTTCAAAGATTGTATATGCTTATTTTTTCCTCAGCCAGTGCACCTTTGACCATTTAAAAAATTGCTGGTTACATGATTTTATTATATATACTTTAGTTATACTTATTGTAGAAATTTATTCTAATCCTTTATTTAGTGCCTTTTGTTAAAATCTTTCAATGTGGCAACCTCTCTGGCTGTCTAATGTTGACTCTTCAGTGTCTTCAACTATTACAATTCTTTTTCCAGTCATGCTAAGATGCATATTAATAAGATTTTGTCTTTTCAAACACAGCCAATCAAGAACCCAGAATGGACAGTTATTGCTCATTTTTTAATCTCTAAAATTAGAACTTACCATGAATTCTTTTAAACTAATGGTTATATACTATAATTTTCTTAATGATAATATATTCTGAAAAGCTGATGTTTTTGTTGATAATGATCATACCACATTTTCTAAATTCTGAATACCAGAAGACAGTACACAACATGAACTAATAATTACAGTGAATAATATAGAAAACAATGATAGGCCCCATGAGTTTAGTTTTCTTTGATAGGTCTACGTAATTTCATACTGACTTGCTCATGAGAAAATTAATGAAACTAACAATCTAAATGACAAGGAAGCTGGTAACTAGATTCTAAACGTTCATCTCTGCACATTGATGTCACTTGAGAAAACTATTAACATCAGAGAAAACTACAGAAATAGTCAAACACGTGGCTATGAAAGAAAAGGAAAGCATAATGAAATCAGAATAGACAAGCATAATTAAGAGACTATGAGAGAATATTCATCTGAAGTAACAAAAATATTTATGGATGGTTTTTAGAAAGTAAAAAAATATTAAACTTTGTTTGTGAGATTAACTGTTTTCACCATACTATGGAGTTAATCTCCTATGATTTATCTCTGGACTTGAGATTTGGGTAGCACTGGCTCTTATAATTTTGAAATTAAAAAATGTATACCTAATACATATATTTGTTTAAGTATATTCATAAACTTAATTTGAAAGCAATTGAGCATCTATAATATTTTTAACATTATTGAAATCTGGCTATATTTTAATTTTACTAATTTATGATTTTAATTGTTTTCCTTCTTTCTTCTCAGAGGATCAACTCACTATAAATTCTGTTTCTTACAATGATTTTAAATAGAATGCTCTTCACACCTTTCTCTTTACATATTTATATTATTGCTATTGCGATTACCACAATTTAATAAGATTCATTTAGTTTGCATATATCATATACACGTTAGCAATTTAAAAATGTACTGACTTTCCTTTCAAAATCGACATCATGATCCCTTTTAAAATGCATTTATTTTCATTCACCTTTTAGTTACGCATTGACTGTTTTCTGGTGAATGAGCTTATTTTTTATTTTATTTTTAAGTTTTAGATTCAGGAGGTACATGTGTAGGTTTGTTACCTGGGTGTATTTGGTGATGTTGAGGTTTGGGCTTTTAGTGATCCCATTGCCTGAACAATGAACATAGTACTTGATAGGTAGTTTTTCAACCCTTGCCCCTGTGGGAACTCCTTAGTGTTTATTGTTCCCATTTTTGTGTCCGTATGCACCCAAAGTTTAGCTCCCAATTATAAGTGAGAATGCATGTATTTGGTTTTCTGTTTGTGTGTTAACTTGTTGAGGACAATGACTTTCAGTTGTATCTGTGTTGCTGCAAAAGACATGATTTTACTCTTTTTTATGGTGGCATAGTATTCCATAGTGTATGTGTACCACATTTTCTTTATCCAGTGCACTGTTGATGCACACTTGGGTTGATTCCATGTCTTTGCTATTGTGAATAGTGCTGTCTCAAACATACAAGTACAGGTGTCTTTTGGTAGAATGATTTCTTTTCCTTTGCGTATATACCCAAAGTAAGGGGTATATAATTACGGGGATTGCTGGGTCAAATGGTAGTTCTATTTTTAGTTATTTGAGAAACCTCCAAACTGCTTTCTACAGGAGCTGAATTAATTTGCATTCCCACCAACAGTGCGTAAGCATTCCCTTTTCTCCATAACCTCTCCAACATCTATTATTTTCTAACTTTTTTATAATATACTTTAAGTTCTAGGGTACATGTGCACAACTTGCAGGTTTGTTACATAGGTATACATGTGCCATGTTGGTTTGTTGCATCCATCATCTTGTCATTTACATTAGGTATTTTTCCTAATGCTATCCCTCCCCCAGCCCCCCACCCCCTACGACAAGCCTCTGTGTGTGATGTTCCCCTCCCTGTGTCTAAGTGTTCTCATTTTTCAAGTACCACCTATGAGTGAGAACATGTGGTGTTTGGTTTTCTGTCCTTGTGATAGTTTGCTGAGAATGATGGTTTCCAGCTTCATCCATGTCCCTGCAAAAGACGTGAACTCATCCTTTTTTATGGCTGCATAGTCATCCTGACTGGTATGAGACGGTTTTGATTCACGTTTCTTTGATGATTAGTAACACTGAACATTTTTTCATATATTTACTGGCCAGTTGTAGGACTTCTTTTGAGAAGTGTCCATTCATATCCGTTTTCCACATTTTTATGGGGTTATTTGTTATTTTTCTTGTTGATTTGTGTAAGTCCACTACAGATTCTAGATATTAGTCCTTTGTCAGGTGCATAGTTTACAAATATTTTCTACCATTCTGTGGGCTGTTTCCTCTGTTAATATTCTTTTTTGCTGTGCAGTGGTTCTTTAGTTTAATTAGGTTCCAATTGGCATTTTTTTGTTGTTATTGCATTTGCTTTTGAGGACTTGGTCATAAATTCTCTGTCATGGACAATATCTAGGAAAGTACTTTCACTGTTATCTTCTAGGATTTTTATAGTTTGAGGTCTTACATTTAAATCTTTAATCCATCTTGTGTTAATGTTTGTGCATGGTGAGAGGTAGACGGTCCAGTTTCATTTTTCTCCTTATGCTTAGCTTCTCCAGCATCTTTTATCGAATAGAATACCTGTTCCTCATTGTTTATTTTTTTGACTTTGTTGAAGGTCGGTTGGTTGTAGGTATGTGGCTTTATTTCAGGGGTCACTATTCTGTTCCATTGGTCTATGTGTCTATTTTTGTACCAGTACCATGCTCTTTAGGTTGTTGCAGCTTTGTAGCATAATTTGAAGTTGGGTAATTTAATGCCACTGGCTTTATTCTTTTTGCTTAGGATTGTCTTGGCTATTTAGGCTCTTTTCTGATTATGATATACGGTCAGTAAACAAATAGTTGATATGCATACTACTTAAGGTGGAATTATTTCTATTTTACATGTGTACATATCTTACACCTTACTTTGACTCCTACACAGACATTTCCTCAGTATTTTCTATATTAAAAATAGCAAAGATGGGCCAGGCGCGGTGGCTCACGCCTATAATCCCAGCACTTTGGGAGGCCAAGGCAGGCGGATCACGAAGTCAGGAGATCGAGACCATCCTGGCCAACACAGTGAAACCCCGTCTCTACTAAAAATACAGAAAAATTAGCCGGCCGTGGTGGTGGGCGCCTGTAGTCCCAGCTACTCCGGAGGCTGAGGTGGGAGAATGGTGTGAACCCGGGAGGCAGAGCTTGCAGTGAGCAGAGATCGCACCACTGCACTCCAGCCCGGGCGACAGAGCGAGACTCTGTCTCAAAAAAAAAAAAAAAAAAAAAAAAAAAAGCAAAGATGAATGAATGTAATATGTTGTGTGTGCCAAGAACTTTTTAAAAGAACTTGGGCCAGGTGAGGTGGCTCACGCCTGTAATTCCAGCACTTTGGGAGGCTGAATTGGGTGGATCAGTTGAGACCAAGAGTTTGACACCTGCCTGGCCAACATGGAAAAACCCCGTCTCTACTTAAAAATACAAAACATTAGCCCAGCGTGGTGGCACATGCCTATAAGCCCAGCTACTCAGGAGGCTGAGGCACGAGAACCACTGGAACCTGGGAGATGGAGGTTGCAGTAAGTACAAGCTTGTGCCACTGTACTCCAGCCTGGGTGACAGAGCAAGACTCTGTCTCAAAATGAATAAATAAATAAATAAAAGAATTTACATATATTAATTCATTTAAAATTCACAACAAATGTATAAGGTATTTTTATTATCCCCATTTTACAGATAAAACATTGAATTTTAGAATAGCTTTTTTAACCTGGTGAATTACTATATTCTTTAAAAAAATAAAGAAATACATAGCTGAGGGTTCTCTAGTTGTGTGTTTCAACTATTATACAGTTTTTGGGCTATCTGTTACACTGTTGTGGATACTAGAAGATCAATTTGTCTGTTGTCTGGCTTCTGGAGAGCAGAGGCCGCTTATGGAACCCTGAGCTTGGTCTTATCATGTGGCAAATCTGTTAGCAGAAAGGGAAAACTTAAGTTGCTTCTATCTAGTTCAAACTAGATTATGTCGATACTTTTGGTTCTTTCCTAAAGTCAGTTGACAAATCATCACTTTGATACTCTTGAGCCAATGCCAGTTAAGCAAAGGTTTGAGGCATGATAGCTATGAAGCACTAGGTGAGGGTGTGTGTGTGTGTGTGTGTTTGTGGCCACTTGTATGACTTCTTTTGAGAAGTGTCTGTTCATGTCCCTTCTCCACAATAAATAATTGGGGTTATTTATTATTTTTCTTATTGATTTGTTTAAGTTCACTATAGATTCTGGATATGATGCTTTGTCAGTTGCATACCTTGCAAATATTTTCTCCCATTCTGCATGTTGTCTTTTTCCTCTGTTGATACTCTCTTTAGCTGTGCAGTAGTTCTTTAGTTTAAGTGGGTCCCAATTGTGTGTGTGTGTGTGTGTGCATGTGTGTGTGTGTGTGTGTGTGTCTACAGATCCAATATTTGTTAATGCGCAATTCTAACACTAAAATTAATTAGGCTCAGTATGCAATAAATTATTCAGGGGACAAGACTAAACTTGATTCAAAATGGAAATTGTCCTATTGAACTATTATAGAAAACACAACTAAATTTACACGGAAAGCAAAATGTACCTACCCCTACATGTACCATTTTCTTGCAGATGGAAGCCTGAATATTGTGAAAATTTACCATTTGTAAATATATTTCTAACAAGGTATTAAATCACATCTTTAATATTTTGACAGTACTGTTAACATTTGATAAAATGAACTTCACAGATTAGCATCCTGATTTACAACTCCCTAGACACTTGGAGATTTTAGAAGAGTGTCTTGAGCCAAAAGAGATTGAATAAATAAATGATACACTGGTTAGAAAAATTCTCTTCTCATTCAGAAATAGGGATGGAATGCATACCAATGAAAAGATACTCTGAGTCAGAAAATTAAAAAATATTAAATCAGATGAATATTGAAGTTAATCATTCCAAAGCAATAAGATCGTATGAATAAAATCATTGAGGGATAATCAAGAATTTTGGATTCAATTCATTGTTCTGCTGCTGAAGTTGTATCTATCTTGCCTCTAGTCATTTAACTATTAATCACACATTAATTGAACACCACCTACAGGAAGTGTTGATATGCTGAATGAGAAGATGAACTCAGAAGCTAAGATGTATTGAATTCTGACTCTTTCCTTTATGCTATATGTTCTTGCAAAGTCACTTAACTGTTTGGTGGCCTAATGTTTTATCTGTAAAATGGGGCTAATAAAAGTATGTTATACATTTGCTGTGCATTTTTAAAATGAATTAATATGTGTAAAGTTCTCTTAAAAAGTGCTTGGTACACCTAACATATTACATGCATCTTTGCTATTTTTTAATATAGAACATATTAAGGAAATGTCTGTGTAGCAGTCAATGCACACATGTAAAATAGAAATAACTCTACATTCAGTAGTGTGCACATCAACTATTTTTTTCCCATACATCATCCATTACACTTTAGACATCACCACAATATTTCTTTGAAGGACCACCCTTTAATTCAGTCCATGTGATTCAAGTGGGATTTAGACTTTTGTCTGCTCTACGCCCTCAGTTCCTGAAGTGGAGACTGTTCCAGGTCTGATCAATAATTCTATGCTATCCCATTAGCCATAGCATTTGGTTCAGGATGAAGAGGTGAAATAATGAGTGTCTGAGGGAGAATATCACAATTTGTGGATCTATTTAGAGATGCTCTATGCCTTTGGGGATCATTAGTTTTAAGTATGATGTGGTAAACTTAGGGGTGCCAGGAGCCACAGTAGTGATATAGATTGCATGTGAATGAAATAAACCAGAAGAAAACAGTGTCAAAAGATAGACAGACAGATAGATAGATAGATACATACATAGATACATGAAAGATAGATAGATAGATAGATAGATAGATAGATAGATAGATAGATAGAAGACTACAGAGAGAGAAGGGAGAGAGGGTGGTAGTACTCATGCTATCAGTTGAGTTCCTAAATGGAGCTGTGTCTGCAGTAAACATGTGCCTGGGATTTTGACCTGCATGAGTCAATATGTTCCCATATATATTTTGAAATAACTGTGATTCAGGTGCTTCTGTTAGCTGCCAAGAGTACATCCTAATGCACAGGAGTTAAGAATTGCCTCAAGAGACGTAAAAACATATATTATTAACATTTTAAATATCAAAATACTGCTTCATCAAGAGATATTGAGCCTGAATAATATTAGAGCTTTTAAATCTCTAGGCTTTTAAAGCTCTATTACTTATACAATCTTTACATATGGCAGCAGAAACTCTACCTTTTAGGCTTTGCTTTTCAATCTCCTTTCTGAGAGCACTTTAACTAGAGAGTTTCTCTGTCACACCATGTCACAGAGTCTTCCTCAACAATTAAGGTTGGGCAGCTATTTGCTCCTTGATTCTCCTACACACTTTGTACATAAAGCCCTGACCAGGTTTGATTTAAATTTCTGGTTTTACACATATCTCCCCAATGAGACTGTAGGCACTTTGAAAGCATAGAAAATGTCATATTCACCATTGCATCCTTTGCATGTATCACAATACTTGAAACATAGTAGTGCTCTGTATTTGTTAAATTCCCACACCAGGTATTAACAGCTGAATAATGGAGTGGTAATGTCTATTGTAAAATGATATTACTGTTACTTAGACAAAAACGCATCAGATCCCATGTGTACTAGTTGCTACGGCTGCTGCAACAAAATACCAGAGTATGAGTGGCTTGAACAACATAAATTTATTTACTCACAGTTCTGGAGCCCAGAAATCCAAAATCAAGGTGTTCACAGGTTTGTTTTCTTTCGAAGCTGCTGCTCTCTTTGGCTTCTTCCTCTGTCTTCATATAGTCTTTCCTCCGTGTGGTCACTTGACTATGTCCAAATTTCGTCTTCTTATAAGTGCACCAGTCATATTGAATTAGGGTCCAACTAGAGGGATTATTAACTAGATAACTGTTTTAAAAACCTTATATGCAAATAAAAGTACAATCTAAGTCCAACGAAGTGAAAGTAATGTCAGTTTGGTGGATCTTCCTCCATCTATTCAGCTTTTCCTTAGCTATGAAGTGTTCATACCACCTGAGACTACCTCATGGGACACTTTCTTCTGGTCTGTTCCACATTCTAGCTTTTTTTCCTCCTTAACTCCACTTTGGCAGTTCTTTAATCCTTTTTCAATCTCTTCTTCTTTCCCTCATCACTCACTCCCTTCCACTCCTTGCAAGGAGCTGCTTGACCTTCCCTTCTCTGTCTTAGGTAGAATGGTCTACCATTTATTGTCATCTAGTCTTACTTTTCTAGACAGGTCTATGTTGACATGGGTTTGAGTAGGAGACAGCAAAGCTTTGAATCTGGCAATGTAAGAGGGGAAGGGAGAGTCTGTTCATTGAGCTTTGGCTCCAGAATGTTCTATCTACAAGACAATCAGTAGATGCGCGAGCTTTAATATATCCCCTGAGAATAATTAAGGTCAAAGTTTATGCCTCTTGGTCTGTTTTCCCTTGCATTTCTCAAAGTCCTATTTCTTATCCTAGCACATTCTAAGCAAGGGGTGTGGCAACTGAAGAGAATATCTCTCACAACAAACAAATGAAATGAATTTGTGGTTCTCAATTAGTGATTGGCATTGGGGAAGACAAATATTATGTTCAGGACTGAAATATCATTAGTTCATTTATCATTACCTGATGATGCTGATTCTCTGTAGTGGTAAATCCATTCATTTGTTATTTTAAGCTGCTTGCTTGAGCTTCATAGAAAAAAGCACCATTAAATGTGAGAAGCTAGCAAGCACTTAAGAGAACTACCAGGCGTGGTGGCTCACACCTGTAATCCCAGCACTTTGGGAGGCCGAGGTGGGTGGATCATGAGGACAGGAGATCAAGACCATCCTGGCTAAAATGGTGAAACCCCGTCTCTACTAAAAATACAAAGAATTAGGTGGGCATGGTGGCAGGCGCCTGTAGTCCCAGCTACTCGGGAGGCTGAGGCAGGCAAATGGCGTGAACCCAGGAGGCGGAGCTTGCAGTGAGCCAAGATCACACCATTGCACTCCAGCCTCGGCGACAGAGCGAGACTACGTCTCAAAAAAAAAAAAAAAAAAAAAAGAGAGAATTACACAAGTATGTATAATTTAGTTACTCAGTAAGAAAGACTATACATATGGATAATAGGTAATAAACAATTCAGATCCAAGAGGATAAATACTATTGCTTTGAAAGTGCTTTGCTAATAACAGTTAACACCTTATGATGATATTAACATAAAAATGGGTACTAGCCCCATTCTAAAGAAAACATGCAAAAACGTGTACTCTAAGGAAGCCACAGTTAGGGTTATCATTGTTTAATGGAGCAGTTTACTATTATGCTTGCCAGCCAACTACTATGACCTACCTTGAACAGTGTCACTATTTGAAAAAATGCATGCCATTAGTTATCATGATAAAGCTGTACATGGTTCAGTGAATAACCACAACCATAATGGAAACCTTATACACATTGGAGGACAGTTGAGTCAGCAGTGTAAAATGTATAGCGAAGGGGCAGTGAGTTTTCTTAAGAATTTTAGAGACTAATGAGGGTGTTGATACATTTCAGTCCTGAACAAATTTATAATGAAATTTTGTATGTATAGTTTTTTAAAAATAAGTTTTTCTGTTGGGTTTCAGGTTCCTTTTAAGTTGTTATCTTTTATTCTCATCCTACTAGGAGAGTAACTCAATAATATGATCATATTAACAATAATAATAATTGCTGACATTCATTGAATGTTAGTGTGTTACGTACTATGGTAAACTCTTTCCATGGATTACTTTATTTAATGCTCACAATAGCCCTAAAGATTATGTACTTAAATTAGCTTCATTTTATGGATAAACTGAACTGAGGTATATTGAGATGAAATAATTGACCCAAGGTCATATAGGTAGCAATTTGCAAATCATAGTTTCTTATTCAGGCATTCTGACCTCAGCTCTGGCACTCTTATCACTAGAAATTGTCAGGCAATAAAAAAATACTAGTTAGTTTATACAGTATTAGGTTTGACTTATGCAGCTAGCAATAAATAGGTGCCAGAATAATTTCTTTGACTCTCTCAAGTTTTATTTTAAAGCTGAATGTGTTCAGAGTAGACATTATCATGTACTTGTTAGCATCTAGGACATGCCCCCAGTTAATAACTGGTTTTTGTCAATATGCTAAAGGGTTTGAAGTACCTGGACTTCATTCAAACCATTAATAGCTTGCAGCTATCCTAAACCCTGCGGAGCTATGATTAACCTTTTCATTACAGTTTCATCTATAGGATAAAACAGCAACTTCAGGAAAGCTATTAAGTGCAGTAATAACTTATGCTAACAGGAAAGATTCAGCAACTTTCAGTATAAATTCTCAAGAGTCATTTTCTTTTTTTTTTTTTGCCTGAAGATTTTTTGAAGCTCTGTATTCCATCAGTGATTCTGCAATTGTCTTTTCCACCTGTAAGAAGGTGAGTGGAAGAGGCTATGGCTTCCCTTTCCACCAGTGTGGAAATTTTCAAGTAAGGATTCTATCTGGAATGAATGTGCCAGTGCTTAAATAGATGGATAGATATGTATTCTGGTACCTGCCTGTCCCAGAGCAGGAAACTACAAGACCAATTCTTCTTCATAAAAATAAGCAATATACCTATGCCAATGTGCTTGCTTTGTATTTATCTATTTACTATCTCTCTAAGAAAACACTTTTATATAAAATCTTATTTTGCAAAAAATTACTTTCAGTATTACTTCAAAATACCTTCAGATTCATTACAAAGGGAGCGAAGTCTTGTGAAGCATGTCACATTGCCATGTAACCCTTGCTACTTTCCTTTAGTCAAATGTAAATATTCTCCTTTAGTCAAATGTAAATAGTTTATTTCCTGTTTCTTGAATTTGCTTTTTGGTTTCAGTACTTCAACACTGGGGTTAATGCTATGGAAATTACCCAAAGAGCTCAAACTCTTTTTTTTTTATTATTATTTTTTTTTTTTACTGTTCAAATCTGGACTGACATCTTAGAATACAACCTAATAGTAGCAGAAATCAGATTTTGTGTTAATTTGAAATGTACATAATTCAGTTTTACAGGAAGTTATTCAGATGTGTAAATTCTGAGTAACGCTTTGTTTTGCATTATATTGTTAAGAAATTGTTCATAAAATCTGTATTCTGCTCCCTCTAACCAGTTCTGTAGGCATTTATTGCTAGTCTTGGGATTGTCAGACCTATGGATATTTCTGGCCCTTTATTTTGAACTGTTTGAGGTAAATGTCACTTCCCAGAGTTCATATGTTCTTCATCTCAGCAACTGGGGAGTGACAGTAGGGAGTAACAGTACGATGTGCCTTATCAGGAGGAAGAAGTTTGTGGAGGTCTGAGCTAAGTGTCTATGATTTATTGTGAAGACTGGAAACTCCCCTGGAGCTCAAGCCACTAATTTCTTTTTATAGCATAAGAAAGCTTGGCCTGCACATTTTCCCTGCAGCACATATATTGACAGATAATACATTTTTATATGGGTCTGCAGACACATGAACTTCAAGGCTAATCAATGCCAAGGGCATACATAAAGAGGTATGCAAACGACAGGGAAGTCAGTGGAAACCATCTAAAGAAAACTTTCTCATATTCAAAAAATGTCCTCAATAAAATACCATGAATCTTAGTGTTAATCCTGAAACCAGGTTCTCTGTTTCCTCCTTTTTTATATCTCATTTACGGCTGTGATGCAGAAGTCTGGCCTTAGGTTTATATCCCATGGCTATACCCAAGGTGCTTGAATGCACCTTTACTGCTATCTTGGCACTCAAGGGTTCATAAAAAAATTATGTTCAACAAAGCACCAAAGTGAAGAGGTGAAAAGACATCACACAAACATTTTAAGAAGCAATTCATCATTTATAGTGGCATCTAACCAGATATTAATTGTCCTGCAAGAAAGAACAAAGTTGTTCTTAAGTCAAAATATTGAGTCTCATGCTGGGTTATAACCTTATGCATCATTTATGTAAGTGGTGTCTAGAAATAAAATAATTGTTTGCAGGATTCCACCACCACATACAGCCTGGTGGTTCTGACTCACTCCTCTGACTCATTGGCCCCATATTATTCCCTTTGGATAGATTAGGCAGAATGGTAGGATATTGACCATTAAAATAATTTTATGGGATTAACTTTCCAATTAGTGCTAGAGGAAATTTCTGATTTTTCAAATGAGACTCTTATGGTCTAACCAACGAACCACTCTGCCTTAATAAATTCACCATACATGTACCAGAAAAGAATTCTATGAAATAGTTGCAACACTGAATAATGAAGGCATTATGAAAATTTTTGGCTTAATCATTACAATTTCAAGTTTAAGGTGTAATTAATGCCATTTTTTCTGCAGTGTCACATGTAAGCTAAGTAGGGTTTAATACCTTTTCAATGCATTAATAAAATGCTTATGATGGAATTCTTGTCAATATTTTTTCTGAAGTTAGAGAAAGGAGAATATGTTCCTTAAGGGAAGATAAATGTTTTGTTTTGTTTTTAAACCCTTGTTTAGTTAGTACTATGCTTGTAATTGTTTACTTATACCAAAGTAGCTTCCACATTAAAACAGAAACTAGTGCTGCATATGCTTACGGGGTAAATGCATGCTCTTGTTCTTATTTTAAAAATTAAGATTTTATTACTTGATGTTTTACATATACAGTATATACAGAAAAACTCATGAAATGTTACTCTTGTTATTAAAACACATTTTTAGAAATTCTAAAAAAAATCTAAAGAGATGTTAATTTTCCAGCCATCCTCAAGCTGCTGTAATATAGTGTTCCTGATAACCCTGAACATGATTCAATTTCACACTTAAACAACATGTAGTCTGCTATCATTGTACCTCATATTTGTTCCAGTTGAAATAAAACAAGTTGGCTAAACCTTTATCCAGAAGGAGAAAAGCTCACAAATACTAACTTATCTTTCATTTTAAAACAAATGTATTGCTAACACTTTAACATTTTTTTCTTTCTATTCTCAGTTTGCACATATGGAAAAATGATTAAATTTTTAGGCCATTTATTTAACATATTCATTTAGCCTATATCTACTGTGTCCCAGACACCATTCCAATACTTGAAATATATTAGATAAAATAGAGAACACTTTGCCCCTGTAGGTAAAACAGGCAAAACTCTGCGCCCTTGCGCTTTTCTCTTTTCTTTTTTTTTCTTTCTTTTGCTTTATTGTAAATCAAAACAGGATGGAGGATTGAGACAAAGTAAATTTTATATCAATCAACAAACTCCCATTAGATGAACTAAATTTAGAACTTGAAAGCCATACTAGTCAGTATCTGGGGAAGTCATGAGAATTTAACATCACATACAGGCACAGACACACACACACTCACACACACACATATATGTTTAAAGATATATCTGTGTGTGTACATTTATTTTATATGTGTATATATGCTTATTTATTCCAAGACTACTCTACCTTTTAATAATTTTTGAAAGAAATGTATATTTTACATGATATAAAATTCAGAATTAAAATATTATCAAAACATTGGTACACTATTAGACATGCTTCTCTTGCTGGTTAATATCTACTTAAGGCATATAAAATATTAAGTAAACAAAATTATTTTAAAAAGTAATACCACCCCTGCTCCTGGGATCTGATAAAATGTGACACAAGCTTACTGAATTACTTCCATATTCAAAGTCTGTTTTCCTATTGTTTTAAGCTCTTTGTCTACCAGAGCAAATGTTGCAAAAGCACTACTCATTTTTCTAGAGAATTATAAATCTAGAAGTATAAATTATAGGATATTAAAATATAATTTCTTAAGAATTGTGAACACAATTATTAATATGCTGAGGATAATTAAGCCATGGGCATGTGAGAGTAGTTATTGGATACAGGAATCATTCGTAATTTTTCTTTGCAGAGCTCATTTAATTTCTCCTTATACCCAAAAGCTAAAGCTTTGTGGGTCTAGGTGAGCACTGAGATACTCAGCAGAAACCTATTTTCAGGTAGAGAAATTTACCACTATCAAGACTTCCACATGTTTATTGTGTCAAGTACCTGTGGAG
Organism: Homo sapiens; assembly: GCF_000001405.40. Taxonomy (NCBI): domain Eukaryota; kingdom Metazoa; phylum Chordata; class Mammalia; order Primates; family Hominidae; genus Homo; species Homo sapiens. Next base: position 43,279,235 of record NC_000004.12, read on the forward strand.
CATAGACAGACTACTGTACCTACAAAACACCTACTGCATAGGTAAAAATTCGTTGCTAACCTGGGTTATAAGATTAATGCTAATGTTAAGTCCAATTATGAATCACCGAATGGTGTGTGGGTAGATCGTGGATGGAGGCTTAAGAAGGAGGGAACCGTATTTTAATGGAGGGTTGTTTTCACAATAGTGAATACACAGATTTTGATGAGAAACTTTACAACTCCATGATTTACTGTCTGTGTGACCTGCACCAAGTCATTTAATCTCTCTGACACCACTTCCCTCATTAGTAAAATGCAGATTATAATCCCAGCCTTGCAGAGTTGTGAGAACTCATGATGAACTCATGTCCTTTGCAGCGACATGGATGAAACTGGAAATCATCATTCTCAGCAAGTTAACACAAGAAGAGAAAACCAAACACTGCATGTTCTCACTCATAAGTGGGAGTTGAACAATGAGAACACATGGACACAGGGAGGGGACCATCACACACCGGGGCGTGTCGAGGGGTAGGGGACTGGCGGAGGGATAGCATTAGGAGAAATACCTACTGTAAATGACAAGTTGATGGGTGCAGCAAATCAACATGGCACATGTATACCTATGTAACAAACCTGCACATTCTACACATGTACCCCAGAACGTAAAGTATAAAAATAATAAAAAAAACTTAGTACAGTGCTGTTAAATCCTTGAGATGGGTATTATTTTATGTTCAGTCAAGTTTTGCTGGCAACTATAATCTTCCTTCTCTAAGGGAAACAAGAGATGTTCAGGGGCAAGGAGGGATTTCTGTCCCTTGTAGTTATGATGGAAATGCTGATTGGATGGTAGTTAAGCCACCAAAGAATGATGACCCTCTGTTATATTGTATAAATCTTTAGACTATGTGGCATAAAGTCCTCACTTTCAGGAAGCAGAAAAACATAGATTCGAAGTTAGACTTATCCCACTCTCTCAGAATAGCAGCATCACTTTGACTCAACGAACCTAGAAAATGGCCGAGTCAGCCTCCGATTCAAAATTCAAATTTGTAATTTTGAAATTCCCTAATAAATTCTGAGATAATTCTCTGTATTTGTTTTTGACGGTTGTGTAACAAATTGCCACAAGCTTAGTGGCTTAAAACAATTTAAATTTAGCATCTCAGTTTCTGTGGGTTGGGAATCTGGGTGTTGCTTAGCTGATTCCTGTGCTCAGGGTCTTGTCTGGCTGCAATCAAGGTGTCAACTGGGGCTACGGTCTCATCTGAAGCTTGCGTGGGTACTCTTTTAAGTTCATGTGGTTGTTGGCAGAATTGAGTTTTATCTTGTTGTAGGACTGAGTCTCTCAGCTTCTAGAGGCCACTCCTTTCTAAAGCAGTTCACAGCATGGTTTATCCTTCGCCCTGGTGGCCAGCAGAATCCCACTGATACTTCACCTTCTTTAAAGGTCTCACCTGATTAAGTGAACCCCACACAGGATAATCTCTCTTTTGATTAACTCAAAGCTAACTCTCTCAATTAGAAAGCTTAATTATACCTGCAAAACTGCTATATTTTTGCCATGTAATTATGGTTGTCAGATAAAATGATACCCAGTTAAATGTGAATTTCAGGAAAACAACAAAGTGTGGTTTTCTTTTCTCTGAATACAGCACCTTGTCCTTCCAGCTTTCAATAAATAGACATGCTGCTTACCTTACGGTAATCTAAATTAAATGTAGATGTATTGTCTAGTAGACTTTGCCTATTTATCTGTTAATAAACACATTTAGTCAGGGCTCACCCCCTGTAGTTGCCATAAACCCTGCTTACTACTGTCTTATATTCAAACTTTATTGTTCATTTTTCCCTCTTCCTGACGCAGTAAGCATGTGAGTTGTGATCGCTTTTCCAGTTTATTACCCATATTTTGCTCTCTCTCTGTATAGATACAAGATGTGATTATCCATGTTGATATCAACAATCCTCAAAATCTTGAGCCCATTTCTTTCTTTCTTTGATTTTCTAGAGTGCTTTGCCAGTGCTCCAATTGCCGCCATTTGCTATGAATAAAGTTACCCATCTCTATACATGGTTGCAATGACTTTGTATCTTGCTAGGCTATGCATAGCTGTCAGTCATGAGATTTGGTTTTCTGGCCAGCATATGACCACAGCAGTCTAACCCAATCATTTTTATTTTATTCATTACTGTCTCCTGAGAACAGTCCAAACAGAATAACATTGATTTCCAAATTTTCAGCCTCAAAACCCATTCCCTTTATTTACCTATCTTCCTTCTTTTTCTTCTCTGAGTAAGGAAGATTATCTATCCTTGTCTCCAAGGCTAATCCTCTGCCTGAGCTCTCCTATTGCTCTAATATGGTTTGAGGATTAGAGAAAATGCTTCTCAAATCCTGCCTTTCAAATATCTGGCTGAAGTCTAAAATTCTACTGATGGAGCTTAATTGGTCTTAACTTCAGGTTTTGATCTGAAAATTCATATATTTCCCTGAGAGAAGCTCTTCATGGATTATGCTTTCACAATGTTCTTCTTCAAACCTCTACTTGGGCAATTACCACCTTGTCACATCCAGTTATCATGTACCTATTTATACATCTAACCTCAATCTTAGTCTGTAAGAAATTCTAAGATAAGGATATGGTTTTATTTGTGCTATAATTCTCAGTATAGGCTGCTTGATGTATACTTGCATTTAATGAGTGCTTGTGGGAGAAATAAATGCCAACTTATTCTAAGTACTTACCTGAGAACGCATTGTTTTTACATGTTTGCATTTTGGTTCAGAGCCCTCATGGTTGTATCCAGATGAACATCTGCATTGCTTACCATGCCTTAGTAGATCAGGAGAAATTCTGATTGGGAAACAACGATGTGCAATAATATTTTATTAAGTATTAATAATTTTAAATAATAAGAATTAGTAGCATTTGTTAATAACTTTTTATGAGCTAGGCTATGTAATAAATAAGAGGTTTGGAAACTACAGTGCAGGAGCCAAATCCAGCCCAGTAGCTGTTTTTGTACACTCGATAAGATATGATTTTCATATTTTTAAATAGTGGAAAAAAATAAAAAGAATAGTATTTTGCAACAAATATCCAAATTTCAGTGTCCATAAATAGAGTTTTGCATTTCTTCTATAAAATATTTGTGATTTTTTTCTCCCTGTTTTATATAAGTAGCTATACAATATCCTCAAGTTTGCCTCTTGTTTCAAAAACCTTAAAATATTTATTATCTAGCTCCTTAGAGAAAAAAATTTCTGACCCCTACTCCAAATGCTGGACATCTTTTTTGTCTTCATACATAATAATGCATAATCAATTGAGAAAACAACTGTCTCCACTCTCTCCATGTATCTGCAGAGACTTTCTCGAAAGTCACAGAGGTCAGTCTGGTGGCTTTTGTTTTTTGAATGTATACCAGATCTGGTGGCCTTGCCAGCTCCTCTTCTGGGCTCTTGCTCATGGCTTGGTAGTGGCTGGCTGGAAGGGAAAGTGCTGAGCTGGGAGGCTGTTACAGCTGCTTTTGCAGCTTCAGGTCCTTAATGCTGCAGTTTTACACCAGTGAGTCTCAGCACTTCTTAATTGTCAACTATAAAGTTCTGCAGCTGTCTCTGTCAAATTTGTCTAGATTCTCACAAAATTCCTGGGGAGGCTGAGATACATTTTTTACTTACCTCAATAACTGTTTCTTTTTAGCTAAAGGCAGGCACAGTGTTCTTGCTTTCCCTGCTTCCAGGAGCTTCTGTTCCTCTTCAAGGACATCATCACAGTTTGGGATTGACCACGGCTCCTCTCTCTTTGTGTTTAGCTATACAAATGGCAGCTTATTGAGAGCGGGATTTAAAAATCCCAAATCTCTCTGGAAGGGCTTGGGATCTTTGCAGACAAATCACATTTGTTAATGATGCCACAAGAATTACTCAAAATAAATATGTAGACTGAATACACGTGATGACTCTCGCTTTTTACTAGGGCTTGTGATGGTGATGACTTAGTAACTAATCCACTCAATGGATGATCTTTAATTAAAAAAATACTCAACTCTGTGAAAGGTTAATTTACAAAGATTACTAATTTTTCATTACTTCATCAACTGTACTATTTCAAAAATACTGATTAACCTTTTGGGGTCTCCAAAAAAAGTAGATTTGAAGATTTACATGTAAACAGCATATACTTTCAGATAGTTATTGATTGATAACCAATAGGCTCCTAGAAAACAAGAATACCACACAACTGTTGCTATAGTGTAATATTATCTGTGAAGATTTGCATTATTTGGGGTTTAGTCTTGGATATTTTCTGCTAAAATCCAGGTTTTATTTTCATCTACTAAGAGGAGGCATTGGTCATATTATTCCCTCCTAGAAAGGGAGATCCAGGTAAAACTTTGTTTAAGGTGTGATATCCTCAAGACAAGCTGCCTGCTCAGGATGAAAAGTGCCTTCCCACTTCTGACAGTGATTTCCTATAATGATTCTGGATAATGGTAGCCTGCCTCTCCCAAGACTGCTTCACAAAACCACTGGGTTTCCTGGAATGTCTGTAGTGATGGCATTTTTTCCTAATATAATTTTTCTCCTACAGATTTTAATTTAGTTACAGATTTATCCATTAAAATTGCAATTTGATATAGGAAGTGTTGCTAGGATACTTAATATTTTTTCAAGGAAAGCATCTCTAAGGCTTTTTTCCCTCTTTCAGTTTTTGATAACATGATCTCCTTAGAATTAGTTTCGTTCCACGTACAGTTTCTGGGTAGAGTGATCTTTCCTTTCCTTGTCCGCATATTACCTCCTGCATATTCCCTCTTGCTATTCCCATATGCTGTTCTCTCCTCCGTCATGAGTGCCACCTGCACTGACCCTCTCCCTGTCCTTGGACCAGCCTTTAAACACTCCTGAAAAACTGTCATGGTTTAATTTTTGGATGATACAACTTTGAGAAGTAAGACTTCACTTCTTTTTTATTTTAATTTTTAAATCATCAGGTAGGTTAAACATTATTATTATTTGACTAGTATCTACTATAGATTTTGGAATTATTAACATTTGTGTACTTCTGATGACTCTCTCATTATGTGATACGTATTTCAGACATTAACTTGCTTAATCCTTTGAACATCTGTTGTGAAGGAGGTACCATTGCTAACCCCCTCTTACATAGAACTGAGTAGAGCTTTTGTTCAATGTGATTTCTTATCTGACCCTAAAGTCTCTGTTCTCAATTACTACCATATACTATATACACTAAATGGCTCTAATAATTTTCTGGTGAAGGAACATAAAAGCTTTTCAAAATCCCTAGCATATTATATTTTTATCAAGAGAGATAAGGTACTCTCTCAAGGGCTCACTTAGGTTGGATTTCAATTTGTCTATACCAGTGTTGTTTCATCGTTCTGAAAGAGGATGGAAAAGTAAAATAAAAACTAAAGAGATCAGCGTTTTCTCTTCCTTTCATATCTCCAGGTGATCCCTGTGGTTGCCTACAGTTTTTTAAAGTGAGTCTATCCCCTATTTATGCCTGCTCCTATTAGATGAAGTAAGAACTTTGAGATTCATTGTTTTCCTAAAACTCACTGACCTCTCCTCCCACACTTTTGCTTCTGGCTCTAATATTGCTTTCCTATAATTTTCCTTGTTTAAATATTTATTAAGCACTTTGACTAATAAAATACTATTGCAGAGCCATTTTGGAGCTGTGCTATGCAAGTGTTAAAGTCAACTCCCATGCCTTGAGGGAAGTGTGGCATGAACAGAGTTTTTGACAGAATCATCAAAATCAAGTTCTGGCCCTCTTGCCAACAGCAACGTGGTTAAGAGTTTACTTTTAGTGAGTACTTACTATGTGCCAGGCACTATTTCAACCTCTTTGTGTATATTTCATTATTCAGTACTCACAACAATCCAACATTATTATTATTGCTATGTTACAGATCCTGAACCTGAGACTCAGAGAGGTAACTAACCTACCCAAATTTACACAGATAACAAGTTATGGGCAAAGCTCTATGAGTTTTACCAATTCATTTTATATCCCTAGATTTCGTTTTTTCATTGGTAAAATTGATGGACTTCAGTAAATAATTTCTAAGGCCCCTTCCATTTCTTAAGTTAATTGATGTCTTCCCCTAGCAGCCTTATTTTAATATTCTATTTTTTAAGACAGGAAAGTCACATAAGTTTTATCTCTATCTATTTACAAATCCATTTTCTTCCTCTGGCTTTTCCTCTTCTGAGACTTGTTAGCACTAAAGAGTATAACTTTATTCTCATGGTTACTAACACAATCCTGACACCAGTTGAGTCCTTGAGTAAAATCAATATTTTTATTTCCTTTCTTCAACCTCCAACACAAAGTATAGCATCTGGCCCATGGTAGGTACTCATGAAATGTTGAACAATATGAAATATTGAAATGAAATGAGAACATGAAATTTTGAACAATACATATATTTTTGTGTTTATGTATATATTATATTGTATCTTGTTTTGCTCATTGAACTATGAATTCACTGAGGACTTTATGCTGACAGTTGAGTTGGAAATAGGGCAATGATTAGATCTAATTTGCCAAAACTTAATTTTGAACTATCAAACCACAGCCCATTTTCATCTTGAATCTGAGCGCCAAAAAGGAACACTATGCAGTAATTTCTCTGCATTTCAGCATTTTGTATATCCAGAGCATTTTGGGAATCTTGCTGCCTTTATGCACGTTTGCAGATGGAGACATTAATCTCTTCCAAGCACATTACCAGAGAATTTTCCAAATTCCGGATATTTTATAATTTGTCGCAAGGTTTACTGGGAGGAGGGAATGAACATGTAATGAAAGTGAAAAGTTTAAGGTGCTAATCATCAAATTCCTTATATTCCTTAATTTTTAAATATGAATACAATATTTGAAATCCCAGTTTAAAAGGTGGTACCAAGAAGAACTAACATGAATCAAAAGAGTTTATTTTCCTTAGAAAAAGAGTAATTCTTTTACATAAATAATTAATATTCAATGGAGTTGTCATACATAATTTTATCTTTCCATTTTTTTCTCCCTGTTTTGGTGTCATTCACTGCCAATAAGAATTGTTAATTTTAAAGTTGTGCTTGTTCAGCATTTTTCCCCAGCTGCCTAGTTTTTAATGAACTAAAGAATTTTACAATAAAATTCATATTTGACATTATTAAGCCTTCATTTCTCATAAATCCTGCTTGCTTTCTGTTTGCCTGTTCCATACATTCACAGATTAGAATATTAATGAATAAGCACGAAACTTCAAGTGCAATTTCTCTTTGCAATTTAAAAAGTGACATTTTTTCAGATAATGAAAATGAATTCAATGTATTCAAATGAATACACAGAAGTTTCGTTCCTCATCTCTTTGTTGACAGGTTTCTAATGCTTATTCTTAACTCTTCACTGGATGTGACCTAATCAATCCACTACGATATGAGGATCTTAACTGGTTTCTTTTGTTTTCTTATTATATGTTAATATGAATTTTACTAAGGATTGGTAATTAATCCTGCAACTTCCTCTTGGGGGAGTCATTCTTGAAATCCAGGGGTTATCAAAAATGTAACTAGCTAATGAGAGACAGGGCATCAATTTTTTTTCAGCTATTCACTCCAAAGCAATGAAATATAATGGCATTGAAAAGACATTTCGTGGTAGTTTGTATTTCTGTGGGATCGGTGGTGATATCCCCTTTATCATTTTTTATTGTGTCTATTTGATGCTTCTCTCTTTTTTTCTTTATTAGTCTTGCTAGCGGTCTATCAATTTTGTTGATCAGAGAATACTACAAACACCTCTATGCAAATAAACTAGAAAATCTAGAAGAAATGGATACATTCCTCGACACATACACTCTCCCAAGACTAAACCAGGAAGAAGTTGAATCTCTGAATAGACCAATAACAGGCTCTGAAATTGTGGCAATAATCAATAGTTTACCAACAAAAAAGAGTCCAGGACCAGATGGATTCACAGCCGAATTCTACCAGAGGTACAAGGAGGAACTGGTACCATTCCTTCTGAAACTATTCCAATCAATAGAAAAAGAGGGAATCCTCCCTAACTCATTTTATGAGGCCAGCATCATCCTGATACCAAAGCCGGGCAGAGACACAACCAAAAAAGAGAATTTTAGACCAATATCCTTGATGAACATTGATGCAAAAATCCTCAATAAAATACTGGCAAACCGAATCCAGCAGCACATCAAAAAGCTTATCCACCATGATCAAGTGGGCTTCATCCCTGGGATGCAAGGCTGGTTCAATATACGCAAATCAATAAATGTAATCCAGCATATAAACAGAGCCAAAGACAAAAACCACATGATTATCTCAATAGATGCAGAAAAAGCCTTTGACAAAATTCAACAACCCTTCATGCTAAAAACTCTCAATAAATTAGGTATTGATGGGACGTATTTCAAAATAATAAGAGCTATCTATGACAAACCCACAGCCAATATCATACTGAATGGGCAAAAACTGGAAGCATTCCCTTTGAAAACTGGCACAAGACAGGGATGCCCTCTCTCACCGCTCCTATTCAACATAGTGTTGGAAGTTCTGGCCAGGGCAATCAGGCAGGAGAAGGAAATAAAGGGTATTCAATTAGGAAAAGAGGAAGTCAAATTGTCCCTGTTTGCAGACGACATGATTGTTTATCTAGAAAACCCCATCGTCTCAGCCCAAAATCTCCTTAAGCTGATAAGCAACTTCAGCAAAGTCTCAGGATACAAAATCAATGTACAAAAATCACAAGCATTCTTATACACCAACAACAGACAAACAGAGAGCCAAATCATGAGTGAACTCCCATTCACAATTGCTTCAAAGAGAATAAAATACCTAGGAATCCAACTTACAAGGGATGTGAAGGACCTCTTCAAGGAGAACTACAAACCACTGCTCAAGGAAATAAAAGACGACACAAACAAATGGAAGAACATTCCATGCTCATGGGTAGGAAGAATCAATATCGTGAAAATGGCCATACTGACCAAGGTAATTTACAGATTCAATGCCATCCCCATCAAGCTACCAATGACTTTCTTCACAGAATTGGAAAAAACTACTTTAAAGTTCATATGGAACCAAAAAAGAGCCCGCATCGCCAAGTCAATCCTAAGCCAAAAGAACAAAGCTGGAGGCATCACACTACCTGACTTCAAACTATACTACAAGGCTACAGTAACCAAAACAGCATGGTACTGGTACCAAAACAGAGATATAGATCAATGGAACAGAACAGAGCCCTCAGAAATAATGCCGCATATCTACAACTATCTGATCTTTGACAAACCTGAGAAAAACAAGCAATGGGGAAAGGATTCCCTATTTAATAAATGGTGCTGGGAAAACTGGCTAGCCATATGTAGAAAGCTGAAACTGGATCCCTTCCTTATACCTTATACAAAAATCAATTCAAGATGGATTAAAGATTTAAACGTTAGACCTAAAACCATAAAAACCCTAGAAGAAAACCTAGGCATTACCATTCAGGACATAGGCGTGGGCAAGGACTTCATGTCCAAAACACCAAAAGCAATGGCAACAAAAGCCAAAATTGACAAATGGGATCTAATTAAACTAAAGAGCTTCTGCACAGCAAAAGAAACTACCATCAGAGTGAACAGGCAACCTACAACATGGGAGAAAATTTTCGCAACCTACTCATCTGACAAAGGGCTAATATCCAGAATCTACAATGAACTCAAACAAATTTACAAGAAAAAAACAAACAACCCCATCAAAAAGTGGGCAAAGGACATGAACAGACACTTCTCAAAAGAAGACATTTATGCAGCCAAAAAACACATGAAAAAATGCTCATCATCACTGGCCATCAGAGAAATGCAAATCAAAACCACTATGAGATATCATCTCACACCAGTTAGAATGGCAATCATTAAAAAGTCAGGAAACAACAGGTGCTGGAGAGGATGTGGAGAAATAGGAACACTTTCACACTGTTGGTGGGACTGTAAACTAGTTCAACCATTGTGGAAGTCAGTGTGGCGATTCCTCAGGGATCTAGAAGTAGAAATACCATTTGACCCAGCCATCCCAATACTGGGTATATACCCAAATGACTATAAATCATGCTGCTATAAAGACACATGCACACGTATGTTTATTGCGGCATTATTCACAATAGCAAAGACTTGGAACCAACCCAAATGTCCAACAATGATAGACTGGATTAAGAAAATGTGGCACATGTACACCATGGAATACTATGCAGCCATAAAAAATGATGAGTTAATGTCCTCTGTAGGGACATGGATGAAATTGGAAACCATCATTCTCAGTAAACTATCGCAAGAACAAAAAACCAAACACCGCATATTCTCACTCATAGGTGGGAATTGAACAATGAGACCACATGGACACAGGAAGGGGAATATCACACTCTGGGGACTGTGGTGGGGTCGGGGGAGGGGGGAGGGATAGCATTGGGAGATATACCTAATGCTAGATGACACGTTAGTGGGTGCAGCGCACCAGCATGGCACATGTATACATATGTAACTAACCTGCACAATGTGCACATGTACCCTAAAACTTAAAGTATAATTAAAAAAAAAACATTAAAAAAATAAATAAATAAATAAATATTGGCAATAATTTAAATTAAAACTATAACATTCCAAAGTAAGAAGCTGACCTATGTTTTGGAATTAAATTGTGCATTGGCTACAAAAAAAAAAAAAAAAAAAAAAGAAAAGACATTTCGTAGAGTTCTTAAGAAAGAATGTGAAAGTAGAAGGAAGGAAGGAAGGATTGATTGACAGTGGAAGATAAAAGATTTCCTGAGCATAGAGCCTCTGAGCACAGAGCCTGGAAAAGTGACTGCTTTTGCTCCCTGTTTAGTTTGCTAGGAATATAGAGTGGCAATAAAGAACCTCATGAAATACTGTAGCACAATGCTTCTAGTGCAATGGGTTGGATTTTTCACCTCTTAAACATAGATAATCTCAAAAGGAAATAGATGAGTTGGTGAACATTGTTATGGTTATTTGCCTATTGCTACCTTAGAATTACTTTATTTTTAGCTGATTTTTTTACACTTCTGTGTTTTTCTACTTATAGGCTTATGATTCTTTATGAATCAATATGCAAATCTTAATGCCAGAGATATAAAGGATGACCTTTTTTGTATAGATTTATAGACATTATTAAGGGGCCTTACAGATCATCTAGTGCAGACTTTTTACTCCATAAACTTAAAAAAAGATACACAGCAAGTTAAAATATCTGTATGATGTCATAGATTAACATGATCATTTGTATATAGAAATGAATACCAGATGGTACCCCGATTGTTATATATGACATTTGGATTCATGAAAACCAACATACATGTACTTTCAGTTATAAATGTTCTCATAAGCAAAGGGAAGTTAAAGGAGTTAAAGAGAGGAAGAGTGAAGCATATAGAAGAAGATACGTCTTCTTGAGCAACTTCTGGGCTGATAAGTCAATGTATGTATTCCGTTCAGAGTTAGTGGGGACCCTATATGGGTTGATAAGTCAGGGGACTGAAGTTCTGAGGAAATAATTATCTTGCAAATCTTATAAAACAAGGATTTAAATTTGGGTCTGTCTCAGGTGAGAGTCTATTTTATTTATTTGCTGAATAAAATCTTTAGAGCTTAAAACATAGATCATAATATTTTTTATTTGTACACAGCTTTTATATTTTCACACAATGCTTATTTATCCACCAGTCATTTGTTTGGACCATATTTATTGGTAATTTACTACTGGTGGTTTCTATACTATGTGTGGAGCTTAGGTAAAGACCTTCTGTTCCCAGAACTTACCATCTGGTACTGTTACTCAAGCACAGCAATGTCTCATAAGAGAGGTATAAGTATGACAATAATTTAAACGTGGGAATAATCACTTTTTGTTCATAAACCTCACAGGTTTTCATGAAAGAGATGGCCTTCATTTTTTTCTCTCCTGATTGAGCTTCGTTGGAGAAATTATGCTCCATGTGAGAAGATGGCAGGAGCCAATGAACAGGGAGGAGTTTGGAAGCAATCATGGAAGGTGATTTGAGGAGTACAGTATAACCAAAGTGTTCCTACTGTGAAAAAGTCATCTACAAAACAATTCTGAATAGATAAATTGAAACCATATTCCAGGGGCCTTCTGAGGCCACAGCAAGAAGTAGAGGTGGCCGTGGGAAAGCTGTTAAGTAGTGGTATCACATAATCAGAATTTGTTTAAAACCTTTCTTTAATACTTACCAGTTGTGCAATGCTGATCAACTCGCGTGGTGAGTTCAGTACTTGGTATTGGGTCCAAAATCTATCTCAGGTTTGGAATGAGGGAAAAAGATTATGATATTCTTTGGGGGACAATTGCTTCTTGCCTCCTAATCTTTTCTGTTTCATTGCTCCTGATTGCACAGGTTGGGCAGTACCATTAATGCCTCTCTATCTATTTTGCTTTAATGAAAACTTTGCTCTATTAACTACCTCCATGATTCTCAGAGGGTCAGGCCCTGCAGATGGTCTCTGCCATCTTGTTACTACTTTTGACTTTCTCTTTTTTTTGAGACAGTGTCTTGCTTTGTTGCCCAGGATGGAGTGCAGTGGCGTGATCATGGCTCACTGTAGCCTTGAACTCCCAGGCTCAGGCCATCTTCCTACCTCAGTTTCCTAAGTCGCTGGGACTATGGTTGCACACCACCACACTTGGCTAATTTTTTCTTTTTTTTCCTTTTTTTTTGGAGAGGCAAGTTCTTGCTATCTAAAACTCATTTTGATAATTGAACTCATTTTAGTTCTGAGAAGTAAGATGCCACCTACCCTGTCTTGTTTGGGGGATCTTTTAGGTTTTTTATTACTAGTAGAACATTTGGGTAAGGGATCTTCCACCATGAGCCTTGGCCCACACCACTGAATGTGGTGATCTTTGTGACTCTCTCACTAGCACGTTCCTTATTGCTTGTGTAAATGGTGTATCATCTAGGTTCTCCTGTTGAATATTGTTCTCTGGTGACTTTTGTAGTCTTTTATAGTATACCCACTTTAACATGCCCACTTTTTCAAGCTTTTTCTTTCTTTAGCCTATTACCCTGCCATAACAATTCTAGTTTTTCATTTAATTTAGTGTGGTACAGTGACTTTTCCACACTTAGAAAAGCCATCTTTTGGCATGCCTGTACCATCCCTGAACAACTTACCAAGGTATCGACTCTTATATCTTAGGAGAGTGCTCCCATATCAATAGGGAGTCATACTTTGCTTAATGACAGGAATACATTCTGCGAAATGTGTTGTCAAGCAATTTCACTGTTGTGCAGACATCATAGGGTGTACTTACACAAACCTCAATTGTATAGCCTACCACACATCTAGGCTATATAATGTAGCCTGGTGCTGCCAGGCTACAAATGTGTACAGCATGTAACTGTATCAAATACCACAGGCAATTGTAAAACAATGGTAGGAGTTTGGGTATGTAAACATAGAAAAAGTATAGTAAAAATTTGGCTTTGTAATCTTATAAGACCACTGTCACATGTGCAGTCTGTAGTTGACCAAAACGTCATTATGTGGTTAATGACTGCACCTTCTTTTATGCAAGTGTATATCTGACACTCGTTGATCCAGCACCCTAAGAATCTAGTTTATGTGTACTTTCCCATTTATTATTGAATTATGTTGGCTAGGTTCAGTAGTTCCCTTTAGATATAGTCTCTTTCCTTTATTTGCAGGCACGGTTTCTCCAACTGGGTTATATTTTGACTTAACATTAGTGATTGGCTTAGTGGCAAAAAGGGTAGGTAGTGGGGAGCAGATGCTGAGTGGAGGTGCATTTTATCTTGTAGGAAATAGGCCTCTGAATTATCTTCAATCAATGGTGTGTGTGTGTGGCGGGGGGGTTGGTATCTCTTAATAAGGAGGAATAAGCTGCTTTTGCAAGCTCATATGGTTCGCGGGAATCCAGGGTTTCAAGATTTTCAGGTGAGTCCACATTAATGTTCTTATCCCATGTGTCAGGGTCCCATTTTTTTTCTTAATTATTACGTGACCTTGGCATAACAGACCTGTTTTGTTGGAATTGTTGTTTTCTCTAGTGCTTGCGGATGCTTACTCTCACATTCCTGTGCCTCATCATCTTTCTCTGACAACCCACTGCAGGAGATAAGAATCCCTTTGGTTTTTACAGTTGGTTCTGAATCACCTACTAATAACTATCAATGTTTTATTATCTTCTCACCAGAGCATAAAGTAGGCTTAGTAATAGTCACCCAATGCCATTGTCCTTAGAGTTATCATTTCCCCAATATTCCTCAAACTCTTGACACATTGTGCCAGCCACTGTATGTCCTTTCATTCTCGTACCATCCCAATTCATCATCAAACAAAGTTTTAACAGCTGCCCTGCTACTATGCTCCAGGGACATTCAATACTCTACCTACCACAATTTATAGGGCTCCAAAATCTCATTTTAGTTTCTTGGGTCACTCCTGGTATCAGCGGTCACAGGTTTGGTTCCTTTGGAGGCATTCACTAACAGGAAGGCTAGAGGGCATAAAGCTGGGTTGGACATAAAGAGATGTTGAGTTGTGACGTGGCCCCAACAAAGGCCTCAGGTCACCCTATGGGAGACTCTGGAGTTCTGGAGCTGAAATGGCCCATGTTGGGCTAATGAAACTAGGCCTTCCCACCCTTCTATTGATCAACATTGAACATGCACAGCCCCAGAAAGAAAGCATGACCTTGGGCATAATAATTTTCTTCAGCTGAGGCAATCCTTAAAGAGGGTTGACAGCTGAGGTGTGTCTTCTGGCAGTACTCCCAGAACCTAGGGGGAAGATTCTTCTGATGATATTTCTGATAAGATATCTGGCAGTATATCATGGCATCTACCACAGTCCTTGTCTCTACTTCTTTCGTGTAGCTCAGAAATCACCCCACTGCTTTCTGACTTTCCTAATCCCTACTTCACGAAGACAACCCTAACAGAGGTCACTGATGCCTTCCTTATGGCTGTTTGGGCTGAAAAACACTGTGCCTGAATTGTGTCCTTGGTTCAACTCATACAGATGCTCTTCTGTCTTCTAGGTAGGAAGAAGTGTGAGTGAGGGGAAAAAAGCCTGACTCCATGTAGACCCTCTAATCTAGGTGATTTCCTCAGAACACATTATGGATAATTTGGTCTTAGACTTGCCGTAACTTATTGCAGTCTTTTGTATATACGCCTATTTCCCATTAAAGAGTAAAAATCTTGAAGATCGATTCATATTTGCATTTCTCGAATAGATTAAAATTCCAAGGACATATCATGCTAGTTTCCTTCTCCCTTCCCTTTCATCGTAATGGTGGCCCACGGGGAGAACCTCAAGATGTGACAACAGTGAAAATGCTGTAATCCAAACAGCATCAGTTGTCTGAACTAGGATGTGACAGTGGAAAGAGAAAAAGAGGCACATAATAAAGATTCCACAGAATTGATTTGACCAGATTTTATAATGGGTTTTCTGTGAAGGTTTAGGGAAGCTTAGTAAGACAAATATTGCTGTTGCGAAGGATACTGAAGATATGGGAAGACTGGTTCGGGAGCAAAAGGAAATAATGAGTTCACTTTTGGCAATTTGACTTGAAGATATTTGAGGGCTAATGATAGAAAATATCCAGAAATCTCCTAGACATGCGAGACTGAGCATTGAGAGGTGGCAATAATGGGACAAGAAACATAAATCCAGAAGTTATCTAGGTAATGCTTCTAATGGAAATCACTGGAATGAGTTGCATAACCTAGCCTGTAGAGAATACAGAGAAGACAATCGTGCATTGAATCTTGGGTAACACATGTATTTGAGGATGTAGGAAGAAGAGACCAAGATACCAAGAAGGCAAGAAGGAAAGGATGAAGAGGTGAGACTAAAACACATGTAGTGTAGTATCAGAGATGCTATTAATAAGGGACATTTCAGGAGGGATGAGGTGTTTGATACAGTTAGCAATGTTTCAGGGACACAAAAGAGGGTGAATAAAGGAACAATGAACTTAGCAATTATTTATCATAATTCTATTAACAAACATTTTTGAGTGTCTACTTTGTTCTAGATATTGTGATAGACATCTAGAGATACAGCAATAAGCAAGGTTGATACAACTTCCGTCCCTAGGGAAATGAAAACATCTTTGAGAAGGCAGTTTTATTAAAGGGATGGAAGCTAAAAGGACATAGTCTCACAAACATAGTCTCACAGACAACTCTTTCAACTAGATGGCACAGGTATCTTTCTCAGCTTCTTTCAATTTAAATTCTACTACTTCCTTTCTATTTACATATGATATCAGATAATACTTACTTATTCTACAAATGAAGAAACAGCACCGTGAAATAAGGGTCATGTCAAAAGCATGAAGTGAGTTAGTGACAAAGCTAGAAAGAAATTCTGATTCTATCGTTTCTGTTGTATTTTCACTATGCATGTCTGAATATTTATCAGACTTTAGGGTAATTACTTATCACTTAGAAATAGAGGTTTAATACCTCTTCTCAGGATATCATTATTGTTTTCTCATTTTGATTACAAGCAAGACATTAGACAGTAATATCCACTAACTGTGCTAGGCATTGAGATTGACAGATGAGCAAAGCAACACCGTCCCTACATTCATAGACCATACAGAGAAGTATGGGAGAAACAACAAACGTAAATAACTTTGCAAATAGAAAAGAAATTCTGAGAAGATCTATGAAGGAATCCTGCAGAGGATCGATTAACACAAGCAAAAGAAAAATACACTAATGAGCTATTTTTTTTAACATATTACATCTCAATGAGTGCATTCTGAATATAATTTATTCATGCACGACTGACTCAGGTTCATCTTTATCAACAACACCCAGTACACGTGGTCATATGCACTGAGGACTCACAAGGCAAGTGAGGCATGGAGGTTGTTTTTTATCTTCCATTAATAACTCCAATCTTGTGGATTTTTATTGTTTTCTTTTCCAAAGCTGTCTCTATTCATTGTCTTATTTTATTTTATAAAGGAGACAAACACAAATAAATGAAGTAAGTGGCTTACTCAAATTATCAAGTACCTTAGTTTTTATGCTAATTAGATTCTAGTTCTATGTTTTTCTGCCCCGTTTTCACTACCCAGGTCTAATTATTTATTAAATATAATTGATATTTATTGGATAGCACCTTCAGGATATGCTTGCCTAGCCTCATTACTGCACATAAATACACTTTCCACATGCTGACTTTGCTTTGTAGGAGGCAGAAAAAACAGATTCTATTCAGTACATGTGATGCCTACTGCACCTCTGCAGAGAATTCCTTCCCTTTGGTAAGGATGTCATCTACTCACCATTTCAGGGTAATGTTTGAAGGTTTCATTGGTTTGGTTTTGTTTATAAGGGTCAAAAAGAAGTCAGTAAGCATTAAATACAATCTAGCAGAAGGCTGTACAGCCCAAGTTAGTTTCAGTAAAACCAAATTTCCAGAAAATGTAATTCTGTTATTGGCTGAGGCTATTAGCAACCAGGAGGTGGTAGTGGAGACGATGAATGTTGTTATTTAAGCTAAAGAAACATAAGGCTACTCCCCAGTATTCATCTTACTTAGCCAGATCTTTATAGACTTCAGACCAGGGTCTGTTCCAGTAGGAGCCACGTTGCTTTCTCTGGAAAAAGAAAAGTACGAATTAGAATATAAAATTCTGAACCCTGGGGACCCATGGCCCCAGCCTGTCACTTGTTTCAATTATTGACTTGTAATAAGCACCCTTGAAGAATAGAGTTGTTGAATGACTAAATGTGCCATCTCTGGAGTAACATTTCCCATTTGACCACTTTAGTCTTAACAATGCATGCCAACATATATTATTTTGTGAATGATAAATAATTCATATGATGACTCATACTATGCAGGGTTTTTCCTTGAGAGAATGACACCATTCATACAACTCTATCATGATAATGAGGCAGAATCTGCCTTCAAATATTACTTTCCCCCCAAATTTAGACATATAGAGAACCATAATAAGTCTTTTAAGAAATATTTCATTGATCGGTTTCTTGCGTAATAGATCATGGAGAATTGGTGAAAAAAAAATAGAAGAATCTTGAAGCACATGTTGAGAACTGACACTCCAGTGTGGCTAGCTGAGAATTTTCTTATGATATAATCATTTTAGAAAGGAAGAGAAGGAGATGAATATATTACTAAGATAAGATATAGGCTTACAAGGTAACTAGATCCATTTTCTGGGGAGTAGACTAAATGAGTTATCGCAGAAACAGAGCAGGGGCCAAAAAGTTTTTTTTTTTTTTTTTTTTTTTTTTTTTTGAGACAGTCTCGTTCTGTCCCCCAGGCTGGAGTGCAGTGGCGCGATCTCGGCTCACTGCAAGCTCCGCCTCCCGGGTTCACGCCATTCTCCTGCCTCAGCCTCCCGAGTAGCTGGGACTACAGGCGCCCGCCACCACGCCTGGCTAATTTTTTGTATTTTTAGTAGAGACGGGGTTTCACCATGTTAGCCAGGATGGTCTGGATCTCCTGACCTCGTGATCCACCCGCCTCTGCCTCCCAAAGTGCTGGGGTTACAGGCGTGAGCCACTGCTCCTGGCCTAAGAAGTTTTAATAATACAGATTGCACTGAGCTGCTTTGAATGCTCAGTAATGCCAATAAACATAATGCACTGCATTAAGATTAAAGAGAACCTTCTTTTGAGCTGCTGAATTAAACAGGGATGTTCTCTAAGGACACACACACACACACACACACACACACACACACACACACTCAACTTTAATAGGCATCATCAAAACATTGCCTGCTTTTTTTCTCTTAATTAATCTTTAGTTGCAACCCACTTTAAATATTATACAGAGAAATTTTCATTTTGATTTCATAGATGTAGTACAATTACTCATTGATTAATCTGACAAAATAAATCTGTTTCAAATTTAGAAACTCCTCAAACTTTTCCAGTTTTAGGGTTTATTTTGGAGATCTGCAATTAGCAAGAAAACATTTTGGGTTTACTAAAATTATTTTTTCATTTAATTCTGTAATAGATATATTAATGCCAGCAATATGTAATGAAGGTATTTCACAAGTATTTATTGAGTGCCAGCTCTGTGTCTCACACTGGCCTAGGTGCTGGGAATTTAGCAGTGAATAAAAAATAAAATTTTTGCCTTGGTGGGGCTGGTATTTCAGTGAAATCCCTTATTTGCATTGCCCTTTTGAGATTTAAAGAGCTTTCTCTTTCTCTTCTTTTCCACTTACTACAGTTTTCATATGGGGTTGTTGCGTCAGGCATTATCAATAACACTTTTTACAAATAAAGAGAAAAAAGCTTAAGTGATTTTCCCCAAATTTGTACAGGTGTGGAAAAGCACGATCTCTTTCACTAATCTTAAATTATTCTAAGTAATAAACTGATTCTAAATGCTAAAAACTTGTTTCTTTCTGTCTTAAAAATGTCTGTATGCAATGCTTTTATTTACATGTTAAAAATACAATGTGATGCTCAGAATTGAATATCTAGTGAACAGTTCTTCTACTTGTTTAATTAATGTGTGTGCTGTATCTCAGAGATGACCATACCTAAAATATAAGATAGTGGTTCTTATCTATTAGTTCCCAGGATTTGGACTACGAATATACATAATTAAGTCGTTCTACCCAGTCAGCTCAGACCAAATGTCTGTTCATCTGAATGTAGCCAATTGTGGTGAACTGAGTATCAATCGGCTCTGAAAAATGTAGGTCCAAAGATAAGTTACAGTTCATCCTTGCCTTAAGAGTCATAAGTATCCAATAGAAAAAGTCTATAACTAATCATTGCAGCAGCACAATCTGTGATTGTTTATTAATGGAAACTTCATGGGAGCAGAGACTCTATTTGTCTATGAGTGCATTTTCAGTGCCTGAAACAAAATAACCTCTTAGTAAATATTTATTAAATAAAGAATGGATACAAGCGCTGTAAGAGACGTATGCACTAGGTTTATTCTGTTGGGCTTAGGACTAATTGGAAACTCAGTCAATAGGGGTAAATCTTTGATCTGAGCCTATGATCATTATTAGGAGGACATTCATTCATTCACTCATTCATTCATTTGCTCATTCATTCAAGTTTTCATTCAACAAATATTGTACTGTCAATATAGTATTGACCAATTATTATATAAGAGAAATTGTCAATATAGTATCTACCAATTACTATATAACAGAAATTGTCTTAGATGTTGAAAGATGGAACCACATTGCCATCAAGGAGCTTGGAGTCTAAGAAGCCATACATGCAAATACTGAAAAAACATCGAAGTTGCTGCAATATTGCATTGAATATAAACTAGTACCTGCATATAGTAGGCTTCTAATAAATAACTAGAAAGTGAATGACTGGAAGAACAGAATGAGATGCCTCTGAATCTTCTAGGCAAATCAGAGAAGACATCCCAAAAAAGACGATTTGAATTTTTACCAGAAGGATTGAAAGTGAAGGTCTGTGGCATGAGAGACCATAATGGGTTCAGGGAAATTGCAATAATTTCTGGGGTATGAAATGCAAACTCAAGTAGAATGATTATCAAAGGTCATGAGTCTGTATACAAAGGCAGAAGTCAGTTCGTAAAAGGCCTTGTGTTAACATTCTAAGAATTTAGATTACTTTTCTTCTGTGAGAAAGGAGGAGGCTTTGGAGTTTTGAACAAAGAGGAATGTGAATAGGTTGATCTATGAGAAACTTCTTTTTATCTGCAACATATTGGAAAATGGCTTTTTGTGATCCTCTATGTAAGATAAGTACCCACACCTCACACTTTATCCTCTTACCTTTCTTTGTTTTTCGTTACAATAATTTTCTTTTTAACAGACTCGCATCACTAATCCATTTACGGTTTGCTTTTATTTAGCTATTTAACTAGTCGTTTTTAACATTATAAGAAGTACCTGTGTACCTAACCAAAAACAAAAATTGGGAACTCAATAACAACAATAACCTGTGTGTAAATATGATTTTCTCTAGCAACTCATTGTCCTGACTTTCCCTGAAAGACTTAGCCAGTATTATGAAGCTTGTGTTCCTCATTCACTCTTTCTTTTTCTGTGGTTTAGCTGAATTTATATGTATTCTAAAAAAGCATGATTTTGCTTTATTTATTTTTAATTTCATTAATAGGGCATCATATTTTAGACTCATTTTCACTTTTTAAATTTTTTTCCATGTAGATAAGTTTTGACTGTTTTTAAAATATTCCTTTATATCACTGCACCATAGATAATTTAAATTGTTTTGAAGGGACAGTTATTGTGATCAGTTACTATGAAAATTATTTTATGTGGATTCTGTTTTGCTTGCACAAGTGTTTCTTTTGCATATATACTAACAAGTGAAAGGGCACCAGCACCAGGAATGTAGAAGAGCTATTTTGCATTCACTTTGTCCTGAGAATTGTTATTGTTTACCACTGAAATATTTGCCAGTGAAATAGAAGTAATATAGTATCTATTATTTCTTGATTTTTATTTCCCTGCTGTGTTAATCAGTTTTCATGCTCCTAATAAAGACATATCCAAAACTGGGAAGAAAAACTGGTTTAATGGACTTACAGTTCCACATGGCTGGGGAGGCCTCACAATCATGATGGAAGACAAGGAGGAGCAAGTCACATCCTTCATGATGGTGGCAGGCAAAGAGAGAGAGCTTGTGCAGAGGAACTCCTCTTTATAAAATCATCAGATCTTGTGAGATTTATTCACTATCAGGAGAACAGCATGAGAAAGACCTGCCCCCCATGATTCAATTATGTCCCACTTGTTCCCTCTCATGAAACGTGGGAATCATGGGAGTTACAATTCAAGATGAGATTTGGGTGAGGACATAACCAAACTGCATCGTGTGGTCACTAATGATACTGAATATTTCATACATATTTATCAGACATATGTATTTCCTCAACTCTGAAATGTTGAAATGAACTTCAACTCTGAGTTTTGTTCCTTTTCTACTATTGTGCTGATGTTTTATTTGTTGGCATTATTTATACACTTCGACAAATAAATATGTATATATATTTACAGTTTATGACAAACAAAAATATATATATTTACAGTTTACATCATGGTGCTCTGATATATGTATACTTGGTGAAATGATAACCACAATCAACCTAACATATCCATAATCTGACATAGTTACCATTTATATGTGTGTGTGTGTGTGTGTGTGTGTGTGTGTTTGTGTGTGTGTGGTGAGAACATTTAAGATCTATTATTCTCTTAGTAGATTTCAAGTATACAGTACAGTATTAACCATAGTCATTATGATATATGCCACATTTTCTTTAACCATTCATCCATCAATGGACAATTGGCTGTTTCCATATCTTGGCATCTTGGCTATTGTGAATAATGCTGCACTGAACATGAGAGTACAGCTATCTCTTTAGATACTGATTCAATTTTCTTTACATATATATCCAGAAGTGGGATTACTGGAACATATAGTAGTTCTATTTTTAATTTATTGAGGGATTCTCCATATTTTCCATATGGCTGTACCCATTTACATTCCCACCAACATTATGTAAGCCTTCCCTTTTCTCCACACCCACACCAACATTTATCTTTTGTATTTTTGATAACAGTCATCTTAACAGGTGTAAGGTGATATTAATTGTGGTTTTAATTTATATTCCTTCATTGTTAGTGATGTTGGACATATTTTTTTCATATACCTATTCACCATTTATTTGTATGTCTTCTTTTGAGAAATGTCTATTCAGGTCCTTTGCCCAATTTTAATCAGAATATTTGTTTTCTTGTTGTTGGGTTGTTTGAGTTCCTTATAGATTTTGTTTTCTAACCCCTTATCAGATACATGGTTTGCAAATATTTTTTCCCATTTTCCAGGTTATCTCTTCACTCTATTGGTTACTTTCTTTGCTGTGAAGGAACTTTATAGTTTGATGTAATCCATTTTTCTATTTCTGCTTTTGCTGCCTATACTTTTTATGTCATATCCAAAAAATCATTGCGCAAATTAATGTCAAGAAGCTTTTCTCTTATAGTAGTTTTATAATTTTATGTCTTACATTCAAGTCTTTAATTCATCTTGCATTTGTATTTGTTTATGGTGTGAGATAAAAGTCCAATTTCATTTGTCTGCCTGTGGATATTCCATTTTCCTAACACTAATTATTGAAGAGACTATCCTTTCTCCATTGATCCTTTCTCCATTGTGTGCTCTTTGTACCTTTGTTGAAGATTAGTTGACTGTAAATGTATGAATTTATTTTGGGGCTCTTTATTCTGTTCTGTTGGCCCGTATTTCTGTTTTTATTCCAGAATTGTACTGTTCTTATTCCAGTATCATACTATTTTTATTACTATAGCTTTGTAATATATTTTGAATTCAGGTAGTGTGATGCCTCCAGCCTTGTTCTTTTGGCTAAAAATTAGACTATTTGAGGTCTTTTGTGTTTCCATATAAATTTTGGGATTTTTTTTATTTCTGTAAAAATTAACTTTGGAATTTTTATAGAGATTTCATTGAATCTGTAGATTGCTTTGAGTAGTATGGACATTTTAATAATTTTTTTTTCAATCCACAAACACAGGATATTTTTTCATTTTGCCAATATGATAGCTATTTTCTCTAGTATTTGGATAATATCATCCTATTGTCTTTTGGCTCTAGCCCTACAATTATTAAGTAACATTGAAATGTGCCCCATTGTAAGGCACAAAATAGATTCTGGAACTAGCCTCTGTGAGTTTACATTTTGAATTATATCTGTGTTACCTGATTCAATAGATTATTCTTCAAGACCAAAAGTCAGTCTCCGGAAATATCAGGCACCATTGAATACTAGATAAACTACTTAATGAGTAGGTAACTTACTGTTTGAAAAGCTCATTCATAAGCCAGCAGATTGAAACAACCATAATTTTTGTAGGGTCTTACCTTACTTTAGAGATTACATAATAAAAATTACAGCAATATGCATAAAAAATGTTATAACACAGACTTGAATATATTTGAAAAAATATTTTTAGATGGCACAAAACAGGTGTAGAGTGTGATTTATAGTATAAGATCTGAAAACTGATTGGTTTCAAACCATAGCACTACCTCTTAGCAGCTATGAAACAAGAAACAGTTAATTTCTTTGAGCCTCAATTTTCTCACATGTGAAATAAAGATAGAGCTTTTGTGATTAGAAAGCAAGATAATCTATATAAAGTGCTTAGCACAGAGCCTGGCTCCTGGTAAATCCTTAATTAATGTAAGTTGTTAGTTGTATGGCCACTTGTAAGGCTTTTGCTGACATATTTTTCTTCTGTTTCCCAGAGTTGAATTTAATTTATAAGCATATAAAAGAACTTTCAAAGGATTTGGAAAATATACATTCATATACCTTTAGAAATGAGGGAAACATAGATTTTATCAGATCTATTGAAGTGTTTTGTACTTGTGGAAACTGAAATAAAGTGAAATATTTTACATCATTAACACCAGATTTTAGACTAGAACCTCTGCCTTTACAGCAATTTTTCATTCAGTGGACTCTCTACTACCTAAGATGCTGGTCACCATAAGCATTTGAAAACAAAACTGGAAAAGTCTGGAATAATTGGATGTAGATAGTTTCCAAATGTGAGCTATTAATTTGAGACATGAACAAGCATGTTTCCTTCCCCATCTTGACCCTCCATTCAAGATTTTACGTAAAAATGATTTCATTAAGTTTTTTACATTCATCAGAATGAGGCCTAAAAGTACATAAAATAGAACAAGTTAAAACATTAAATTGTAATGTGTTTGAAAACTTGATTCTATGCCAATGAAACTATAAGAAACAATGTCTATAAGGAACAGAGTCTGGTGAAGGAAACAGATTTGTTCAGCAAGAAAAAAAATCATAAACATGATGAGATTTCAAAATGCCTGAGACTTAGAAGTGCTAAATTAAAATGTTTGGAATGAATAAATTATATAAGAAAAATGGATTAATCAAGGTATGAGTACTTAAATTTGAGAACTTTATGTAAGATGATTTAAGTGATATGGAGGTTAATGTGGTTTAAGTTTTGGGGTGCTAGCTCTCTCAGTTCTCTGAGAATGTAACTGACCCTACTCAAGCTTCGTTCAGTCACTTTCTACCAGTCTAGACCCCAGCACTGGAGTTTTCAGCTCTATTTATGATGGTGCTGTTTCTGATATATAGAAAAACAGGACATTTTAGATGGCAGGTTTACCAGTCTGGCACTTTCCCCACCTATAACACAATGGGAATCACTAAAGTGGAAAAACATTAGAAATATAAAACCTTTTAGGTTGCCTAGTATTTAGCTAGATGGCCCAACAAAGATAATGTGTTTTCCAAATGCTACTGTTTTCTCAAGGATGGAAATGAAATGAATATTTTCCCACCACCACCTAGTGCTGCCTTGATAATATTCTCTGATGCACCAGATGGTGGAAAACAAACTTATTTTTCCATAGCTTTCTTGATTGAGCAGTTATTTATATGCCAATGGGATCCATTTATCCACCTTTATTATAAGGCTTTTCATCCTTATAGACAATAAATTCAAATAAAACAATCCTGGTAAGTTGATATACTTTATCCAACAGATGAGCTGAAGTGTATCAGGGTATTTATTGTACTTACTGTTCGCCCAGCAGCTTATTACTTCCTCCAAAAAGCAGAAGAATACAGAAATGGCGTTACAAGAAAAAATACTCTGTGCCTTAATAATTGTACTATTGAGGACAGTTTGGAGGCTCTGCAAAAACTAAAAATAGAACTACCATATCAATCCCACTGGTGTGTATATACCCCAAAGAAGGGAAATCAGAATATGGAAAAACTATCTGTACTCCCACGTTTATTGCAGCACTCTTCACAAGAGCCAAGGTTTTGAAGCAACCTAAGTGTCCATCAACAGATAAATGGATAAAAAATATGGACTTATGCACAATAAGGTACTATTCAGCTATAAAACAGAATGAGGTCTTGTTATTTGCAACAGTATGGATGGAACTAGAGGTTATCATGTTAAGCAAAATAAGTCAGGTACAGAAAGACAAGCGTCACATATTCTCACTTATTTGTGGGATATAAACTTCAAAATAATTAAACACATGGAGCTAGAGAATAGAAGGATGGTTACCAGAAGGTGGGAAGGGTATTGGGAGG
Organism: Homo sapiens; assembly: GCF_000001405.40. Taxonomy (NCBI): domain Eukaryota; kingdom Metazoa; phylum Chordata; class Mammalia; order Primates; family Hominidae; genus Homo; species Homo sapiens. The sequence continues at coordinate 43,305,457 of NC_000004.12, forward strand.
TGGGGTGGAAGTGGGGGTGGTTAATGGGTACAAAAACACTTTGAAAGAATAAATAATACCTAGTATTTGATAGCACAACAAAGTGACTATAGTCAAAGTAATTTAATTGTAAATTTTAAAATAACTTAAAAATATAATTGAATGGTTTGTAATCCAAAGTATAAATGCTTGAAAAAAAATATATATGCCATTTTATTTTACATGCATGGCAGTCTTGAGGAGTAGCTATAATTAATATATTGATATTAATTAATTAATTAAGGAGTAGATATAATTAATATACATCTTGAATATATATACTCTCTATATACTCTCTATATTTCATATATATACTATATATACTCAATATATATACTATACATACTATATTTTATATATGTACACATATATATAGTATCCACAAAAATTAACAACAAAAAATATTTAGCTGTATCAGCATCTGCTGGAGGGCTTGTTAAAACACAGGTTGCCGGACTCTATCCCTAGAGATTTGAATCAAGCAGTCTGGGTTAGGAACGCACAATTTTGCATTTCTGATGAGTTCCCAGTTGCTGCTAATGCTGCTGGTGCAGGGACAACACTTTGAGAATCCCTGGGTTAGGCTGAAACGATGATGACAAAAGTTTATGAGTTTACCTTTATATTTGACTATTATAGCTCCTTAACGTCCAGCTAACTTGATTTATTTAGGCTCCATACTGTAGACATTTTCTAATAAATCATTACCTTCCAAAAATAACATGACAAGAAGGAGGCTGTGTGAAAAAAGTGTTTGCTGCAGGGTATTTTTGCCATTGAAATAGTACCAAGTTTCATATGGGAAATTTCAAGGTACTATACTTTTTTCCTCTCCTTTTATATTCAAGGAATTATATTCATGCATCCGAGAAGAGAAAAAGAAAATTACATGCCTTACAATGACTTTCTCAAATCCTTCATTCAATCATTTAAATTATTTCGACAGTGCCTTCATTATTATCTGCAAGTAGTTAATCTCATTTGAGAGACACCTATGGTGAAATTCTAGATCACTCAAACCCACAGTGTGCAGAAGAATTTCTGGTACTGTTTTTCATTCAGGTTATAAAAGAAAGTTATTATTTTAACTTGAACAAAAAATAAAAACTCATGTTATTTTTTTTCCTAAGAAAAGGGCTCAAAATGGAAATGACAACAGAAATTTTACTGTAAAAACATGTTGGGTGTTGGTATCTTGTTCCAGATTCTATATACAATATTGAGCTGCAAAATCAAAGAATGGTCTTCTACAGTGACATGAATGTGGACAAATAAAAAAGAAATATTGATTGTAAGAACTAAAATGAACATTCAGCCCATACTTCCTTTTTCTGACACAAGAATACATGTTTTGGTACTATCCATATTAGGGTTGAATCCAGGCTCAGCCACTTACTAGCTATTTGACATTAGATAATTTATGTAAACTTTCACAGTAGTAAAATTAATTATATCTATTCCTCAAGACTACCATGCATGTAAAATAAAATGGCATCAATAAAGCACCCAATATGTTATCTAACACACGATAGCTGTTTATTAAATAGTAGTATTCCTACTCATAAAAGGTCATCAAGCTTCACCTTGAACATATTCATTGGTGAGCTACTTATTCTCTTGTAAATTTATTCCATTTATAGAGTAGTTTCCAAATTTGAAGAGTTTCTCTATGTCAACATACTTCATTTCAGCTGCCATAAATTACAGCAACCACAATACGTTAGAGGATAAAAGGAGGAAAACTTTCAGCAATAGCAAAGTATTTTACTATCAAACTTGAGACTAGATAAACTTCGAGAAGTAATATAATACAAAATTTATATTTTGTATTATAAATTATAAGTAATATAATACAAAAATTTAAATACCAAAGGAAGGTGGAAATATAAAGCCCTTGATATGAAGTTTGTCTTAGTTTTGACAAGTAATAGGTATCACTGAAAAAAATGTTGGCATAGATATCGTATCCTAGGACTTTTTTATTTCTCTCATCCTTCTCGACCCCTTGCTTGCATTTCGTTTATTATATTTAGGCTAGACTAGGCTGTGCTGCATAACAAACAACACAAAATCTCAACGGTTTAAACAAAACAAAGGCATAATTTTCACACTCCGTGTCCAGTGGGGGCCAGCTGGGATATCTGATCTATCTATGCCGTTCTCACTTCTGGACTCTGACTGATAGAACAGATTTTTTTCTGGAATATTGTCATTGAGTATAGCATGTTCCTGCATTTAAAGGTTCCACCTGGAAGTGACACATTACTTCTTTTCACATTTTATTAGCTAAAGTAAGTTAGTTGACTTTTCTTGAATTAAAGGGAGGGGGGCGGTAAGTACTATCTTACCATGTGCCCAAGAGTAGAGAACAAAATGTTCGTGAACAGCACAAATAACTTCTTCAGTATTGTTTGCTAATTCCACCTCTGAGAAATACCTGTTTTCCCCTTTCGTAAAATAGAATTATGTTGCTTCCCCTGCTAGTTTCTTCTCTTCTTCTGCTAGTTCTTTTTCTTCCTCTTACCCCATTCTTTAATTTTGCAGCTCTATATCTTATATTGCATCTGGAACAAAAGACCAAGATCCAAAATGTTAATGAAAAAAAGATTTATTCTGTGTCATTTGTATTTTTGTCATTTGAAATTAACAGGCATTTCCCCTTAACATTAACCTTCGCTGGTTTGTGCTTTCTCATTCTCTTTCATAATTTTATCCACCCATAAAACATTAATTATTAAAAATATGTAGATAATTCTTATGTCAACAACTTTTTGTCTTTCCTGTATTCCAGGCATATATTTTTGGGAGAATATCCACCAGGATGATTCACAGCACTTGAATTTTCCTAGTCTTTCAGGAGTCAAGAAATCCAGTAATTTTAGAGATTCACTTTTTCCCAATATATCTACTCTTTTTTTTGTATTTTTTCTTCTTATATTGCTTTACAATCTAGCCTTTCTTCCAAGAACTATCTAATCAAGCAATTTCTCACTAGAGTCAACTGTTTTATCCCCTTCCCTTTGTTCGTACTTTACAGGAAAAACAAACAAAAAGACAACTTTATCAATCCAACTGGTTGTCTTTTCTGTTTCTATGTCAGAAATGTTGGGAAACACTGATAAAATTCATTTAACTACACGAAATAATGTCACTGTGACTTCATTGTCAACAAATTTATATCAGCTCTCAATGTTCAACAAAGCTTGAGTCTGTATTTACTGTGCTAAAACAATTTTCTTTCTTATTTTCCAGAATAATTTCAAAACCATGTTTTATTGTGTTCCTTATATAATCTACATTTACTATTACTTTTAGAAGATTATCTAGTGTCTTCCTTTACAGAAAAATAAAACTAAACGAGTAAAATAAAATCAAATTGAAGGTGTAAAATTATTCGATTTTCAAGTCCCTCTCCTGGTTATCCGCTTTTTTTTTTTTTTTTTTTTTTTTTGAGGTGGAGTCTTGCTCTTGTCACCCAGGCTGGAGTGCAGTGGCGCGATCTCGGCTCACTGCAAGCTCTGCCTCCGAGGTTCAAGTGATTCTCCTGCCTCAACTTCCTGAGTAGCGGGGATTACAGGCACGTGCCACAATACCCGGCTAATTTTTGTATTTTTAGTAGATACGGAGTTTCACCATGTTGGCCGGGCTGATCTGGAACTCCTGATCTCAGGTGATCCACCCACCTCGGCCTCCCAAAGTGCTGGGATTATAGGCGTGAGCCACTGCACCCAGCCTCTGCATATTTTTATGTCCCCTCCTTCCTTGTCCTAGAGGTACAGATGCCCCTCATCTGACCAGACAAATTTCTTCCCTTATACTCTGTCTTCCACTTTCTTATAAATACTTATTACCCTTTCTTTAGTTGTCCACATTTTCTTTTACTCATTCTCTTTCATTTTAGCTTTCAAATATATGCATGTGGAAATAATAGTCTACACTCCATTTTCCTAATCTCACTTTTAATTCCCTCTGTTTGCCTCTCTCAGTAAAATAACTTTGTCAAGGTCACCAATGGCTTTGCTGCAAAATCCTACCTTTGTGATACTTGTCTTACTGATTATTTGAAAATATTATTACATCAATATTTATTTATGTATTTATGTATGTATTTATTTATTTATTTTAGAGACAGAGGCTTGCTTGGTTGCCAAGGTTTCAATGCAGTGTTGTGATCATAGTTCACTGCAGCCTTGAACTCTTGGGCTCAAGGGATCCTCCTGCTCCTCCCAAGGAGCTGGGACTATAGGCATATGCCACTATACTTGAATAATAATTTTTTGTTTTTTGTAGAAATGGGAGTCTCACTTTGTTGTCCAGGCTAGTCTTGAACTCCTGGCTTCAAGTGGTCTTCCCAACTCAGCCTCCTATGTCAATATTCTTGAAATTATCACTTCCCTTGACTTTTTCCTATAGTCTTGTAGAGCACTCATTTTGAAACACTTTTGCCAGGTTTTCTTCTTCCACTTGCTCCTTCAGTAATATTTCTCTCTAAGCTTTGTACCTTGCCCTCATCTTGATTAATTATAAACACTTCTTGATACTGTTGGTTTCTAAGTCTGCATATTCAAGACAAACATATATGGATCTATTCGCCTATTGGTCAGCTGTATTTGGTTTAATCTGATTAAACCTAACCAAAAATGAATTCATCATTTTATTCCTTATTCCTTATCAGTCCAGCAGAACACACTTTGTACATGGTACTTTCATCCACTCAGTTACCCAAGCTAGAAATCAGAATTATCCTTGACTCCTCCATTTTTTTCTTACACAAATGCTCCAGGTGCCCATATTTTATTATTTCAATCTCCTCAACCTCCTTTATTTCTCCAGTTCCTCCCTTTAAATATTCAGTGACACTACCATAACTGGACTCCTGGAATTTCCTCTAACCAGCCTCCCCGACAACAGACTGCTCCTTCACAACTTCAATGTAATCTTTCTAAAATACAAATCTTCTTGCTTTTCTTCTAATCACCAGGATAAAATAAGACATATTCAACAAAGCAAGCTAAAATATTTTATCTATCTCTATTTTTCTAGCTCTATTTCTAGTCAATCCATTGCTAGAATTTCTTTTGTGGTTCCATTAAGTATGTGCATTTCCTCTAATTCAGTGGCTATTTTGACCACAGGCTATTTTCCCCACTCTCTACCCACAGGGTATTTTCCCCACTCTCTACCCACAGGGAACACAGGTAATGTTTAGAGCCATTTTTTTTTGTTGTTGTTGTAACTTGAAAAGGGAGTACTACTGGCATCTATTTGGTAGAGGCCAGAGATACTGCAAACATCCCAAAATGAACAGCACAGAACAAATAATTATCTGATCCAAAATATCATTAGTACCAAGCTTGAAAATTCCTGCCCTAATTCAATGTCATAATTCTCATCCCTGTGCCTTTGTACATGCTGTTCTCTCAGTGTGGAATCCTCTCCCTTTAACATCTGTCTGATTTCTGCAAGTTCATCAAGGTTCTTTCTGTGTATTGTCTCTTCTGTAATTATTCTAACTAATCTTCCTTCCAAATTACACTTAAGGCAATTTATTTTATCCTCATCACATTGCTATCTTTCTCAAAATCATTCAGACTTTCCATTTCCAAGTCAATATTCCTTACATTGGCACTAAAAGCCCAGCAAAACAGGGGAATGAACTGCATGAATGTTACCCCCCTCCAGTTTTTCCTATTCATATTCTATGATTCATCCAGAATGGGTTAGTTCACATTTCTGCATCTTACGCACGTCTGTAATTTTGATCCATTTCTTTCTTCTAATTTATATGCTTCTTTGTCTGCCTGATTATCTCTACCAACTAAACTCTTACCAGATTTCCAAGGCTCATCTTATGCAAATCTCTGCTTTTTTGAGACTCGTCCATCCAGCTCTACCACTTACTTGCCCTCATTTTGGTTACCTACTCTGTTCTGTGAATATTTCTTCATTCACTGGAAACTTTAGCTCCACAATCAGGCTTTATATCTACTTAAATCCCTGATAACATCCTGGGAGACATCCAGCCAGATGACATGTCTAGTTGCTTTAATGTCTCATTTCCAGCAATGGCAATCTTATTTTAAAATGATAATAACAATTATAATGTTAATAACAATAGGTTACACTAATTGAGCACTTACTGTGCTTGAGGCACTGTGTAAAGTCCTTTAACATCAGTTATCTCTCATCTTCCTTATCTAGTGCCTGCATTTTTCAAGAATATTGATCTCTACACAGCAAAACATCTTTTCTTCTATTACTTCATAGTGGACAGATCACTGTCCCTCCACAGTCACTCTTCATCATTGTCCAATTTTCTGTACCCTAGGAGGTGAATCAATATGAACTGCATCCATGGGTTCCTTTGCTTTTTGGAAGACAGCAGGCATTGACAGGAGATGATATGGTTTGGCTGTGTCCTCATCCAAATCTCACCTTGAATTGTAATAATTCTCACATGTCTTGGGAGGGACCTGGTGGAAGGTAATTGAATCATGAGGGCAGGTTTTACTATGTTTTCCTTGTAATAGTCAACAAGGCTGATGAGATCTGATGGTTTTATAAAGGGGAGTTCTGCTACACACGTGCTCTCTTGCCTGCTGCCATGGAAGACGAGGCTTTGTTCCTCATTAACCTAACACCATGATTGTGAGGTCTCCACAGCCATGTGGAACTGTGAGTAAATTAAACCTCTCTCCTTTATAAATTATCCAGTCTTGGATATGTCTTTATTAACAGTGTGAGAACAGACTAATATAGTAAATTAGTACCAGTAGAGTCAGATGCTACTGTAAAAATACCTGAAAATGTGAAAGTGACTTTAGAACTGGGTAACAGGCAGAGGTTGGAACAGTTTGGAGGGCTTAGAAGAAGACAGGAAGATGTGGGAAAGTTTGGAACTTCCTACAGACTTGTTAAATGGCTTTGACCAAAATGCTGATAATGATATGGACAATAAAGTCCAGGGTGAGGTGGTCTCAGACAGAGATGAGGAACTTGTTGGGAACTGAAGCAAAGGTGACTCTTGCTATGTTTTAGCAAAAAGACTGGTGGTATTTTACCCCTGCCCTAGAGAGTTGTGGAATGTTGAACTTGAGAGAGATGATTTAGAGCATCTGTCAGAAGAAATTTCTAGACAGCAAAATGTTCAAAAGTTGACTTGAATACTGTTAGAAGCAGTTTTATGTATTCACAAAGATGGAATTGGATCTTTTGGAATTGGAACTTAACATTTAAAAGGGAAGCAGAACATAAAAGTTTGAAAAATTGACAGCCTGACCATGCAATAGAAAAGAAAAACCCATTTTCTAAGGAGAAATTCAAGCTGGCTTCAGAAATTTACATAAGTAATGAGGAGCCAAATGTTAATCACCAAGACAATGGAGAAAATGTCTCCAGGGCAACCCAGAGACCTCTGTGGCAGCCCCTCCCATCACAGGCCTAGAGGTCAGGAGGAAAATATGGTTTCCCGGGCTCCGTCCAGGGCCCCCCTGCTGTGTGTAGCCTAAGGACTTGGTGCCCTGTGTCCCAGCTGCTTCAGCTGTGGCTAAAAGGGGCCTTGGTACAGCTTGGGCCATGGCTTCAGAGGGAGCAAGCCTTAAGCATTGGCAGCTTTCACATGGTATTGAGCCTGCAGGTGCACAGAAGACAACAACTGAGGTTTGTGAACCTCTGCCTACATTTCAGAGAATGTATGAAAATGCCTGGATGTCCAGACAGAGGTGTGCTGCAGGGGTGGAGCCCTCATAGAAAGCCTCTGCTAGGGTAGTGCAGAAGAGAAATGTGGGGTGCAAGCCCCCAGACATGGTCCCCACTGGAGCACTGCCTAGTGGGCCTGTGAGAAGAGGGTCACTGTCCTCCAAACCCCAGAATGGCAGATCCACTTGCACTGTGTGCCTGGAAAAGCTACAGACACTCAATGCCAGCCTGTGAAAGCAGCCAGAAGGGGGGCTGTACACTGCAAAGCAACAGGGGTGGAGTTGTCCAAGACCATAGGAACCCACCTATTGCATTACTGTGACCTGGATGTGAGACATGGAGTCAAAGGAGGTCATTTTGGAGCTTTAATATTTGACTACCCCATTGGATTTCAGACTTGTATGGAGCCTGTATCCCCTTCATTTTGGCCAATTTTTCCCAATTGGAATGGGTGTGTTTACCCAATGTCTGTATTTCCATTGTATCTAGAAAGTAACTAACTTACTTTTGATTTTACAGGCTCATAAGCAGAAGGGACTTGCCTTGTCTCAGATGAGACTTGGGACTATGAACTTTTGAGTTAATGCTGAAATCAGTTAAGCCTTTGGAGGACTGTTAGGAAAGCATGATTAGTTTTGAAATGTGAGGAAATGATATTTGGGAGGGACCATTGTGGAATAATGTGGTTTGGCTGTGTCCCCACCCAAATCTCACCTTGAATTGTAATAATACCCACATAATGTGGGAGGGACCTGCTGGGAGGTAATTGAATCATGGGGATGTGTCTTTCCCATGTTGTTCTCATGATAATGAATAAATCTCACGAGATCTAATGGTTTTAAAAAGGGGAGTTTCCTTGCACATGTGCTCTCTTGGCTGCCACCATGTATGAGGAGACTTTGCTCTTCATTTACCTTCCACCATGATTGTGAGGCCTCCTCAGCCATGTGGAACTATGAGTCAACTAAACCTCTTTCCTTTATAAATTACCCAGTCTCAGGTATGTCTTTATTACCATCATGAGAACAGACTAATACAGTAGATCAGAGAAGAGGAAGGTGGAGTTCTAATTCCTCTGGTTCCTACTCTATGGGGTCACTTTATGTTGGTGTTATTCCTCTAAGGTTGGCTTTATTCCTCTATTGATGACTGAAGATCCTTTTACTCAGCCATCTTCATATAGATATCTGTCTCTTTGTTCCTCCAGGCACAGTGTGATAATAGCTTCCCTCTGTTTCTAGTCCTCAGATACTGTACTACTTGTTGTTGGTTTCCCTAAAACCTACCTATACCTCGTAAATAGTTCCTGTATTAGTTTTTGCAACTAATTAGTTTAAAGTTATTTAATTTTAGTATTCCTTCTGTTTCCTGAAGGGACCCTGAATAATTCCCTACTTCAAATATTCACTTCCATTGTCACAACCAAGTCCAGACCTTCCCCTCTGTGATCATCTCATCCTTCCTGGTTACTTATTCCCAGTAACACCACTCCAAGCGAATTTTTATTAAGACTTTCAGGAGTTTATCCTACCACTTAATCACTATTACTCCACTTGTTGGTGAAGCCTGTTGTTACCTCACACTGGATGATGTCTTCCTGTTCCTTTCCTCAAAATGTCCTGCATATTCATTACAGTTAGAAATGCTTGTTTAATATTATTCTTTCTCACCAAAATATGTTTCTGTCACATTAACTACTGTTTTAATCACAGCACATAGGAAGTACTCAAATAATATTTCAATGACTATTTGTTTAAAAATACATATATGATGCTATAGTACTGTAAAAAAGAATTAGGAGGTGGGCTAATTTATTTTAGGGTAAAGGAAACCTTTTAGCAATAAGTGAGTTCTATGCACAGAGGTCTTTCATACAATATATCCTAATTTTTTCCAAATTGCCTTATTAATGCATTCTTTTAAATTCACATGGCACTTTCTTCTCTCTTACACTATGCATCCTAATTCTACCTTGTATTCTTACTACTGTGTACTTGACACCTCACTCTACTTCCCAGCACCCCACTCTATCCCACAATGATTATTATCTCTTTGGGTAAATATCAGTCTTCCTCCACTTTGCATTCTCTGTAGCATACAACAGAGACATGGGAATAGAGGTGGTACCCAATTTTTGATGTAATACATAGTTGTTGACACTCAGTTCCAATGTTATGCCCTAATATTTTTAATGCGTTAGTTTAATGTGCATTTATTTAAAACATTGTATTTACCAGACCCTGTTGTCTTATACTGAATTTGTAGTTGCAGAAATTTTAAGTTCTTTTCAAAATAGCTATAACTGCTTTCTGTCACTCAGCTCACACATTTTTGTAGTTGATTTTTGGATTATGAGTGCATAATTTTCACTTAACTTTGTTAAATTCACTTTGTCAATTTTAGCTCATTTTCAATAACTTGATAATTTCAGAATAATGCTCACAGAAGTGAGGTAAATACTTTCTGTACTGACATTGAAGACATACCTAATTCTTTAAATCATACTTTTTGTCATTAAAAGTAATTGCAGAAACAGCAATTAACTTTTGCATTGATCTAATATTATTCACGGAAAGACTCAAGCATTTCCATTTGGTATGTTAAAATATAATGCAGGATCTTGATGATGAAAACCCCTTGGAGTATTTATCTCCCTCGCGTTATCTTTTATTTTAAATTAAAAATAAATATGCTGTTTGTGCTCAGTCTATGGTATATGTTGAATTGTGTTTGCCCAAAAAAGGTCTGTTAAAGTCCTTTATCTCCAGTACTTCAGAATGCTACCTTAGTTGGAAATAGGGTCTTTACAAAGATAATCCAATTACAAATGAGGTTGTTAGGATAGGTCCTAATCCAATATGACTGGTGTCTTTATAAAAAGGAGGAATTTGGACACAGAAGCAGACACTCCCAGAAGAAATACAATGTGAAGACACACAGGGAGAAGATGGCCTTGTGACCAGGGAGATGCATCTACAGACCAACAAATGCCAAGGATTGCCAGAGAACAGAAAAAGCTGGAAGAATCAAGGAAGGATTCTCCCCTGGAGCCATCAGAGAGAGCATGCCCTGATATCACCTTGATTCTTCACTTCTACCTTTCAGAATTGTGAGATAATAATTTTTTGTTGCTTTGAGATTGTGGTAATTTGTTTACAGCAACCCTAGCAAACTAATACACTCCATATGCAAGTATTAACATGGTGTTCCTTTTCTTCCTCTGAAATTCATGGTAGTATAATTCCTTTTCCTTAGCTTATAACCACAAAATTCTCAAGAGGAAAATTTCTACAAATCGGTATTAAAAGTTGTAATTTTACAGTGGCAAAACAGTAGAATAATCAGAGTCTGCCCACTAGAGTTTTCTAATATCGTCCCTAAGTATTGACGCTCAGGTACTCAGATATTTATCTGTGTGCTTAAAACTGGTATTTCAGCTTGTAAATATTGCTCTAAAGATAAAGGCAAAAGTTTTCTTCTAGGGTGGTATTGATATTGTAAATTCTAAATAACTCACTTTGAAAGAATCAATAGCAATTTCTGAAGATTGTATAAAATTAATTATCTTTGCCTATACATATTTATTTTGCAACAGGAAAAACAATGAGCAGACATTTTGTGTACCTTTGTGAAGTGTTTGAATTTATCCAAACAACATCATCAGTAATTGCCTCTGTGTTTAATTCCATTCACTTTCCTTGTTCTTTTTTTCAGAGTAAGTTTGTGGTTTGGAACATTTTTCCTGATATTTAGACTTTGAAAGTTCTGCAGACATATTGTAATCAAAGTTTTTTACTCACAAAGTGTGGCACTCTGCCCTAAGTTAATGTGGGTGCGTTCATTCTTAGTCATAACCCTTGGGCACCTGCTCTCAGGCAAGAGATGACCCTGAACTTTGTTTTCTATATGCATGAGGTACATTCTTAACCCACATAGCTGATGAATTGGCTTCAAAGTTGTAGATTGTGTAACTAGTTAGTATCATGCCTGTTTAGTACCCAAATTTGTTGCCTTTTTCAAATTATATCTCCTTGGAGAGTGATATTTTGAACAGCCTCCAAAGGAAGCAGCTCTCCTTGACCCAGTTCTCAGTGAAGAGTTTTCCCAGCAGTACGTGTTTAAAAGAGATAATGTTCTGTTTTTACAAGTGGAAGTTGGTAGGGACAGACTTCATATTATAGGGCTGTGTTTTTGTTTCAATATTTATGTCAATGCTCTTGATTCAAAAATATGGGTGCACCAGGCTGGGCACGGTGGCTCTTACCTGTAATCCTAGCACTTTTGGAGACTGAGGCTGGCGTATCACCTGAGGTCAGGAGTTCGAGACCAGCCTGGTCAATATGGTGAAACCCCATCTCTACTAAAAATAAAAATTAGGTGGGTATGGTGGCACACTCCTGTAATCCCAGCTACTCAGGAGGCTGAGGCAGGAGAATCGCTTGAACCTTGGAGATGGAGGTTGCAGTGAGCTGAGATCATGCCATTGCACTCCAGCCTGGGGGACAGAGCAAGACTTCATCTCAAATATATATATATGCACCAAGGCTAGATTTAACTAACTGGTATCCAAATGGTCTGTCTTAAATGATGTCCAAATGGAAACAGACTCAGGATAGTAGTTATGAGAAATTCTAAGGTCATAGTAAGATACAATAACATTGTAATTTTTATTCGTTTTCCCATGGAGGAGATCCTTTATAATCAATTAAAGGCATATATACTTGAATCTGTTTTAGAACAGTGCTGTTCAATGGTAGGTCAATTTACCAGTATCACCATGCTTATGTATTATAGATTCATATTACATGTCAGCTATTTTAATTTACAATAGGGTAAGTACCTCTTATTATATATTTTAAGTTTTTTCTTACCCATTTCATTTTAATTTTTTCTTTCAAATTAATTTTGGAAATAATTTCTCTCAAGTTAAAAATATCTTCTATTTTCATTGGAATTTTGCTTTATATATACATTATTTGAGAAAATAACTGAGACTTTTGCAATCATGACTTCACTTTCATAGAAAAAAGAACATTTTTTCATTTATTTGATTCTTCTCTAACTTTCTGAGTAGAGTTTAAAACAAGTCTCATATTTTTGTGATGACTCTCTGGAGATAAAAGTGGCTAATATCAACTCGTAATTGTATTTATCTATATGAACAATAAGCCTGAATATTATTAATTTAAATAGAACAGAGATTTGTTTCCTCTGACATAATTAAGTCTAAATTTCAGTTTGCGATGGCTGCTATTGTGGCCTCATGGTATAGACAATATTCGAAGTTTATACTTTTTATTTGCTTTGACATTATTAGCTAGTAGCTTCTAGCTTAAGATTAACTCATGGTTGAAAAACAATGGCTGCAAAGCCAGCCATCACATCTATAATTCAGTAAGAAATTAAAAAGATTGGAAAGGCAAAATGCACCTGCCTACTATCACCCCAAAAGAGCTTTACTGGGAAGTCCCACTCAATGACTTCTGCTTATCTATCAGCAGCCATCCTTGTTTTCAGGAGCATCTTGGGTATATCATTTTTTGACAAGTGAATTATAAAATTTTACATATATTTGATAAGCATATATCCAAATATGTATGCTTATAACTTTACTATTGTTATTATTTTCTATAAAGTTATATATATTTGATAGGAATAGTCATAAAATTATAAATTATATACAATTTTATAATTTTCTACATCCATTCCAGTTTCTCTCATTTTATATGCTAAAAATTCCAGTATTGAAATATATTTTTTATTCTCTCCATATTTCAAAATACCATTATGAGGACATGAAGGACTGCAAAGTCTTCATTATTAGCCTACTAATGGGTCTTCAGTTCTCTTTGCTTCCTAATGCTGTATTTTGTGGATCATCTACCACTATATCTAATTCCCATATATGATGAAAGTCTGGCATGAGAAAAGTAGACTCTGAACAATATACCTGTATGAAATGTGAATATGATAGTGACTGCAAAGTGTTAGGTTTCTTTCACATTTTTATGCATCTACTGCCATTTATGTCCCAGATTGACTGAATTTTCCCACCATTTTCATCTATTTGAACGACTCTTAAAGTTTTCTTCATAGCTTCATATCGTATGCTTATTACTTCATTTATAGGTGACAATAAATACTTGAAGTTTCATTTAATTTTGTCTTTATTCTTTTCTCATTAGCCTGAGAAAATATAGTACAATATTGTTATCTCTTATATTGTTTTTTGTGATGTCAGATAATACTTTCAACTTATTAAATTACTTAGGAAGTAAAAGTGTATGTCTGAAAATATCTTTCAATTACAAATTAACCCAGAATTTTATCGGAGTTCTATCAGAAGCAGAAATGACTCCCGGTATTGCAAATAGAAGAAAATTAATACTGGTAATTGGATATGCAGGTGATGGAGGACCTGAGAATCTACACAGGCAAACATGAAACAAGCTGAGCAGTAGAAACAGCAAGAAGCTGCCACCATCCCTAGGCTGGAGGGACATAGGAGGTAGCAATGCCTCATTCCTAAATTCTGGAATTGTAGCTGAAACTGAAATGGAATTCCTGCCCTGTCCTGCTTTTCCCTACCCTGTGGGAGATAGAGGTGTGGGGAAAAGGACTGCCCAGTGATAGCCGGGCCATGGAGAACACACAGTCACTGCCAGATGTAATGTCTGAGGCAGAGAGAGATGGGGGAAGACAGTGTGACTTGATTTTCTTTAATCCTTCCATCTCTGCCCACTTGTTCTCAAGAAGCAGACAAGGATAGTAAGAAGATAGCAAAAACGTTTGGAGAATGCAGTTCCCTGTGTTAATATCAGATCAAGGATATTATGGCCTCATGGTATTGACAATATTCAAAATTTATACTTTTTATTTGCTTTGACATTATTAGCTAGTAGCTTCTAGCTTAAGATTAACTCATGGTTGAAAAACAATGGCTGTAAAGCCAGCCATCACATCTATAATTCAGCAAGAAATTAAAAAGATTGGGAAGGCAAAATGCACCTGCCTGCTGAGTAACACCTCAAAAGAATTTTACTGGGAAGTCCTACTCGATGACTTCTGCTTATCTATCAGCAGCCTGAGAATCCGAAAGAAAACAAATGACTAGCACACTTCTCTGTTTTCCCCTCCAGGTTTGTTTGCTGCTCACTGATGCCCAAATGTGGGCTCCTGCAGAGCGAGCTATGGGCTGCATCACCTGTGTCCATTTGCCTTTTGGCTTCCAGTTGTGTTTAGACTGATTGAAGATTGAGAATCTAGTAGAAAGTCAGATGTGGGGGTTTATTTTTCTGACTCCTTCTATGCCAGCCACAGCCACAGACCCGTGGTTGAGTCTTTTTTTGTAGCCCTGTGTCCTGCTGAGCTCTGGTAACATTGTTCCCCCATTTACCCCTTCAGGTCTAGGGGAAGTAATTGTCCCTTGCTCTTACTAGTCCCAGTGTACTTTATCATTCCTTATTATTCCTCTTATCCTTGTGCAAACATGTGTGTAAATACTGTCTTCATGAAACTATCTTCTTGTAAACCTTTTGAATGTGCGATCTATTTTCTGCCAAGTCCATGTTTGTTAAATTGAGCAAATGAGTTTTGTCTTTATAACCACCAGAATAATTCAGTAGGAGAGCAGGACAATTGCCATTTCAGCATTTGGACTTGCCTATCTACTGGCAGCCAGACTTATTTACTAAATATTAGAAAATAACTCTTCTCATTCTTGGTAATTACTTGGTATAATTTACTCTTAAAAATCCACGTATAAATATGTGCAATGTAATCAAAGGGTATTGCTCAGTTACAAAATATTGCAGCCATTGTCCCCAGAGAGGCCCGAAGCTGGGGCTGTCAAGTGTGTTCTAGCTGGAAAAGACGCATCATTCAATCTTGCAGAAAACTATTAGAATGGCTCTGTGGTAATTTTGTGCTAGTCATATTTAATTGATGGTCAGACAGGCACATAGCTGGTTTTCAGAACAGGTGAGTGGTCTTGCTAGTCTATAAAGCTTTTTTTGTGTCAACTTAAAAACAAAAACAAAAAACAGAGTACTTCTGCTTTGGGCAGTATTATCTATGTGAGCACAAGATTTGGGGAGCAGGGAACACATTTCTGTGAAGAAAACCAATATCCTTTGGTTTGGGTAGACCCTGTCTCACCAGAAATTCCAAGACTTCACAACTAAATTAGCAGGAGACTACTCAGGGGACATGGAACAGAAGCTATTTACCAACCAAAATTAAATATTTTAAATATTTAATAACCAATATGACCATTTGTCCAAATATCTCAGCTTGGGAAATATTGCTTTATGCATCTGTGATGAATCTACTGTCTTTTCTATGTTGCTGCACATCATTACCAAGTAGGGCCCTTTCTAAGCAAATCTATGAGGGAATTAAATATTATTTTCAATGTGACCAACCTTTACTTTCTGTGTGAACTTTTCCTTTATCACTGTGTTTGTCGCAACAGAAATAAAAAAAAAAAGATTTATAGGAAACAAAGTAGTCTGCTTCCTTGAAAAACATCAGTTTCTTGGAATTGATCTCTTAATACAATAAAATTATAAATAGAAAAGTGTTGGCCTTAAACCTTACTCCATCCCCGTCCTCCATTCATAGTTTCAATTATTCTTTGGCACTGTAGTGACTGTGTGAGGAGAGGCCTCTCTTGCTATTTTTGTAGTTCTTTGTTAATCCAGATATAAAGCTTGAGCTTTCTGTGCCACCCAGATACATCCATACCCCTTGAAATTTTTATTAAGAATTCTGGTAACTTCAGGAATCATTTTTAGACCTTGCAGCCTCTTGCATTTAATTATTTTTCAAAAGATTTTTTACATGTAGTAGACGAAATTGAGTTTGACAAGCTGAAGCAAATGAGGTTTAGTATCTTTGTCTGTTTGACATTTTTCAGCTTCATTTTTACTTTGTATTATGCAGTTCTCTCTTTTCTGGTATCTCAAAATGTCATTGCCCTTCCTACCCCTGCAACACACGGTTCACACCTCTTCCCTACCACTGCTCAGTTAGGAGGCACAGAAAGCAAAATCAGATAAAGAAAATCGTTCTCAACTATTGGGTTCTTCTTTGATCTAAATTTTTATCTAAAAAGACATAACTTTATCTACATCTATTATATTTATCATAGTAAGCTACCATTTCAACAAAATGGATTTTGCTAAAATATTATAGAATAATACACAAATTCTACACACAAACACACACACACACACACACACACGGAAAAAACTTGATCTTAAAATATTCAAGATCAGATCTTAAAATTGCATAGAAGCTCTTCAGCATTGACCTCTAGTTGACATGCTCTAAAAATTAATAATTCATGTATGGGTTCAAAAAATACTTGATGTCTTTCCATGATCTTCTGAAATATATAGACTTCCTCTGAAACCATGTCTATAGTAACTAAGATAAATTTAACAAATTAAATAACATTGGTACTTACAGAATTTTTAAATATTTTATTTACTTCTAAAACTCTCCTTTTATAATAAATGATACTTTTTTGGAAACATATTTTTATTAGTTGTTTTCTGATATGTCTTTCAAGTGTTGATTGGCATTTTTGTTTTATTTGTGAACTTATCTCCATCCTCTGCATTTCTGTAAGACTGTACTAAGAGCAGCTGAAGACCTTGTTTAGGGGACACTAAGTCAAAAACAAGAAAAGACCTTGAAATGTGACAGTCATCAATGACTGGGAACCTAGATATGCTGGAGTTACCCCATCCCTCACATTTAGATGCAGACTGGGTAGAGCTCATAATTTTATTTTAGATTCTAATGTCAATGTGTTATCTAATTGGAGCAAGGTAGCTAAGCCAACCTAACACAAGTAACTGTATTTATATTCCTTGAAGTTCTTTTTCATACATTTTAGACAACCTTTTCATAATTTCTCTTTTTTGTTTCTACTTTCATTTATCTTAATTTGAAGAACTCTTGTTGCCCTACTGAATTCCCTCGTTTAACTTTTCTGCATTTTTCCATTTCTCATTCTTCCAGACACACAAGCAACCCTCGTGAGTTCCCTATCTCTAAGCTGATCTTATATTATGATATCCTATAGAAACATTTGTTCTATCTGGTGATGATCAATCTTTACCTTCTACAAAGTCAAGTTCTCCATTGACATCCACAACTTTTACTACACCCAGGGTTAACTAGTAAGGATTGCATTCAGCTACATGAAATAGAAACATGGCCGAGCTTGGTGGCCCACACCCATAATCCCAGCACTTTGGGAGGCCGAGGCAGCGGATCACCTTGGGTCAGGAGTTCAAGACAAGCCTGTCCAACCTGGTAAAACTCTGTCCGTACTAAAAATACAAAAATTAGCCAGGCGGGGTGGCAGGCACTTATAGTCCCAGCTACTCGGGGAGCTGAGGCACGAGAATCACTTGAACCGAGGAGATGGAGGCTTCAGTGAGCAGAGATCGGGCCGCTGCACTCCAGCCTGGGTGAACAGCAAGACTCCGTCTCAAAAAAAAAAAAAAAAAAAAAGGAAAGAAATAAACATGATTATAGTGACTTAACAAAACAGCAGTTTAATTTCTCCACATAAGAAATGCAGACTTAGGGAGATTAGAGCAGGTATAGTAACTTCACAACTTCACCAGATCATCAATGTCAATGCCCAAGTTCATTCTAGCTTTCTGATTTAATTCTCAAGGTTGAATGATTGCTGCTCACTTCACATCTCATGATAGATTTCTAGGCAGGAAGAAGCAGAAGAAAGCAGCCTAGAGGGAGGGATAATAACAATAGTAGGAAATAAAAATTTCCACAGAACTTTTTAGTGCCTTATTTCTCAGCTCTTATTGGTCCAGATCATCATCACGTGACCTTACTTCATAACAAAGGTAGATGTGGAATATAGATTTTAGATGGGCACATGCTTCCTTGAACAGAATAGAGGTTCTGTGAGTAAGGAATGGGGGAGATTTGGTATTGGGTAAGCTACTAGCAGTGTCTGCCTCTGTTTTTCTTGATTGACCAGCATCTATATACATCCATTGCATTGTATATCACATACATTTACCCACCTCTTAAGTTTCTTTTGGTTTCTGCACTCACTTCAGAATCAAGTATTATTTAGTGCTTTGCATTTCTCTTCATCGTCTCTAGCTGTGGTTTCTCATGGTCCAGCAACCTAGACACTGAAGGCCAGTTATCCTCTGCAATTGTCTGAATGTTGGTGTCTCCCTCAAATTCACATGTTGGAATCTAACACCTAGTATAATGGTATTAAGACGTGGGGCCTTTAGAAGGTGATTAGATCATGAGGGATCTGTTCTCATAAATGGCATTAGTGCCCTTATACAAGAGGATTGAGAAAGTCTGTTTGGTTCTTCCACCATGTGGGGACACATAGAAGGTACTATCTATAAAGAATGGACTCTCAGCAGACATTAAATCTGCTGGTGCTTTCATCTTATACTTTCCTGCCTCCAAAAATGGGAGCAATAACTTCCTGTTGTTTATAAACTTTGCAGTTCCATTATAGCAGCCTAAATGGACTAAGACATCCTCTCTCAATAAATTCAACAACAGGCAGGAAGATGAATAAGGTGACAGTAATATGCATTTCCACTCAAAAATTAAGAAGGAAAAAGAACACAGACACTGGCAAATAGAAAATATAGAATCCTTGAAAAAAAGTGGGAAAGCACCTTGCTCTAGTAACAAAGCATGTTTCCTAATTAGTCAATTTTGCAGCCCCATTTCTGCCTTTTTGAGAGAATTCCCTTGAACATTGTCCTACAGAGCCAGAAAAACGATGGATATTGAATAGTATAATGCTATTAGGGATGCAAAGCTTCCTAAGTCAATCCCAGGGAGTCCAGGTATAGTTTAGAAATGGAATGATCCTGGCTGTGGCCACTCAAGCCTGGAGACTCTGTGGCAGTACAGTTTCCTCAGAAAGCTTTTTTT
Organism: Homo sapiens; assembly: GCF_000001405.40. NCBI lineage: Eukaryota > Metazoa > Chordata > Mammalia > Primates > Hominidae > Homo > Homo sapiens. Next base: position 43,325,131 of record NC_000004.12, read on the forward strand.
TTTGTTTGTTTGTTTTCATTTGAGTGTGGTCAATCCTATGCATAAAAACCACTGCTAATACTTGTATCAGGATATAGTTTTTAAGCATATAATTCTCCTACTCACCTATCTGCTTTTGTGCTATGCTCATATCTTTAAACATAATTAAGAATGTTTTTTACTGAAAGCCAGTAAAAACAATAGACTCTGGTGAGGATACGGTACAGTTTACATTATCTTGGCCACAGAATGAGACATTTCCAGGAAGTTACTAGGGAAAGGCAGGGGCTCCTGCTTCATCTTTTGCTTAGTCTGTCTGTCTGCAGCCACCTCTCACAACCACCTCAGTTTAAGGCATTGCCTCTTTTCACCTCTGAAAGCTCCTACTTAAAAGGCTGTCTTTTTTTCCTTAGCAAAGCTGTGTTGTCTTCATTGCTGCCTGCCAGCTACGTAGCATAAACCAAAGCTCAGCCCACTCCTTCAAGACTTTGCTGAAGGCAGCAAGAAGAGACCAGCACACTGCAACACTCTCGATTTTGCTTACTGTGGCTTCCTACTGCACTTGGCAGGCAACAGGTTGATGTTTTCTGTTATATAACAAAGGTTGCTAGTTTTCCAGCTTGTGATGTTCCTGCCCAAAGTCTCACACCATCATTAAGCCACTTCCTCATTTTCAGAATTTGCAAAACTCCCTTCCAGATATAAAGTCCCTTAAGAGGTAAGAGTGGCTTCGGCAACTATAACAGAAAACTAACTGTGGTGGTTTAAGGAAAGATAGTTTCCTTTTTTTTTTTTTTTTTCCACATAACACAAAATTCAGAGAGAATTAGGCTTGGGATGATATAGCTGGGTTTTTTTTAAATGTCATTAGTGGGCTAGGTTCTATTTGTCATTCTGCTTTGATATTATTTCTCCTCCATCCTTTCACTGCATATTCCAGGCAAGATGAAAAATAAGTAGATATAAAGAGGAAGAACCAAACTTTCCCAGAGATTTCTTACAGTCTTTGATTTCCATTTTAATGACCAGAATCATGCCTAGTCCCCATTTTATCTCAGAAAGGGAGAGTTCTAAAACAAATTTTATTAATTATTGACATGTTTTGTACCTTAAGTAATGAGAAAGGTGAAAATAAGTGTTCAACAGAAAATTAGAGAAGTATATTTTGTCCATAGCCTACTGTTTATCTTAGTCCTCTAAGAATTTCACACCAAAGTTTTAAATTTTTATGCAATACCACATTTTTCTCAACAGGCCAAATTACATTATTTTTCTACTTTTTAGTTTAACTTTTTATGAAATGGGAAAATTAAGAACTCATAGGGCCCATTGTGAAAGTCAAATACACTTATTTCATATAAGTGTATATTTCAAATTCCTTTTGCCTTCAGGGCTTTCTTCCTTGCAATAATAGCATCAGAAAGGACATTGAAGAAGTGTGGACCCAGGAAACATTTAGTTTATGAACATGGCCTATTAAAAGGTCCATCAGTAGACAAAACAGGTCTCCAAAAGAGAAGTTTCCTAGTAAACAACTAATTTACTTTCTTTGTTAATAACTCCAATTCTTTCTTTACTTATATTGTTCTTTGCAAGGGGAATACAATTCTCTAAAAAGTTCATCCCAGATTCATCCCAGATTCTGTCCCAAGTTTTAACTATCTAAACTGCATATTTTTACAAAATACTCTTTTTACTGGTTTCTATTGACTTAATTGACATATAACTTTTCCCACTACATCGTTTGTATAAGGAGAGATACCTGTTATTGCAGGGGACAAAAAACTTCTTTTTACTCTTTCAGGTTCTGTGACTGGCCCAATAATTAAACTGATATAATACAAATTAACAGGAGAAAGGCAGACATCTTTATTATATAATATTTTTACATGTACACAGGGATCTTCAAAAGAAAAATGAAGACCCACAGAAGCCAAAAGCTTATATACATTTTTACACAAAGAACAATAAATTGTGATGACGTGACAAGATGAAGAGCTTTGGGCTAGTGGTAGCAAAGTGTGGGACAGTTAAAAGGGCATATATGGGGAAAACTAATGGAAGAGAAAGGTTGTTTTGGTAGGTTTGTTTGTACAGGCTCATTATGATATTGAATTCCAGACTCTGGTGATAAGAATGTCTTCTTCCTTCTATAGGAGTCACCTTTCTCATGGAACATTTTATGACCTGCTTTTAGACAGAAAAGGGGAGGTCAGAGAGCCCTTCCTTCATCTGCTGTTTCTCAAGTGCCTTCAGCTCAACATAGTCAGTATGCCAAAGCAGTCATGTTGGGTGGTGTATTCTGAACTCTTCCATTTCCAGGACTATTAAGTGTGGTTTGTTCTTACTTCAGTCTTTGCTATGGCCTTGGCTCAACTTGTTCACATTTTAACTATGCCTTCAATTTGCTATACTCCTGCAAACACTCTTCTCCTTTTCCTTGCTCTCTCTGCCTTTCCTCAATTTGTGGGTGACCTTTCTCTGTACACTTGTATTTGAATTCAATAAATTTAAACCATATTATCTCTACCAGCTACTCCTGGTAATTTTTTCTTGTTCAATACAAGAGATTCTGTTCATAAACAATACCACCCAACACGCTAGCAAGCATGAAGTGATTATCTCAGTGGCCGGCATATAAGTAAGCATGCAAGTAACAATAACTATGTGGCAAGGTATTTTTTGATATAATAACTTGTGAGATGATAATCTTTTTCTCCCTCATAGTTTACCGGCCGGGCATCATCTAACACAATGTTTATTGCCTTAAGAACTAAAGGAAGTAGTCATAGTTCTCCTGACTTCTTGTTTTCTTTTTTCACAGAGGGAAGAGAAAATTCAGGGTACAGACAAGATATTTTGACACATAATCTGAAAGTAGAAGGATTCTCCTTGAGTCTAAAAGAAAGTTACTGTGGTCAGCTATAGAAAGGAGAGCGCTGCACATCTAAGAGCAGAGGGTTCCTCTGAGCTGTCAGACTAGGAACTGACTTAGGTGCAGGATGGTGGGTATCTCAGACGCCAACTGTGGGAACTGATGACTGACATTCACGGGCTTTGCTTTCCTCTCCCTTCACTCCTTGACACTTTATTAGATTCTTGATCCCCTGGTGTTAGACTGGAAGAAATATCTAAAAAGACTAAAACAGTTTCCTCCCAAATGAGTACGGTGGTGTTCAAAATAGGAATCACTCTGTGACATTAAAGCAAAACAAAAAACAAAACAAAACAAAACAAACACTAACTATATATATATATATAATTTTCCTAATACAACTGAGTTTCTGGACCATCCGTGATTCAAAAATGTTATATTATTATTTAGATTCTTATTTTCTTTTCATTCTTTTTGTTATTTTTATTGTCACTCTGTGCATGAAGGGGCTTGTAGAAGAAAAATGTCCTTGAGTTCACAATGTTAATGGTCCAGGGATGGGAAATACACTGCACAAATCTACTCTAATAAAAATTTAGCAACTTATGACTTATCCTCAGTAGTAAAAAGCTCAGCTTTTACTTACTTATTCACATCACACACACACATAATAATGCATTCAACTTATCTTACTGCCCACTTGAAGCCCACTGTCCCCTTATCAGAAAATATAGTTATATTTCATGGGCCTGCTTCACATTTAAATTTTCTGGCTCCTCTCCTGCCCCAGTCATTCTCTTATGATTTGTGTAAATTCTCTTTCCTCTTCCATTTCTACACAGCCTTGAGATACTGTGTGAATTTCCCTACATCTGCTTTTCACTTGGGAGTTTTTTTTTTTTTTTTTTTTTTTTTTTTTTTTTTTGAGACGGAGTCTCGCTCTGTCGCCCAGGCTGGAGTGCAGTGGTGGGATCTCGGCTCACTGCAAGCTCCGCCTCCCGGGTTCACGCCATTCTCCTGCCTCAGCCTCCCAAGTAGCTGGGACTACAGGCGCCCGCCACTACGCCCGGCTAATTTTTTGTATTTTTAGTAGAGACGGGGTTTCACCGTTTTTTTAGCCGGGATGGTCTCGATCTCCTGACCTCGTGATCCGCCCGCCTCGGCCTCCCAAAGTGCTGGGATTACAGGCGTGAGCCACCGCGCCCGGCCTCACTTGGGAGTTTTCAGAGAGTTTGTGTATGTGTGTGTTGGGGCGGTGAGGGGGTGGGGGAGGATGGGAGGGTACTCTCTCACTTTTCTTTTTCTCTAGGCTTCTTTTTAAAATTTTACTTCCTTTTTGTGCTGTTCCTTTGGTCCTTTTTTACTGTTTCTTTTTTCCTCTTTAAGAATCTCTTATAATGCTCTTTAAAATGAATACAGCCTATAATTTTAACTATTTTAAAGTCATGTTTTATATGGGTAAAATTAAGAATTCTGAACATATTATTACTAGAGAGATTTCTTTTACAGCATTTAAAAGAAAGGGTTGCAACGGTTACTATCATAAGTGTCACCTCAAAAATATTTCTTTGTTCACTCAACAAAGCATGCAGAGTACCCACTGTACAGCAGGCTCAGAGCCAGCTCATGAAATTGAATATATGCCATCCTTGTCCATGAAAACTTGTAGGAAGGTAGACAGGCAAAAATCACACTCACAGAAAGATCCATACTATCTTAGTTCATTAAGGCTGCCATACAAAATACCATAAACTGGTAGGTTATAACCAACAGTAACTTATTTCCCACATTTCTGGAGCCTGTAAGGTCCAAGATCAAGAAGCCAGCAGATTCGGCATCTGGTGAGAACCCATTCCTCATAGACAGCAACCTTCTCACTCTAAAGTCACCTGGTGGATTGGGTGAGGGCTTTCCCTGGGGCCGCTTTTATAAGGGCACTTTTCCATTTATGAGGGTGGAGCTCTCATAAGCTAATGACCTCCCAAGGGCCCCACCTTCTACTTCCATAACCTTAGGGGTTAGGATTTCAACATACAAATTTTGGAGGGACACAAATATTCAGACTACAGTACCTGATACAATCTAAATATGTTTAATGTTCAGAGAAAACCTAGGGGGAACACTTCAAAGAGGGACTAAAATCCTTTCTATGAAGGATTGAGTATACCTCAGCTCAGTGGTCACTATACTGCAAATACTCTCCCTAGTGCCATACATTTCCAGGACTTTAATTACTGTCTATAATGTAATTTCCTAAATCTGTTGTTCCACCCAAGATTCTCTCCTGTGCTGTAGATCTAGATATTCAGTTGTCTTCTACAACTTCCATTTGGATAGCCCAGATGTACTTTTATTGCAATTTGTTTAAAATTTTCAGTGTATACATCTACTCAAATGTGCTCTTCCTCTTCTTTTCCTTACTGCCAAGAATGGCCCATCCTACAGCAAGTGACTCAAGCCAGAAATAGATGAATCATTCATGATTCCACCCTCTGCCTTATTTCCTCATCCAATTAATCATCTTCTTTTCCTTCTATATACTAAATGTTTACCTTATGTTGTACCTTACCTTGTGTTGTAATCACTCAGCAGATGCAGGATGGGCTCCTACCCAAAATTTGGTTTAGATGTCAAGACCGATGACACCACACACAAACCAAGAGGGTATGAAAAGTTTTATGACTTAAAGAATAGGGCTTTCTGGAGATATAAGGGCAGGAGCAGATGTATCTAGTGAAGAGTGGACACAGGGCACTCCATACAGTGGGAACAATGTGAAGGCATAGAGGGGTGAAACGTGCGGGTCACAATTGTTACACCAGCAGGGAGAGTGTGTTACAACAGTGGTGTGTGGTTTGGAAGGGTGGGCCATGGTGATAGGATCTGAGAGTAGATATGGGTTAAAATAGTGAAAGGCCTGGTACATTAAACAGAAGTCTGCATTTTGTTGTGTAAGGTTATGATTCTCAAAGTTAAATATATGTGTCCTGAGGGTATGCCTGGTTAAGACTAAAAGCTACTGGATCAATGTGCAACTCCTCCTAGAAAACATAAGGGAACTATAATATTTTAGTATATTTTAAAATTGACACGTGAAAGTTTTTTTTATGTTAAAACTCCTAACACTATCTGCTGTAGAAGACTAAATCTACATGATATTTATGATAAATGATATATTTTTAAAATATTTAAAAATATATAAAATATATAAAAATATATAAAAAATCTTAGGGTGAACCATTTTGAGTAATCCCCACCCCCAGGATTCAGTCTCCAAATTGTCAATGAGAACATTTGGGAATTACTGCTGAGTGATGCACAGTCACTGAAGAATCTTTCACAGAGTTATGGCATCACCATCAGTTTGCAAGTGTATGAGCCTGAGGGTGGAAGTTGAACTGGCAGATCACATGGATTAGAGAAAGTGAGACATTGGAAGGCTATGAAAATAGAGCAAATGAGAGATGATGCTGGCATGTCATAATGCCATAAAAAGTTTGATGTCTGACAGCTTTTATACTTATCTTTCCCTTGTGTCCAACATTTGGGAAAGTGATAAGAAAGTCTAGTGCTTTCTCCTTTGTCTCTGGTAGGTAATTCAAACCACATGAGCCCTTGTCCATACACTGCAACCATCATCCTGATCCCAGACACTAACCACAATAAAAAGAAAAACCCAAGCAGCATCCTTTGCTGCTCTCTCAAGTCATTTTCAAACCAGCTTGGGATTCATGCCCTTATATCCCCAGAAAGCCATATTATTTAAATAATAAAATGTTTCATACCCTCTTGGTATGTGTGTGTTGTCATTAGTCTTGACATGCAAACCAAATTTGGGGTAAAGTTCCATCTTGCCTCTGTGGAGTGATCACAACACAAAGGCAAACTTTTAGGATATATGAGGAAAAGATGATGATTAATTGGATGAGGGAGTAAGGAATCTTGAGTGACTCATCCATCCCTGGCTTGAGTCACTTGGTGTTTGATGGGCCATTCTTTGTAATAAAGAATAAAAGAGAAAGAGCACATTTGGGTAACATGTATACGTTGAAAAGGTAAAACACATTGCAATAGAAGTATATGTGGCCTATCTGAATGGAAGTTGTAGAAGACAGCTGAATATCTAGATCTAGAGCAAAGGAGAGGATCTTGGATGGAAGCACAGGTTTAGGAAATTACAATAAAGGCAGTGATTAAAGTTCTAGAAATGTATGACACTTACTAGGGAGAGTATTTGCAGTATAGACCAGTGAGCTGGGGGAGGCAGGATGTTGTTGATATTGTGACTGAGACTGAAGAAATACTCATTTAGAGAGTGTACCCTCTTTATCTGGTTAAAACCTAATGTTTGATAGTGCTCAACTCAGCCACCCAAAATCTGTTATTCACCATTTGAGGCTGGGTTAGGAGTTTCTCCTTAATCCTTCCTTAACACTCAGAAAATCTCTATTCTTGCACTTTCAGTGACAATTTTATGATTATATTCCTCCATTTAGTGTATAAATACTATTGTGTGAGCACTTTTAAAATTTACCTTTGTACTCCCACTCTGCTACAAATTCCCCTGTATATTCCATTCTGCTAGGCACTGAGTAGGTATTCAGTAAATGTGAAATGAACCAAAGAATAAGAAAATTGATTTTATCTATTTCACCTGTGTCAAAACTAATCAACTGCATTACAAGTCTGGTATTTAGATGTGTCAAGAAAAACTATGAGATCTGATAATACTGATATTCTTCATAAAGGCTAGAAAACCACAGAGAACTTGATTGTGGAATACACACAATAAAAAATAATTTAAAATACATTTTAATTTCCTATTATTTCTGTTTTTATATCACATTTTTTGAATAGCAGTATTTTTTTTCTCAAAGAGCATTTTTCCTACTCTATAGAACAAATTGAATGATTAAATAATTTAAATACAAGGGATATTTCCTAGGCCATCAGCTAGTAAGGTTAGGAATATGATGGGGCTACCATAAAGAAGCAACAAACATCAAGTCAAAGTTTCACTAATTTCTACCATCTAATTCATGATAACATAATCTCTGAAAACTTCGTATTTTCTTCTTTCTCATTTTAAGAATTGTGGTCTCTAAAGAAGCATAATGACAGTGGCTGAAATTCTGGAAGAACTGTCATGGTTCAAACATTTGCTGTGTTGTTTATGAGTAGCATGACTTTTGTGCAAGACATAACCCTTTTGAGCATCAATTTTTTCTCAGCTATAAAGTACATTATAACAGTTGAATTGAACGTATAAAATTGTTTTAAGAATTAAAAGAGATAATGCATGTTAAAGTGTTTAGCTCAGAGCCTTAAATGTAGTAATCTATCAGTAAATTTTTATTGCTGTTTATGATAATAATATCACTTCCTGATATTATTGCTTAGGTGGCCCTGAGCAATGCCATTCCCTTCCTTCTTGCCTTCTTGTCGCTGCAGAACACTTTCCTCAGGACAATTCTGTTTGAGGTGCATCTTCTCGTGCTGTGCTTTACATGTTAGTTGTTTCCACTGCTTCATTTCTTGGTTCCATTTGTGGGGATGAGAGTCCAGCTCTGCCTGCCAATCCTTCCATTTTTCTTACCTGTACTGTCCTGGGGAAACGTCTGCCTCCTTTTGTCTTCAATTTGGCATGATCCACCATCCACTTCCTCATGATGCCATCTCACTGTGATAGAGAACAAGGCCAATGCACACATGTGCAGCCAGATACTTTCCAATAAATGTCTTTTAAGAGACTATTTTTTAAGTAGAATAAAATATGAGATAAAAGGAAAAGGGAAAATAATCAAGGAAGAGCCTTTTGTATCAGAATCTTTTTGGCCTTTCCCTACTGTTTTCAGAATTCAATTTTAAAATGTTGAAAATAAATATACCAACTAAAACAAACTTAAATGATGAAAGAAAAACAGCTTCTGATGTAAATTTTTAGAACTGAAAATAATTTAACTGCAGAATACACACATATGCCTTTAATCTGACTATCACAGTAGATTTAGATGTCTAAGACTGGGAAAATAATAAGAGTGAATAGAGCTAAACGAAGCATTTGTTCTTTTCTCTCTCTCCTCTCCAAACTTGATTTTCTTTTGATTCATTTGGTCATTTGTTCCTAGTTTATTTTATCCCCTAAAATACTATTTTTATGTTATAACTTTGCTCAAAAACCTTCACTAGCTTTCTTCTGTATATACAAAGCACGCCTCTTAGAATCATTAAGTTCTTCAATGGTCCAGTTCCAGACTTTTATTCTGCATATTCCATTTTCATCACAATGTGACCCCTTTCCTCTGACTTAGAAGGCCTACCCATTTTCTCAAAATATAATTTTTATTAATATACCCTTGTGGTTTTACTTGTACCTATTTTTTCTACCTGAAAAATCTTCTTCACTTCTTTTCTCACTCTTTGCATTCCACTGATTTTTCTAAATCTAACTTGGGGAACAAGTGTTCTTTGGGAACACTGGTCCCAAGCGTCCAGCAAGCAGTGACCTCTCATTCCTCCAAATCATTAGTTATCCAGTTATCCTTCACTTTTCATTCGATTTTACTCATTATTTCTTTACTCATTATTTCTAAAATATGCTTAAAATTTGAAGATTTATGTCACCAAAACTTTTCAATGTAGGTAGGAAACAAACATATTAGTCAATTAATGAGCTATAATTTTCCTCACTCATAGCACTAACTATATCTCATGAGGTGGTTATGTCTTGTAGGTTTTTGATCATGTGTAAGTGCTCAGGGCAAAGTGTTTGGAAGGGACCATCTTTCCTTTCTTATGTTTCCATGCGACTCGATCTTCCATTTGAGTAACACATTTGGTTTCTCTTTGTCCCCTTACTTGGTTCTCTAATTATGGGGAAAAACACTAGCTAGCTACATTAGCACTCATTCTAACTCATATTTTTCAACACTGGATTTATTGGTAATGAATGTGATATCTGGATCTCCATATGTGTAACTCTTATGCCTATCTCTCTGTTAGTTCTGACCTTCATTTAGGGGGAAGAGTAATAGTTATGAGGACCACTTAAACTCCAACACACGCTTTTGTACATGACATTATGCAAGAGATATTTGTTCCATTTACTAAATTAATAATTTCCAGTCACTTAAATAACAGAAATGAATCTGATTTAGACTGTCTAGTACTTACCTTTTGTTATTTTGAGTGGCAAAAATGAAAAAAAGTTACTTTATTAAGGTTCAAGTACCTGGCTATGAGAGCATTTTGAAGTCTTAATATAGTAAGTAAACCCAATTATGATGCATAGTCTTTAAAACAATTTTACCTTTCTTTCCCCATAAGATGCATTTATAGTTTTGAAGAGGAAGGAATGACAGGGTTATGGCATTGGCTTCTGCCTCAGGATGTTCTCTAGTTCATCCCAGCTCTTGTATTGTTTCATCTCTCAGTGAATACGTTCAGTTTTTTTTTTTTAATGAATGAAGCTACTTACACAGAAATTATAAAGCCATTTTAATTTCTTATGTGTGTCTAAAGTGTCCATAGAGCACATTATTAAAAGTAAGAAGGGAAGACCCAAAACTTACCAATGGAACTGATAGATGTGACATTCTTTATTATGACAATATTTTCCTCTTTTACTTGAAAAGCTTTTTGTTCTACTATTACAGAAAACTCTATGTATTACTTAAAAACTATACTATTTATGCAAGATTTTTTTCAGACAGCTCTAAAATGTAGATAGCTAAGTTGCTAAACACAACAATTCATAGTTAATAGATTAAGGAGTGAAAATGACATATTTGCTTGAAATTGTATGGATGATTTAGGCTGACAACACAATTTCCTAGCATAAAATTTAACCATGTATTTTAAAAATAGAACCAGGGGAACTTGAATGACAATTGTTCTGTGTTTTATCCACTTGAAAATTCATGAATATGTATTGAATATCTCATGAGTCCATTTTTCCTTATTTTACAAACTTATTTTCACTATAAAATCAACATAACCATATTTTTGAAACTTTGAAAAATGTAAGTAGAAATCACTTCTAATCACTGAACAAAACTACTTTTATAGTTTTGAGTATGACTTAGGCCCTTGGGTGAATTTCAACAAGTTATTTAACCCCTCAGAGACATTTGTTATACTTGAAAACAGGCAAGAATAAAATTAATTTCCACATGGCTGAATTAGAGTAAAAATTAGAAATAATATATAAAAATGTTACAGTGAGCTGAACTCACCAAATCTACTTAAGAATAAGGTAAGGCATAAATTCACAAAATCATTAGAAAAAGTTATGTGGAGAATTATTTGTTTTAATATATTTCTTGCCAATATTTTTCTAATAAATAAGTTTCCATAAATTTTTATAGTGTAGAATAATACACACACGCACACATGCACACACATATGCACACTACTTTGTAACCTGTTTTTGTTCATAACATTTTATCAAAAACATTGGCCATGTTATACATAGTCTTCATGTCATTTTAATTTTCCTGAAGACGTATTTCTCTTCTGAGGCTTGAGTTTTACATCATTCTGGACTTATAACTCTTTAGGATGGCTGCACAATGGTCATTTTTAATTTTTCTTAATCAAAAATGACCCAGGGATTTTCTTCATTTTTCTCTTTTGTTGGGACCTGTGGTCACTGAATCCTATAAGCTCCTTTTTCTTGATTTAATTTTTCATTTTGTAGAACACATGCATCAGTCATATCATGAGTGTCCTAGTTCATCATCCCTGAGGGAATGGCTGATACTCTATAAGAAAGAAAATAAAATGCATATGTAGAGTATGTGTTTATTTCATTCAAGATGAATAGCTGTCCCTTTAGAGTGAAGAGTCTTGTGAAATTAACTTGCCAACCAATTGAATGGTTGAAGAGACGTCACTATATGGGTACTCAGAATTGGTCTTTGTTTAGGCAGATTAGCCTTGGTGGGTGGAACCTCATGTTACTGGGCCGATGCATAGTCCCCATCTTTGCCACTATTGTTACAAGATGGGGATGTTCAATGACAGAGACTATCTGAATCACGTAGTCAATTAGCTAAACCATTGTATCTACTTGGTTGTTTAGTGCCTTTTCCATGGTAGATATTCTCTGATGAGTATTGACATGTGATACAAAGATTTTTGCACTTCATGACCACTCCGATAGGTCCATTCACATGCCTCTTCTAGAACTCTTCGTTTCTTATTTGCTATTTTTTCTCTTTCCAAACTCTGACCAAGAAATCAAGTCATTTTGTACCATGAATACACGCATGTTTTTGCCTTGGAAAATTTCTTTTTCCAAACAATGTAGAATAACAGGTGCAGGCCCAAAAGCTTTTTTGCTGAAATGATTGCCAACATTATAGTTTTCAGGGCCATTCTGAGTGGCTCTGTCCTATGTCAGCAATATATTAGTCTTTAATTAAATTAAGATTAGTTATTGTACTCATACTAACTGACCCATTTACTAACTGAGCTTGATCTTCCTTCACTTGTATCACATTTTAATAAGGGGCAAGAGCGTCCCTATATCAATAAGTTCTTTATATTCATCTTTATACATAATCCACCTTGATCCAGCCCTCTCTGATTCCACAACCATATATATTATTGTGGGATTTGCTGACATGTGTTTGTTATATTCTAGAGGTCCTTTGGTCTAGTACTTTTTCTTGGTTAATGGGCCAGCATCTTTCTGGATTATGTTGTGCATAAATTGCACTGTGGATTGGCCCTAATTTTTTTCTGGTAACTAGGAGAAGTGGAGGTAGATTTTGAAAGGGATATGTGTGTTTATACAAAGCAGGGTCCTCTGCATCATCTTAAAAAATAATGGGAGAGGGATGACTACTAATGGGGAGGAGTGAGTCACTTTTGAAAGCCTAGAAGTTTCATTTCAGGGGAATGTGAATTCTCAAGATTCTTGACTGTTTTATGCAACCTATCTATCTTTACCCAAAGTTTTAAAATTTCACTCTTTCTCAACTTGGGCCCTAATTTTTACATAGCACAATTGCCAGAGTTGATGTGATGACTGTCTTTGGAGCTCTGCTTTGCTAATAAGTCTTAAATCTGATTCTGACCATTTTTTGCCTCTAATATCAGCAGATAAGAACCTCATTGTCTTTTTTTTTTTCTTTTTTTTTTTGAGAGAGAGTCTCACTCTGTCACCCAGGCTGGAGTGCAGTAGGGTGTTTCGGCTCACTGCAACCTCCGCCTCCCAGTTCCAAGCAATTCTCCTGCCTCAGCCTATTGAATAGCTGGGATTAGAGGTGGGTGCCACTACGCCTGGCTAATTTTTGTATTTTTAGTAGAGATAGGGTTTCACCATGTTGGCCAGGCTGGTCTTGAACTCCTGGCCTCAGGTGATCCACCTGCCTCAGCCTCCCAAAGAGCTGGGATTGTGGGCGTGAGCCACCACACCCAGACTTCATTGTCTTTCTTCAATGCAATAATAGCATGAGCAAATGCCATCCTATTGCATTTTCTTCATAATAAGTACTCCTCTAGAACCTATCAAATGTCTGAGATAGTGCACTTGCTGGTACATTTTCTTTCATTGATTTCCCATCTCACTTTACAATCAATGAATGCTTTAAAAATTTCACAGCTATAATATGCCAGTTGCTCTCATCAGTCCAATTACCACCCATGTTCATGATAAAGCTCTTGTTGCCAGCCAGCTGGTGATGATCTAGCTCTAAACTCTCATTTTTAGACTCTGCTTCCTCAATCATTTCTGTTAACAGTTGTTTTAATTGAGTTCCTCAGAAATTGTCTCAAGAAGAACATTTATATGCAGAAAGATTATTCAGGAATGCTCTAAGGAACACTTGTGAAGACATGGGTGGTGGATAGAAAGAGAAATTAAAGTACAGCACAGAACATAGGTCTTAGCTGAACCAAAAGGAAGCTCTAGAGCTGAAATGGCCCTTCAGAGTTATTGTACATTGAGGATAGATAGATGGCTTAGTATTTGTACCCTTTCTCCTTGATCAGTCCCTGGATGAAGGCTGTCCTGGAGGTGGGGACATGCCTCCTTCAGTCAAGAGTAATCCCAAAGAAGGACATAACTGTAAGCAGTCAGCAAACAATATTTCCAGAAGCTGGGGAATGTGTACAATGTATGACACAGAAAAAGTGCGTAAAAGATAAAATTTGAGACCTTGCAAATAGAAAATCCAGTTGTTCTATAGCAATTAGTTTGGGTATAGAATGCTGGCTTGGACAAATTTATTCCTTCTGAATTCTAAAGTATTGCTCAATTGTATTCTCAGGTAGCCTCTAAAACAGTCCCAAGTGATCCTCACCTCCTGGTATTCACCTTTGTAGTCCTCTCCTCATGAGTATGAACTCAATTTAGTTATTTAGTTTTAATGAATAGAACATGGCAAAAGTGGTGGGATGCCACCTCTGACACTAGAATGAAAGTCCATGGCTTCTGTTTGGGGCATTCTTTCTCTCTCTCTTTCTTAGAAGGAAGCCAGCTGCCATGCTTTGAGCTGCTCTATGGAAAGGCACATTTGGCAAGGAACTGATGCCTCCAGTCAACAGCCAGCCAGGACTTGAGACCAGGTAACAAGCACAGGGGTGTGCTTGGGAGCAGACCCTCCTGCATTTGACCCTTGAGATGACTACAGCCCCAGTCATAATGAGTCAGAAGCATCCAGCCAAGTCATTCCCACTTCCTGACCCATAGGAATTGTGAAATGATAAATGTGGGGTTTTTTTTAAGCTGCTAACTTTGGGTATAATTTGTTGTGCAGCAATAAATAGCTAATATACAATATTTCCACTGAGAAGTTAACTGTTATTTTGAACTCTGAATCTCATATAGACCAGTGTTCACTTTATCTTACTCTCTCTCTCTCCTCTCTCTCACTCTCTGTCTCTGAAATTTCTTCAGATTTTTTATTTGTTTCTGGTGCTCTTACTTTTCACAATGTTGGAACTTATTGATGGTTCTGTCTGTGTCTATTGGGCTGGACATGCTTTAGGATCTTTTATAACCTGTACTCAGTTTGAGTAGTTTCTTGGGTTGATTCCGTTTTGATTTTCTCATTTCTTTGGAAATTTATAATTTTAAAATTTTGGACCACTGAGAACATTTTTAAATTGTCTTAATCTAACTTTCCACTTCTATTCTTTTGCCTATTCTTCTTAGATAATTTTTACACTTTATTTTCAAGCCCTTCTATTAATATTTTTATTTCTGCTGTGTTATTTCTAAGACTTACAGATTTTATAATGCTATTTTTTAGCATCTCTCCTATTTTGTGGATATGTCATCTTTTCTCTCTGAATATGATAATGAGGCTTTCATTTGTTTTCTAAGTTTTTATATCCCTAGGTATTTACTGTTTTGATAATTTTTTCTTCCCTGTTTGTTTGCTTTGCTTTTTTCTTCCAAGATAAAGCCTGGAAGCTGCACGTCACCTGCCAGCTTTGTGTGTGCCCAGTGAGGTAAGAAAATTGGCAGCATTAAGATTTAGTAGATACATTTTCATGCATACCAGGTTTTTAGTGCTATACTTCTGCTCTCAGATGTGCCTGTCATCTCCCTCTGATATCCAGACCCTGTTTTACCCTTTAGTAAACTGCTGGGGTTTGGAAAAGGGCAGCTGCCCAGCATAGAGAAGAGTTCTGTGAGGTTTTTGCCTTATGTGGACCTCCATTTTAGTTATATATTGCTGCATAACAACTCTATTCTTTCCCCCAAATTTAGCAATAAAAAGCAAAAACTACTTTATTATGTTCACAAATTTTGTGTGTGAAGAATCGAGAATGGGTGAAACATGAAAGTCTTTCTTCTTTCTGTAATGTTTGTGGCTTCAGTGCAGGTGGCATAATGACCAGCGGTGACTTGAATGACAAGGGGACAGAACAGCTGGACAATCCAATTCCTAGATGCTTTCTCCAGTTATGGCCCTGACTGGGATCTCCGAAGAATGACTCAGCTGAAACTGTCAGTGAGGATGCTTACCTGTGGTCTCCCCATCATGGTGGTATCAGGGTTGTTGAACACCTTACATGGCTCCAAAAGCAAGTGTTCTGGAATGTAAGGCAACAGCTGTGTGGTCTTTCATAATCCAGCATCAGAAGTCACATGGCATCACTCCTGCTAAAATTTCTTTGTGGAAGCAGCCACAAAACTGCCCAAATTCAAGTAGAGGGCACACAGATCTTATTTTTTGATGGGAGGACTCACAAAAATTTTGCCACCATATTATAAAAACACTATAAGATCTAATAGTAACTTTAACTTTTTTTAACCAATCCTTCTATTTTCAGCCCAGACTTCACTTCCTTATTCAGATGTATAAATGTCTTCTGTGGCTTTGTGATCAAATCTGAATGTTTCTTGGATTTACCCCTGCCAGCTAAGGATTTGGCCTTCTTTGATCTGTTAAATCAGTTCTCAAACACTGACTTGTTTTCCATCTAAAATATCAGGGTGACCTTTATCCCATTCTCATTGCTTTGAGGATTTTGTGCCCCCTTTTTTAAAGTCACTTTCTATGTATTTTTATATGAGTGAGGTTTTGGGAGAAAGTACAGATAAATATATATTCTCAATCTACCACTTTAATTGAAAATTCTTGTTTTTTCTTTTACAAAATTCCTAATGTTTGCCTAACAAACATTTATTGAGAAACTGCTGTATTTTCAGTATGTGTTAAGGTCTGTGTACATCTATTTTATATACATTATCTTATTTAATATGCTCATTTAATTTCCACATCTTGTTTAACATTTATAATCTTTTGATTTGTTAAATACAATTTGTAGAAGACCATTGGTTTAGCGTGAGCTGCACCAGGCCTGGCAGACCAAACCAAAATGTAGTATCTCATACTAAAGTTCCATGCCACCAAGCTGAAACTAAGTTGTTTATCTGACTTTCCAAGAAGTCAGGAGAAAGAGATAACAGTCAAATCCCCAAATATGCTAGTTTGAGTTGGCATGATAGGAAAGTTCCTTCCACTTTAGCCTTTATACGAAAGTAACTTTGGAATGATCAGTCTGCTTTTTGTTTCCTGTTTCTGTTTCAGCACTTTTTGTAAAGCCAACTTCTTCTCAGCACATCAGAACACTCATTCTACTTTATAGAATGAGGTATAATCTGAATCTAAAATCACAAATAAAAGCCAATTAAGATTTTTAAAGTAAGTTTGTTGTAATTTTGTCTTTTGACAGATTTCATCATTGCCTACATTTGTCTTCAGACGACCTGCAGTACAAACTTGGCTTAAACCTGCAGTTGACAATGGTAACAGGAATCTTATTTTAAAAAATAATATGCGCCACCAGCTAAGTTGGTCATGATGAGGTCTGGGCCTTGATAGCCTTCTGGGTTTTAATTCACACAATATGTTTGAAAAAAGAAAAATCAAAGTAACTGTAATTTTTTTGTAAAGCAAAATACTTTTTAAAAGCCATGAGGCACGTGTTACTCAAAGGGCTCCTTGGATGAATTATTTTGTAAGGCAAATGATTTGTTATAGTTCCAATGACATCTAAATTTGCCAGTTGTAAATACTGGAATTTTTGGTCCTTGCATTGAACTTACTGGTATTGATGTGCTATATAACTAAATGTCTTCTAAAAGGATTCACCGTGGGAGAATAAATTACAATGGATAAAAAACAGCATTACAATCCCTCAATAAAATGGGATTTTAACAGACAAAGGTGAGTCAGTGGTGAAAGGCAGGAGAAGATACAACAGGTAAGTGTCTGACTTCAGGCTGGAGCCCTAATATAATAATAAGTCCTTCTTGTATTGTAATCTCTTACAGCTGAATCTCCATGTGCTCTCTCTCTCTTCTAACATCAATGCAGCTCCTGGTATGTGGTCGTTCTCAGGCCCAAAGGCCCATTTTGCTTTTGGCTGCAACTCTGTAACTCTGTAACAGAGACCAAGTGCCTGCAGGGAGCAGATGTTTGGGGCAGTATCTGCTAAGGTGGCTTTGCTGAAACTTGTTTCTCTCATTGGGTCTTGGAAGTGGCGAATAGGACGTTCCTATAGAAAAACTCAGAAAGGTAGTGTTCTATCATCAATAACATGATCAGCATGACAATATTGTATTATGTTTATTCCAGTAACGGGCCAAATATTCTGCATAAATTACCTAATTTAAGACAAGTACTATGTTTAGTTCCATTCTTCAAATCAGAGAATTGAGGAAAAAAACAAAGGCTTTTTTTTTTCAGATAATGAAGCTGCTATTTGCAAGAACTGCATCTGTCTGACTCTCAGACAGATCTACACCAGTGTTTAGCAGACATGCCAAATGATAAGAGTCAATCACAGCCTCTGTAGAAAATACTGGAACCCTGATGTGGACTTACTGAATCAGAATCTCCAGGCAATAAGCTTGAGATTCTCTGGTTTGTAAAGCCAACCAAGTGATTTTCTTTCCTTCCTTCCTTCCCTCCTTCCTTCCTTCCTTCCCTCCCTCCCTTCCTCCTTCCTTTCCTTCATTCCTCCCTCCCTCCTTCCATCCATGCCTTCTTCTTTCCTTCCTTCCCTTTTTCCTTCCCTTCCTTCCTCCCTTCTTTCCTTTTTCTTTCTCTTTTTTTCCTTTTTCTTTCTTTCTCTCTCCTTTCCTTTTCCCTTTTTCTCTCTTTCTCTTCTTCCTTCCCTCCCTCCTTCCTTCCTTCCCTCCCTCCTTCCTTCCTTCCCTCCCTCCTTCCTTCCTTCCCTCCCTCCTTCCTTCCTTTTTCCTTCCTCCCTCCCTCCCTTTTTTCTTTCCTTTTTCTTTTTTCTTTCTCTTTTTCTTCTTTTTCTTTCTTTCTTTCTCTCTCTCCTCTTTTTCTTTTTTTCTCTCTCTCCTTCCTTCCTTTTTTCCTTCTCTCTCTCTCTCTTTACCATATTGCACTACCTTTTATCATCACATTTGATTTGATAATAAAGGATAATCAAATAAAAAGGTGAAAATTGCTAGATTTTTGATAATTTCTTCTAGTAATCATCACAGTATGTTCGTTTTGTTTTTGTTTTTGTTTTTGTTTTTGTTTTTTTTGACAGAGTCTCGCTCTGTCTCCCAGGCTGGAGTGCAGTGGCGTGATCTCAGTTCACTGCAACCTCCGCCTCCCGGGTTCAAGCGATACTCCTGCCTCAGCCTCTCGAGTAGCTGGGACTAGAGGCACAAGTCACCATGCCCAGCTAATTTTTTAAAATATATTTTTAGTAGAGACGGGGGGGGGTTCACTGTGTTAGCCAGGATGGTCTCGATCTCCTGACCTCGTGATCTGCTGCCTCGGCCTCCCAAAGTGCTAGAATTACAGGCGTGAGCCACTGCACCCAGCCTTATATTTGTTTTTTAATAGCTGTACATCGTACCATCCATAGCATCTGCTAATACCACATTCTGCCAAAACAACCCAGTCAGAAATCTCCCAGAGGAGGTATTGTGTCCAGGTATTTTAACTACACAAACCCATGCATTCTGATGATTGCTGCTGTATTTTCTTCTCTTGTTGGAAGACTGCGATTGATAAGATCCGACTCCTTTGGTTAGTAGTTAGCCTGCACAGGGCGGCAATAATGCCCTGTTTGCTTATCGTAAGAGTTTGCTGCTTACGAATTGCTTATTTCTCTTAGAAGCTCTTCTCCACCACATCCAGTTCTGCAGTATCCTTCCGATGTCATTTGTCTGTAGTTCATCAGCCCCCGGCTTTTCTCCCAGCTCAAGATCCTTTTCCAAGCAACCCTCCATGATACAAGGTTTTTTTTTTTTTTTTTTTTTTTTTACTTTTTGCCTCTGCAGTAACATGGTTCCATTTGCTCCTTTTCCTGTTCTTTCTCTGCTTGCAGGCCTCTGATGGGGCAAACATACAGTGGGAAGCATTCCCTTAGAGAAGTAACTTCAGATCTGCTTTTGTGATACTTAAGTGAGCTTACCGTTACTTTTTAGCGGGATGTTGTAAAATTCTCAAATAGTTCCTCTATAAAAGAATGTCTTATAAGGCTGTTGGTAGTATAAAGTATTAATGTGAAATAAAATAAATAATAGATTGTGAAAATTTTTGAAAGGACAGTTTTACTGATCTTTTGTTTGAAATGATTAATATCCCTTTCCATATGCCCACTTGAATTTCAAGGAAAGACTTAAGTTTCTCATAGACTTTAGCTTATATGCTATTATATATACCATTTGGGAAAAAAGTTTAACTCTAGTACATAGCTTTCTATGTCTTTTATGAAAATACTATATGCAATTTCAAATATTTAAATTAATTTTATGGTATCAGTAAAATATATGAAGTTAAAGGAAAATTTCTCAAACTCTACTTTTTACAAAAGTTGAAGCCTGTGGCTAAAATTACCTTTATGTGGCTTATTCAGAAGTGGTGGCAAAATGTTTAAAAATATGATCTTCCTCTTTGCAGAGACTGTGAAAGATAATCTTAAAGAGGCACTCACGAAACACAAGCTCCTTCTCCGGGAAAAAGAATCATCACCCTTGTTATCCCATGAAAATTCATCTTCTCCTTTTCAGCTGATATGAGGACTTGATCTGTCCTTTCCTATAAGTGCCATCTGTGTTTAAATGAGGCTGTTACTCTAACTCAAAGCAGACTTGCAAGAGTAAAATAATCAATCTTCATCATATTGCTGCACTTTCGACAGTTAATTTTCTAGAGTAATTTGTCATTGTGAGGAGCATAAGATTTGTCTGAATTTGTGTCAAAGGTTATTGACTGAATTGCCACCTCATCTTTTCAGTCAATCTATAAATATGGGCAAGTTTGGGCAGAGGCTAATGGCCTTCTCACTAAGGGGATGAGATTGTCCAAGTTAGGCAACTGATAAGAGGTAGAAATATCTATTGTGTCACCCATTTCTTGTGGTAGCATTGACTTAGAGTTAATCTCAGAAACTTCACTTAACCTTCTTAATCCTTTTCTTCCTGTAAAACAAGGCTAAAAATTGTCATAACTATATTCTAGTTTCCACAAAAGCTAATCTAAGTATTAAAATTTTTATTGTGACTTTGTGAGAGTGATCCTGTATTTTTCACAAAACTAAGAAGAAAATATTTTTATTTAGTGTTTTTCTATGAATAGCTTTTGGTTTTTGGAAAAACCATCTGATCTTTATTACTAAGATTCTTGCTTCTTAGGTCAAATTCTTGTTCCCTGTCTTTATATAGAGTCTAATATTGGGAACATACCCAAGGACCACATGGATAATTTTATGATGCTTGCTGACTATTATGTTTCTTGCCCACTTTAATAGCCTAATAATAATAGTTACGAATTCTTATTGAGAAATAGCCATTCTTAATCAATGCCAATGACAGTGTTTCCTCTTTCAGACTGAAGGAAAAACAGGGAGAAAACCAGTTCATATATTATGGTTAAACACTGATAAAACATTTTGGTTAAATATCTGCCTTCATGGGTTATTGCAAAATAGATTAGTTTAAAGCTCATCTAGCCCTGAAATATACAGTTAGATTATTTTTTATGGATTTCAATTATTTTTATTTCATTACAGTTATTTTTTTTTCAATACATGGCCTGTTTGAAGATACATCATAGTAATGGTAACAGCAGCAACCACTGCAGTAAATAACTGACAATTGCTGAACAATTCATGTCTGCCATGCCATGCTATGAGGGCCTTAAGGAATAAATACAACTTATATTCATAATAAACATAGGAGGTTGTAGAAGGCTAAATAATGGGTCACCAAAGATACCCACATCCCATAATTCCTGTAACTGGTGACTATGTTACCTTGCATGGTAGAAGGGATTTTGCAGTTGAGGTTAAGGTTAAAGACTTTATAAAGGCAGATTATCTTGGATTATCTGGGTGGGTCTTTAAAAGCGGAAGAGAAAAGCAGAAAAGCAAGTCAGACAGACAGATGCAACTACAGAAGAGACAGTAGGGACTCAACTCAAATGACTAACTTTGAAGATGGAGGAGGTGGTCCATGAGGCAAGGAATGCACTTGCTTCTAGAAGCTGGGAATAACCCACAGCTAGAAGCAAAGTAGGAAATGGAAGTCTCAATTCTACATCGTAAGGAAGTGAATTCTGCCAATAACTTGAAAGAGAAGGAAATAGATTCCCTCCAGAGGCTCTAGAAAATAATGTATCCCTGCTGACACCTTAATTTGATTTGAGCCCCATGAGACCCACGTTGGACTTCTGACTTATGGAGCTTGTAAGATAATAAATTTGCATTGTTTCAGCCACTACATTTGTGGAAATTTGTTACAACCACAATAGGAAACTCATAGAATAGTAATCACTAGTAATATCTTCATTTAACAGTTGAGGAAATTGAGGCAGGACAACACAAGTTATAAAAATTATCTCAGTTCTTAGTAGAGTTCCTGGCATATGACAAGCAGTTAATGTCTTTGTAGAATGAATGAATGAATAAATAAATAGATTTTTTCTTATGCTTTCCCAAACCAATGTATATTTAATTCTGTCTTTAACTAGATATTTTCCTAATGGAAATACTTTTACTAGTCAATGAAACTACAGACCTATAAAGTTCAATCACTGCTCTCTGAGAGTGCAGAAAAAATGACCGCTCAACAACGTATAATATATTTGAAGAGTAACATGGGGGGCCATCAGAAGTTGAGTAAGAGTATACATTAATTATTCAAGACAAAAATACAAGCAATATTTTAATATAGTATCTGTGTAATTGGAAAATATATAAATCACTTTTGACCTTCTCAATATCAACTAAGGTCAAATAAACAATTTCCCCCATTCTGAAACATGCTGTACAGAGTTGTCCATGTGAGAAAGAGCTCAATTGCTACCTTCTGTCTGCAATTCAGAGCATCTATATTTTTCAGTTTGGATTTGAAAATTTAAAACCATATTTGAAACTTTGATACGGTTTCTCTCCCAATGATCTTAACACCAATGACATCCTATAGACAAGAACTTTGTTTTACTTCCATTGCAGGTGTCCAGAGGAATGACTGCCTCTCTCTGTAAGATACTTCCGAGTTCTTCTTCCATCCGTAGTTAATTGTCTTATGCCACACAGTATAGAAGTTAGACCAGATTTCGCATATCCTCCAGAGTGAGTGCAAATCAGTGCTTCAGTTTCTCGTTCTCTGAAGGATGACAGCCTAGCCCTTAGGAAAGGTTTTCTTAAAGTCCTAAGCTTGTATAGGGCATCTAGCCTATAGTATCACTTCACAGACATAACAACTAAATATGGTGAAAGTCTTCCCAAGTTATTCCAAGTAATATAACAACAGACAAAAACAATGTTTATTTAAATGGACATAATATTTACATGATTTTGGGAAAAGTTGAGATCACTTCACCTTAGATGATAAAATAAAAGACAATCCAAAGAAGTGGAAATAGACTTAGGTCTTGGAGTATGTATAAAATTTAATTAAGGTAAAGAGAGGAAAGTGGACTATTCAGATGGAAGAAATGTAAGGATAAAAGTAGGTTGTGAGAAACTTCAAGGTGTTTAGAGGATCACAAACAGACCAGTTTAAACAGAACTAATTTTCAATTCATGAGAATTATAGGAAATAAGCCTGAAAAGTTATGTTGGCACCAGATTGTAGAAAGCATTGAATGTTAAATAAGGAATCTGAACCAAAGCTCAAGTTATTTAGTTTGTTCAAAAGTTGAGCAGTGTTACACTGAAAGCATGTTCATATGTTCAAAAAGTGTTAAACAGTATTCATTTTAAAATATGAGTGGCATTTAAATTCATAATGAATGCTTTCTGAAGACATTATAATTCCATTCAAATGACTCGATAGCATGAGTCTACATCTATAAGTTTACAAGTAGGAAGGTGAAAGTACACTTCTTTATCTATTTAAGACTTATTACTTCAGAGATCGCACATGAATCAGTGTGTGTTGAAAAGGTAATAATGGGCAAGAGACTAGGTATTCAGCAATAAATTATATTTTAGATAGACATTTATGAATGCAGTGAAGTTCAATATTTCTGTATTGAAACCTCTTGCAGCTACTGTTTTGGTTGAATATACTGTTGAGATGAAAGCCTCAGGTTTAGGTTGGCACTTCAGTTCTCCAAGGATTAATTCAGTGGTAAAAAACCAAAATCCTACTCTAGGAGAACTGATGACACATTGTGTCTAATTGACTGAGATGAAATAAATTGGCTTTTTCAAAAATGCCTGCATTGAAAATTCAAGTGTATGAATATTGCAAAAATGAGGGAAACAGGAGAAAACTTTTTTCATAAAAACAAGTCTAGCAGTTAAAAAAAAATCTTGGAGATAAATGTAAATTTCATGCTTCAAGGAAAAATCTAATAAATGTTTAACATTCTATTTCATGAGACAGACTTGTGTATGCTTTAGACACAGAGCTTAAGATAGGACAGACACTGTAAGTTAACAGTATGTTTTAACTTATTTGGAGATAGAAAATGCTCTTCCAAAATATTTAATTTTCTGTTAGTTTTGAAAAGTATTCTCCTAGACAAAGATAAACCAAAATGTAACTTTCAAGATTAATTAATAAAGAAACCCAAATTAGGCTGGGCACGGGGGCTCATGCCTGTAATCCCAGCACTTTGGGAGCCGAGGCGGGTGGATCAACTGAGGTCCGGAGTTTGAGACCAGCCTGCCCAAAATGGCGACACCCCGTCTCTAATAAAAATACAAAAAAATTAGCCGGGTGTTGTGGCGGGCTCCTGTAATCCCAGCTACTCGGGAGTCTGAGGCAGGAGAATCGCTAGAACCCGGGATGCAGAGGTTGCGGTGAGCCGAGATCGAATAACAAAAATCATTCCTCTTAAGAAAGTACCTGGTTATCTGTACTCATGCTTGTAATCCCAGCACTTTGGGAGGCCAAGGCGGGCGGATCACCTGAGGTCAGGAGTTCAACACGAGACTGACCAACATGGAGAAATCTCCTTTCTACTAAAAACACAAAATTAGCCGGGCGTGGTGGCACATGACTGTAATCCCAGCTACTCGGGAGGCTGAGGCAGGAGAAGCGCTTGAACCCAGGAGGTGGAGGTTGCGGTGAGCTGAGATCACTCTTGTGAGCAACAAGGGTGAAACTCCATCTCAAAACAAAAACAAACAAAAGAAAAACAACAAAGTACCTGGTTTTGATAAACTACTAGTGAGTAGGGAACCACTGTGGGCAGATGAAGCAATGAGAATCACTGGGTCATTAAGGGGCAAGACATGAGAGGAGTTACCAAACTCTTCTTTCAGAAATGAATGGAAATTTGAGGAAAATTGGTGGGTGCCAGTAGGGGTGAAAGAAGAGAGAAGAGAAGAGGGCAGAAACGAAATAGGGTGTCCTATTGCCAGACAAGGCAGAAGGCAGGGAATAAAATGGAGAAATATCCTAAGGCCCTTTAGTACTCAAAATCATTATGACAAGGTTTTAAGTTGAGTTGCTGTACTGTAACCCCTATAATTTTTTCATCACTTTTAGTAATAATGTCTTTCACATATACACATACTTTATGTAACAGGCTGGTCTAATATAAATTAAAAAAATAAGTGGAATGAGTTTCGTATCTGAATGAATGAAAAGACATTACAAAGGTAAATCAGAGGTCACAGCCAAAGGTTGGAATAAAAATTCTGGCTCCCTGTAAACTTAGGGAAATCTTGAAGCCAGTTTTTTTTATTCCACATGGCAGGTAATGGGCCTGGGAACAATAAAGTATTGCTCAAGGGGTGACAAAATCCCAGCTGAAACTTGGGTTACATATCTTTCTATTAAAGTTTTACTTTGGAGGACTTCTGAAAATTTCTGTAGGCATTTGGGTTCTTCAGGTGAAAACCACAAATAAATCTGGGTAACTATAGCAAAAAGATAATTTATTAAACTAATACAGAATGGCTCACGGAATTGAAGAATGAAGTAAATAAGCAATCAAAGTGTGGTAAGGATTGGAGCCAGGGCATCTGTGGTGTCTTCAGCATTACCAATGAACAGTCTATTCTGGAGGCTTCTTATTGGAAATCTTTTAGTTCAGATCTCAAACCATATTTTTCTAAATTTAATTTCCCAAAAGAAAGAGAGCAATTGGCCTGATCAGAGTGATCTGCCCTTCCCTTTGGACAATAGAAGGGGTGTGGTTTGATCTACTGGTCATTATATTTTCTTAGTCTCCTTCAGTCTGTGACTCTTTTTTTAGACTCTTTTTTTGTTTGTTTTCATGGCCTTGAGAGTTTTGAAGTCAAACGTTTTGTAGAATGTTCTTAAATTTTAGTTTGTCTGATATTTTGTCATGATTAGATAGGGGTATGCATTTTTGTGAACAAGATCATAGAGGTGAAGTGTCCTCATCATGTTATATTGGGGGGTATATGGTATCAACATGATATTACTCATGAAGTAAACCTTGATCATATGGTTGAAATGACATCAATAAAGTTATTTTTTCCTTTTCGTCTCTGTTAGTTAAATGCAATAGCAACTTCATCCAAAGTGGAAATGGCCACAAATATCCACTAACTGTTGAATGGATAAACAAATTTAGTACATTCATATGATTAAATACTTTCCAGTGATAAAGAAGAACAGACTAATGTTACATGCAACAACATGAATGACTTTTGAAAGCATTATGCTAAGTGCAAGAGTCCAGACTCAAAATACTACGTGTTGAGTGATTCCATTTATATGACATTCTGGTAAAGGCAAAACTATGGGGACAGAAATCAAATCAATGGTTTCTATGGTCAGGGTGTGGGAGAGGGAGATTGAATATAAAGAAGCAAATTTTTTGGGCTGATGGAAATGTTCTATATCTTAACTGTATCATATATATAATCATGTTTATATTATATGTGATTGCCAAAATTATAACACTGGACATATTACAATAGAAGTAAATGTTACTACATGTAAAATATACCTCAACAAACCCGTCTTTAAAAAATGTAGTGCCACAACAGGCTGCTACAGACTAGGCTGATAGTTGCCATTAATTGCCCACAAAGAAATACTGAGTTTCTACTATAAGCAGGTGAATCTCAGAACAGAGTATATAAAAGAAAGGAAATAGTTTAAAAATACTGTAGACTCTATCAGTGCCTTATCATATCTTCTGGGCACCCACTTTATTTCTATAGGCCAATGGCTTCCTATTCAAAGCAACAGCAGATCTTTGAGGGTTTGCTAAGGCCACTGGAGGCCACTCTATTGATGCACATGGCAGGAATGAAATATCAGGAGTTGACCATTCCACAGGACAGCTCTCAACCAATGATTTACCAGAGTTAGTGGGTAAATACTCTGGCTCTCTTGCTACATAGTCTCCAAAGGGCCCCCATGAGGACCAAGCTCCAGCACCCACAGGGGTATCCTTTGATAAAGCACTGTTTGTTCTCTTTCTTCCTTTCCTTCACTCCCCACGTCCTACTGGGGTTTACTAGGATCACCTGCTCAATAAGCACTTTTACATACATCTTGCCTGGGATCTACTTCTCAGGAAAGTCCATCTTCTCAGGAAGACATTTAAAATGAATTTCTATTAGTAAGCAGCCTAATCCCTGATTTTTCATGATAGGACAGTACTCCCTCCAGGGGAACTAAACATAGCAAAGCTAAGTTGCCCTGTTACTCATGTGAAGGTCCTGTCAAGTTAATAGAGTGCTGACAAAGGCTCTCTCCTTGACCAAACATTAGTCACATTCTTTGATCTTTGGCCTTCCATGTTCATCTTTACATAACATAGTTTTAACAAGAATTTTGCTAAGTCAGTTTAGTGAGAATCTCCTACCCTCAATATCTGGTCAAATTCCTCTTTCCTACCTGCCCTTTGTATCTGATCATCCTGGCCTGCCTTCAGCTAGAATCCTTTCAAGCAGTTTATCCAGAGTCTCCTCTTACTCTGGATGTTTGCTGTAAGTGATGATTTTCTACTGCACAATCACCCTACCTCCAACCTGCTCCTTGGCTATGCATCCCCACTTGTCTTTGCTGTGTTTGGAATTGAGCCTAGTTCCATGTTGAGGTCGCTTTTCCCCATGGCAATAGTTCCTGAATAAAATCTGGTTTTTCTCCACTTTACTACTACAGTTTTACTGCTGTCTGGTTCTGGTTTTATTCAACAGTAAATATCAATGGCAGACCTCAGATTAACAGGAGCATGGGACTAGAGCTACTCAGCGACATTTGCCTTTAGTTCAAATTAATACCCAGGCATGAAAGCCATGCTGAGCAAGTCGTGTGGTTGCACTGATCCCATCTGTGAAAAAGGAGAACTACAAGCTCTGGAATCCTGGTTAATCTTCAAGATGATACATTTGTAAATATTTGGTGTTTAATTAGCTAACTTTGTTGGTATAGATTACAGAAAGTTTATTTTCAGTCCAATTTGAAATGCTACACATTTTGTGTGATGGAGTTTAGTATCTATTCTATTTTATTACTCAACTCGAGTATCCACACTTCGTGGGAGATGATAAGGTTGATTGAGTGAGGAAAAATTGGCTGGACACTAGAGGTTTTAAAGTATTCAAGATCTCTGAATATACAATAACTGTTGCACTAAGAGGATTTTTGGAAGAAGGACATTGCTGGATGTAAATGTAAAGAATTATTACTGTATCTGGGATCGTTTATCTGAATTAGTTCATTACATATTATTTTGGCTTGGGTATATGTACACAATGAAACAAATTGAAAAACTATACATAGATCTTACACAAAAATTATAGAACTATATGAAACTAATGCTAATGAGATTGTAACTGTAGTTGGTATTTCTGAGGAGAGTTCAGAGAACAGCTATCTAAGTGAAAGGTTCAATCATTAACACTTGGGTCAATATTCATAATGCAGTTACAATTTGTATTATTCTTTTTATGCCACCATATACAACTCTTATGGTGGTAATAAGAAAAAATTATAGTCATCTTTGCATTTCCTGAGCAAGAATTTTTATATTATGTATACCTGCTTAAAGATGGTAACAAATAACCTATTAATCACTGGTCAAATGAATAAAACTGACTTTGGGATGAGTTGGCATATAAAATAAAGATACAGAAATATGAATAAATTAATGTACACTGGAGGTTACTAGTAGTCAAGATGATAAAATCAAGAAAGAAATTGTTAAAAGTTAAATAGTGCCAGGAGTGGTGGCTCATGCCTGTAATCCCAGCACTTTGGGAAGCCGAAGTGGTCAGATCACCTGAGGTTAGGAGTTCAAGACCAGCCTGGTCAACATGGTGAAACCCTGTCTCTACTAAAAATACAAAATTAGCTGGGGGTAGTGGTGCACACCTGTAATCCCAGCTACTATAGGGACAGAAATCAGAGGCTCAGGCAGCTGATTTCTCAGGAGGCTGAGGCAGGAAAATCATCTGAACCCAGGAAGCGGAGGTTGCAGTGAACTGAGATTGTGCCACTAAACTTCAGCCTGGGCAACAAGAGCAAAACTCCATCTCAAAAACAGAAAACAAAAAAAGTTCAATAGCATTTTCTCAGTCATTTCTGTTAGAAGAAAAATATATTAATTTAATATTATAGATTTATTTCTAAAAACAACTTTACTGCTAAGAACCATGATTATTACTTAAGATAGATTTTCAGTTAGTAATATAAAATGTTCTTTTTTGCTTCTAAAAATGTTTAAGTAATCCTACACAAATTTTTTATTTGCTTTATAGATTTAAAAAATATAATGTTACTTGTTTTGTGTCTACCTTAATGGATATAATAGTTCTGCAAACAGGACATAGGCGTGATTGATACAGTTGGCATTTAAAAACTGCTTCTGACAATGAGGTCTGGATATATTACCTGGAATGTGTGCAGTTAGAAAGAAATAGATGGTCATTCTTGCATAAAGTTTTTGGTCGTCTGTGATTCGCAAACAGCAGGCTTTAAGGAGCTTTGAAACATGCGAAACTAAGCACTGTAGTAATAGTTTGCCTCCATGTGACCTAAGAGAAGAAAATCAGCCATTTATGGCAACATTACACAATTCA
Organism: Homo sapiens; assembly: GCF_000001405.40. Taxonomy (NCBI): domain Eukaryota; kingdom Metazoa; phylum Chordata; class Mammalia; order Primates; family Hominidae; genus Homo; species Homo sapiens. The sequence continues at coordinate 43,354,943 of NC_000004.12, forward strand.
GGTAAGATGTTCTCAAGGGAAATATAAAGTTCTCACACTCATTAAATAAACAGGAAAGCAGCGTTCACAGATAATACACAAAGAGATAGAGGCATCATCATGCCTAATGTGGTGGAGAGACCACTGGACTGGCAGTTGAGATACTTGGTTCACAATCTTGTCTTTGAAATACATAATTTGAGTTTTGAGCTTAAACAAACTTGTTTTCTCCAGCATCTATTTTCTCATCAGTAAATAAAAATAACAATACTATGATTACACCAACATCATTATGAAGTTCACTTGAAATGACATATGTAAAAGGCTCTACAAACTTTAAAGCAAAATAACCAATATATACTCATAGATAAAAGTGTATTACAGGAAAAAGTCTTTATTTTTTGGCAAGCATATCTGGATTCTAATCCCAATTCTACTATTTACTCCCTTATTTTCTGTGTCCTCTTATCATCAATGTTTTCACCATTAAAATCCTGATAATATCAAGCTCATCATACTTTTCTGGAAATTATATGAGATAATATATGTATAGGGCTTAGTACAGTGCCAGATATATATTACAGCTTCATACAGAAGCTGTTCCTTTTGTTTTGTAATTTCTAACTTTGTAGTTTCTAACTCTTATAAAACATTTACTTAGTGCTAGGCACTATTTATGTATTGACTCATTTGATTCTCACCAGAACCCTGAGAAGAATCTGTGATTGTTATATTCACTTTATAGATGAGGAAACCTAGGTGCATGACAATTTGCCCAAGGTTACACAGTGAATAAATGGTGTTGCCAGGTTTCAAACTTAAGCAATAAGATTTCAGAGCTCTGCTGTTAACCATCATGCAATACTGCTTCAAAGAGGAATTGATGAAAAAAATATTGTTCATAATTATGTACTGTGTGTAGGACTCTGTTCTGAGTACTACAGACATAAAGAAGAATATAACAGGCTTTGAAGTATGGTTAGGGGAACAAGAAGTCTGTAAAGAGAATAAACAAGAATAAAAGAGAAGAGATATCTGTACTCTCATGCTCATTGCAGCATTATTCACAATAGCCAAAATATAAAATCAACCTAAGTGTTCATTACCAGATGAATGAATGAAGAAAATATGATTATCTATCTATCTATCTATCTATCTATCTATCTATCTATCTATCATCTATCTATCTATCTATCTATCTATCTATCTATCTATCTATCTATCATCTATCTATCTATATCTATCTATCCACCTACCTATCTATCCAATGGCATACTAATCAGCCTTTAAAAGAAAGAAAAACCTGTCATTTGTGACAACATGGATGAACCTGGAAGAGGACATTATACTACTGAAAGAAGCCAGGTACAGAAAGACAAATACTGCATGATCTTGCTTATATGTAGAATCTTAAAAAGTCAAATTCATAGAAGTAGAGAGTAGAATGGTAATTACCTGGGTCTGGGAATTGGTAGGTGGGGAATAGGGAGTTGATGGTCAGGGGGTATGAAGTTTCAGTTAGACAGGAGGAGTAATTTGGGAGATCTATTGCAGAGCATGGTGACTATAGTTAATAATAATATAATATGTACTTGAAAATTGCTAACAGATTAAACTTTAAATGTTCTTACCACACAAACATGATAAATATGTGAGGTGATGTATGTGTTCATTACCTTTAGTCATTACACAATGTATTCACATATCAAAGCATTATTTTGTACATCATAAATATATACTACTTCTTTGGTTAAATATTATTAAAGCTGAAAAAATTGTAAATTCTCAGAGAATTGAAAACTAAATAATTAAATGATGTTTGTAAATGTGCTAATTGCAAAAATAAATAAATAAATAAAGGAATGAAGGGGAATAAGTATCCCCAAGTGTTCAGAAAGATAATCATCTCTCAGAAATGTTATGGCTTCACTGGAAGAATGAAACTATACTCGTGCTTTCAAGTCCAAGTACACCATAGACAAACAAAGGTTATAGAAAAAAGGCATCCTGGTGGGGGAAAGGTAGAAAAGCAAGGGTATGCCCAATGTGTTTGATCGGGTATGATGAAAGAGAACCCTGTTTCTGTTCCTTTAGCGACTTGACTGTGATGAAATTGCTACCCTCAACACATTCATTGTTGAGTTTCCTCTCATCAGTTATATCAGGTTGACTTTCTGGTTATAGAAGGACAGAGTCCTAACAGTTTGGAGAGTATGATTAAAAGGCTCAATGCTACCTTTGGTGGGAATTACCACTTTCATAGGGGAATGGTTGGTTTACCTTGTTTATTTCATATGGATCTTTGGGAAACAGTTGTTTCTACAATGAAAATGTTATTAAATTTCTTTCTTGGTTGGCCTGATGTCTGAATATATTCTGAGATTTGTAATTGAGAGGGAAAATTGCCACTTTACACCTGATAAAATATAGTATTTGCAGGTAATTTCTAATGGAAAGACAGAACTACTAGTCACCTGTGAAAATGGAGCGTTTCTGCTTATCAAAAGACCTTGAAACAAGGCCTCAGAGAACCAGCTGGCTTACAGCCTGTGGAAAAAAATCCAAATTACTCCTATATTTGCCAGGTTCAGTGTAAAAATACTAGCCATGTTTGAAATGAATAGAGTTTGAGAAAAGACTGACCAAATCTGTCATGCAAAATTATTTTCACCATGTGTGTTAAAAAGATAAATAATTTAAATATTTTACTTCCATGTATATTTCATTGAAATTAGAAGAGAAAAATGAGAGGTGAGGGGTGAAACAATTCTTTTTCTCCTTTTCTAGGTTTAGTAAAAAATGATGTGCCATATGTCTCCAAGCCATATGTCCACTGATTTTTTTTAATTCTTGTTTCAGCTAAAAAAAAATTGGCACTGACTTAATTTCTTGATGCTATGAATTCTATTTGGCTTGTTCCACTACTTTCTTTAAATTTTTCCTGTTCTCTGAAATGAGGGGGTTACGATATGGACTTTCTCTGGATTTGGTTCTAACAACATATTGGCAAGAAAAATATCCTACCTGCAAATACCTGTTTATCTTAAAATGCATGGTGTTTTGGTGGGGGGCAGGGTGGTAGGGTTTCCTTCCTGGAATAGAATATCCTGTAATTCTGTAAGAATCATCAAGGTGACTTGATTAAATGATTTTATATTAAAATTGGAATTTGCAAATATTTATTCTTATTTATCATAACATGCCTAGTAACGATGTCCTTATTTAATGCTCTATAACTTAGTAATTGGTTTCTCTGAAGTTATAGGAAATAAGGCCAAGTAACAAACTTGAGATAATTGAGTAATGTAGTCCATAGGAAAAAATGCATTTTTGCACTTAGACTATTATTACGTTAGACTACTAAACATGCAAAAAATAATCATGGAAAAAATGATGAAGAGCCACACTGGCTTGTCTGAAACGCCTATTTGGTAGTTCTCTAAAGCTTATGTATCTACATGGAGCAGTGAAATAAAACTGGAACAGAAACTGCCACTGAGATAGCTGCTCCTGCCTCAAATGAGCTTAGTAGGCACTGAAGTGTGTGTTTAATAAATAAGTAAATGAAGCCATTTTAATTCAAACCAAACTTTCCAATTGAAGTGAATAAAGGTTTGGATTCATGCCATTTGAGTTAAGGAAAGTTCAAACTGAGAATGAATTGGCCTCATATACTAATGGCTGGCATAAGGAAGACACCCAGCCACCACAAGATGGATTTTAGGATTAATCAAGTCAACACAATGCAGTAGAGAAAGCTCTCTAGATTTATATTATAAATACATGGCTTTTCCTCTTGGTTTGACTTGTTTATTGGTTCTTGAAAACATTTAATGAAGCCCTACTATGTGCCAAGCAGTATGCTGGACAATAGAGACATGAACATGGAATGGCCCTAAGTTTGAAAATCCTCTGGTAAACTGAGAGGGACAAACAAACAGGTTATCCCAAATCATTGTGACTCATGTTGTAAGTGAGATTTCTTCCAAGTTTTATGGGAGCAGAATAGCAAGAATACATCTGCTTTCAAAGCTGTAAAAGGTTTTACAGAGAAGGTAGAATGTGGAAACACCCAGATTTAGCATTTTAAATAGAGGAACAAATTCTGTGAAAACATAAAAAAGAGAAGAGTTTGCTGTACCTCAAGTACAAAGTGTTCTCCATGGATGCAGAGAATATGTCTGGGTTGTACTCAGTGATGGCAGATGAGATGGAGAACATGGCTGGGTAGCACCCAGTAATGAGAGATTTGAAGGTAACCTGTAAAGCATCTTGTATTCTATATATAAGCACTTGAATTAGTCTTACAGACAAGTAATATGTATGACTTAGACCAACTGATAGGTAACCAAGTACAGATCAAGGCAAGGTCTTCTTCTATGTTATGTAATTACTATAGATGAGTAATGATATAGTTTGGCTGAGTCCCTACTCAAATCTTATCTTGAATTGTAATCCCATAATCCCAATGTGTTGTGGGAAGGAACGAGTGAGAAGTAATTGAATCATGCGGATGGTTTCCCATATGCTGTTCTCGTGATAGTGAGTGATTTCTCATGAGATCTGATGGTTTTATAAGTGTCTGGCATTTTCCCTGCTAACACTCATTCTCTTTCTCCCTGCACTGTGAAGAGGTGACTTCCACCATGACTGTATGTTTCTTGAGGCCTCCCCAGCCAGGTGGAACTGAGAGTCAATTAATCCTCTTTTTTAAAAATAAATTATGCAGTCTGGAGATGTTTCCTCATAGCAGCATGAGAATGAACTAATACGGGTAACATGAATATTTGTAGAAAAGAATGCATGAAATATTACTGACTTTTAGTTTCTTTATCTTTAAGATAAGGAAGAGGGATAAAATTATTTCTGAGGTCCTTTTAGCTCTACAGTTCTGTGAATGATCAGTCTCATAGAATCTGTTCCTTAGTATTAATAATTCACTTATCAGATTGCCTTGATGCCTTGATATCGAAGAATTTTCACCATTAAAGACATTTCTTTTGGATGTGTACATTCTCTGAGAAGGCACATATTGAAGGATATTCTTATAGAAGATATAGTGTTATATATTGTAATATTAATAAGATAGTTGTCAGATTGGATAGGCTTTTAAAAGTACCAAGAAGAATATAAGCTACCCAAGTAAGGTAATAAGGAATGGTTGTTATGGCCTTGTTAGAAAGTCTTGGAGAGACATCAGGAAAAGAAAGGTGAGGTAACTTAGCTCTTTATGGGATGAGATGATTCCAGGATGTGTGAAAATATCTGTGGTGTGTAGGTGTGTATATGCATATATATTTCTTGAGTTCAGAAGGAGGGTATCACACAGAAAGTGTAGATTTCCAGGACCAATTAAAGCTACTAATTTTAATTTGGTAATTATATATAGACATAGACTAAATAATATTCTTTAGTGCTGCTTTCCTTTGAGTTTTTAAAATATAGCTAATTAGGTTCTGCCTCACTATCTTATCAGACACGTAGATTTGGTGTTTGTACTTTCATGCTGGATTAGTCAATGTTGACAGAGGAAATAAAGGCCTTATTTTGACCTTTCCCTTTGTGCACCTTTTAAGGTGAAAAAGACAGGGAGGCATTTTTTTTTTCATGTTTCTCTCCTGCTGAGGGAAGTAGACAGTGAGTGTACATAAGTCATTGATCAATAATAGTGCAAGCATACTTACAGTCATTGATAAATCTTTTGAAAAACTTACTTTATTTTGGAAAAAAAAAAATATGTACACTTACACACCCCGAAAACATTTACTCATTCAGCCTTTAGGAAAAAATAACTACCGACTGATCTCAGTTGTTAACTTCCAGAAGTAAAAAGAAATTATGACCTAAGCTTTTAAATCCAAATCAGATGGATTAAATCAACCCTAAATTGGATTTTAAAACCCGAAGAATCAGACCTCCATCTGTCTCTGAGTTCCATGGCATAGATTTAAAACCAGAAACTCAGAGCTTGCTTTAAAATAAGAAGAGGCTTCACTTTAAGAAGTTTTCGTGAACTCTCCTTTGTAGAGACATGGACGAAGCTGGAAACCATCATTCTCAGCAAACTATCGCAAGGACAAAAAACCAAACACCGCTTGTTCTCACTCATAGGTGGGAATTGAACAATGAGAACACATGGACACAGGAAGGGGAACATCACACACCGGGGCCTGTTGTGGGGTGGGGGGAGGGGGGAGGGATAGCATTAGGAAATATAGCTAATGCTAAATGACGAGTTAATGGGTGCAGCAAACCAACATGGCACATGTATACATATGTAACAAACCTGCACGTTGTGCACATGTACCCTAAAACTTAAAGTATAATAATAAAAAAAAAGTTTTTGTGACATTAAGGGCAAGATGAGATGCTCATTTTATATTGTAAATTATGTCTTCCATACATTGGTAATTATATATGCAAGACAAGAAGCACATACAAATACTCATTTAATAAAAAAGCACTCATTGAAATTCACATTAAATTCCTGTAATGATTTCCTTATAAGCAATTCAAAAGGTTTCTTTATTTCTAAAAAGGTTTTTGTTGTTTCTTCAATTTGTACCATCAGGTGCATTGCAGAATGTACCTGTATATGTGGACAGATCTGGAGTCTTAGAGACTAAGCACAGTCTACTAATCCAGACTCTGACATGACTGCAGTGATCTTGAATGACTTGATTAATTTCTTCTCAGCAGAATGTGGCTAAACAATATTCTATTGCTTTTCTCACAGAATTGCTATGAGGCTGATGTGAGACAAAATATATTAAAGCTTTTTGTACATTGTAGAAAAGCTACAAACTGCAATGATTTTCAACATGTGCTATCAAAGGTTTTGTTTGAAATGTAGCAATTAGCCTTACTATACTACAAATTTGTTTAAATTATAATTGTTTAAATTATGATTTCGAAAACTTTCCCCGCTGCACATAAGATGTGTACTATCTCATTCCCATTAAATAAAAGAATAGAGATTGACCTTGTTCTTTTTTTTTTTTTTCTTTTTTTTTGAGACTGAGATTCGCTCTTGTTGCCCAGGCTGGAGTGCAATGGCTCGATCTGGGCTCACTGCAACTTCTGCCTCCCGGGTTCGAGCAATTCTTCTGCCTCAGCCTCCCAAGTATCTGGGATTAGAGGCATGCGCCACTACACTCGGCTAATTTTGTATTTTTAGTAGAGACGGGGTTTCACCATATTGGTCAGGGCAGTCTCTAACTCCTGACCTCAAGTGATCCACCCACCTCTGCCTCCCAAAGTGCTAGGATTAAAGGCATGAGCCACTGCACCCAGCCTGACTCGTTCTTTAACTATAACTTTAAAATACAGGTCTATGCACATCAAAGGCCATGGCCACTAAATTCAAGGGCTTACTGATGAAAGCAGATGAAAGCTAGGTAATATCTAGCTCATAGTATTTATAATGTACCATTTTTGTAAATACTTTTACCAAAATGAAAACTAAGAAATGTAATACTCAATAAGAACTTTAAATAAAATCTTCAATTCAATGTTTGATATTTATAAATGTAATTTAAATTTATTTTTTTCTTCTCTACTCAAATACCAGCTAACAGCCCTAAGCAAACTCAGACGGAGTACTGAATATAATCTTCTAACCTGACATTTTGGTCAGAATCAATCTATTCATTTTTTTTCACAGTCCACCCAATCTGGATATATAAAGTGGTTGAACTTTATTGGAAGTAACAGAAAGCAAAATAGATCGAACTCAATGTTGTTAAAAATGGAATATTTTAATATGTGAGTTTTGCCAGGATGTGATTTGAAACTGCTTTTATGCTAAATATAATTTGACAGAAATGACAGCATATGGACTTCCAGTTATCATTTATTGTATAGTTCTTTGACTTCACTTTTTTGTATTCACTGAATATAAAAAATAAATTTGGTACTAAATACATTTCTTGAAATATCAATAGGGTTTGGCAGTGGCAGCATCACAAAACAGAATCATACATAGTATCTAAGGAGAACTCTGAAGCAAAACAAGCATCAACTGTGTAAACTAAACCCATCAGTTCATTATGTACACATCTGCATACTGAATTCTAACCTGGTTATTCAAATGATCACCTCCAAAAGAACATTAGGGAATCAAGAATACCAGCTGATAGATTTTACTTCTGCTTATTAATGATGAGTCAACAAAAGCCAAGAGATTTGTAAACAATTTAGATCTTCAGAATAGAGTTAGGCAGATTATCTACCTGCTAACATATGTATTCCTAAAAGTTAAAGAGCTTACTTGTAACAAATAAGTGGCATTTAAAACTCACTAAGTACCATTTGACTTCCAAATAAACATTAAATATGTAATTTTGATGGCTAATAAAAATTTCTGAACTTCATGATTCAAGCAAGAACTGAAATTGAATGTCATATTGTACTGAATGGAATTATATTGGTTGAATAGATTCCTGACACAGTCTATAAATATTGTGCATCTTTTTTCATGAAAATATCATCATCTAATGCATAGTCAGCACATCCATGAGCAAAGAATTATATCTTTGAACTGAGTCTTATGTTTTAAAATGATCAATTTTTTAAGCAAGTAATTACTTTATTGTAGTTTTAAAAAATGTATCAAGACATCGATAACATTAAGGAATGTTAATAGTGTATCTACACTGAATTTCCTCATATACTCACACAAAAAGGGATTGTCCTCAAATGTAAAAATATATGCTAACAAAAAGTTATTACCATAGGTGATATCGCTTTACACGTTGAAAATAGTGAATTTATTTCATTGCCAAAATTGAGATGTGAATGCATGTAAATTTATATACACTAATTAAGCAACATAGTCTTATTCATAAAACATATACTTAAATTATGTGCTCTATGTTAGTATATTGGGTGAGTACCATGCTGAAATCTTAGTAGCTTTTGCTTTCTGTCTCACAATTTTTTTTTTATTTATTCCAGAAGTAACACAGTTGGATGATATATCTGTATCTGGTTAGGAAAACGGGGCTTAAGTATTATGTGAATATGGTGCTTAATATAAGAATCTTTGTCCTATATTAAGACAGAGCTAGGGGAGCAAATACCTGAAAACCTATGGCTGTAGTACTGGGGAAAAAGCCAACCTGGCAGCAGCCTTTTAGTACTGAGGCAGAATAAGAAATTTTGCCGGAGAAGAATGCACGAAATGCTTGTACCATAATGATGTTGCAGAACTCTGTGAACCACCGTGATTGCAAAAAGTATTAGCTAGTGAAGAATCTGGAAGCTTGTTGCATTTAACCACTCTGGCCTCTGATAATAATGGGCTCTGATTTGCTGAGCTTCCCAAACTCATGAATATTCTTCCCTTTGACAAATTCAAACTTAAAAATGTACAAGGGAAAGGTTCTGGGAAACACAGTTTCTGATCTTAGAAGAGACAGGTGGTGATAATGCCAAGTTGACAATGACCAATCCAGCACTTAATGAAACTCATAAAACAGGTTTTTATTTGGGGAGGTGGGTGGGGGAAGTAGAATTAAAGTTATATATTTTGTTCTTATTTTTATTTCTATTCCAATTATACCTAAATGACCATGTAAAATGTTTCTGTGAAAAAAAATGATAAACACCTATTTTCTGAGCCTGTGTTCCAGTAAGCAGAAAGAGTTTGGATTCCTGGTTATGAAACTGAGAAATATGTATGTAATGAAGGTTTAGAGATTGGGAAGTTCTACTTGTTAGCTGTTTATTCTTTACAAATCCATAGCTGTCAAAACCCAATGTGCTTTTCTAATCCTTCAATCCTTACGTGGCTACAAGTGTCTACACTTATGTGGTCAAGTGCAACAGGCTTCCAGATTATTCACTAGCTGCCACTTTGCAGCCATAGTGCTTCACAGAGTTATGCAACATCATTATGGTTGTACTTGAAGAAGCAGACTTGATGCATGTTAAGAACTCACAATATCTAGAAAATTGTATTGTTATGTATATAAATTTTTAAAGTTGTGTCTAGAAGGGTAGTACAGCATGTTATTTAGCAGTGTTTCTATTTGTATCAAGAAAACAAAAACCCTTGATTTGAATTTTACCCCTTCCATTATTATGTGACCCAAACAAAATACCAAATATCTTTAAGGCATCATTTCAAAAATATGGATAATAATATTGTGGTCTACTCTTAAAAAAAAAAAGCTTTCTGGCAGGGCGCAGTGGCTCACGCCTGTAATCCCAGCACTTTGGGAGTTTGAGGCAGGCAGATCACGAGGTCAGGAGTTCCAGACAATCCTGGCTAACACGGTGAAACCCCGTCTCTACTAAAAAATAAAAATAAAAAATTAGCCGGGCGTGGTGGTGGGTGCCTGTAGTCCCAGCTACTCGGGAGGCTGAGGCAGGAGAATAGCACGAACCTGGGAGGCGGAGCTTGCAGTGAGCGGAGATCACGCCATTGCACATTGCACTGCAGCCTGGGCGAGAGAGTGAGACTCTGTCTCAAAATAATAATAATAATAATAATAATAATAATAATAATAATAATAATAAAATAAAATAAGAAAAGCTTTCTGTGGCTACAACTCATTTTGGAAAAATTGGGGTCTCTTTACTCACTCTTCCCAGTGGGTACAAGAGTGAATTATTGGATTGATGAGTTGGGGAAAATAAAATGTAATGGTGAATATCATTCCTCCCTTCTTCCTCTTGGGGACAGTGACCCCATGTAGAGAACGCTCCATCCAGGAGCTGTGAAGGTATTTCCAGTTGACTCTAGGGTTTATTGTCAACAAGCCTAGTTTCTTCTCAGATCAAAATTTGTGTACTTCAATTTGGCCTCTTTTCAAGGTGATACTTTAGTAGTCCAACTTTGTATTTTTTTATTTTTACTAATCAGCATGTACAGAATGTGGGAAGTAAGAGGAAAGTTATTGGGCCCTTTCAGAAACCCCAGTCTCCACTTTGTAGAATTGTATTAGCATTAAATAAAATAATTCAGTACCAGTGCATTTAATAAACTTCAATAAATATGTTGGCTACTGTTACTATACGTCATTCTGAAATTAAATATCCATAGGCTAGTTATTTGTGTTTTAGTTCATATAATATTCATAATATACATTACTTTTCCAAATGCTGCTATCCTAACATAGTTTTGATCAAATGTTAAAGACTTTTGTGGAAAAAGAGAATGAGAATTTGTACCAAAATATTTTGCTCTAATGATTTTTTAAGGAATAATATAATGTAGTGCAAAGATGTTGACCTAACTCATGGATACCTGGGGATCTTCTACACCACCTCCCCTGCCTCAAACTGATTTGTAATGTTTGATATACTAAACACAGTAAGAAACTTGAGATTTTTCCCAGCAGAATGGAAACGTTTGTATTCTCTATTTTATAAAGATGCAAACATGTTGGCAATGTCTACCAGTATGGGGTCAATGAAATATCTTAGACTTTATTTCAATTAACTCTAATCAATTTAGCCCTTGCTTACTTTTTGAGTTCTTATGTTTTACAGAGATAGCTCAAGAACCTTCTTGGGTGACAGATGATTTTTTTTTTTTTTTGAGACGGAGTCTCGCTCTGTTGCCCAAGCTGCAGTGCAGTGGTGCGATCTCGGCTCACTGCAAGCTCCGCCTCCCTGGTTCCTGCCCTTCTCCTCCCTCAGCCTCTTGAGTAGCTGGGACTACAGGCACCCACCACCATGCCCGGCTAATTTTTTGTACTTTTAGTAGAGATGGAGTTTCACCGTGTTAGCCAGGGTGGTCTCGATCTCCTGACCTTGTGATCCGCCTGCCTAGGCCTCCCAAAGTGCTGGGATTACAGGTGTGAGCCACCTCGCCTGGCCGGGTGAAAGATGATTTTTACAATAGTGTGTTGTCTCCAAATCATGCTCTCAAGCTTTCTGTGTAAAGTTTTTGTTTCTCTTAATTGTGAATAAACATTTCCAAATTATATTTAAACCACTTATTTTTAATAAGAACTTATTTCTTTCGTCTTGATTGTGACAAATGCATGAATTATAATATTGATCATGTGAATTGATAGAATAAATTACTGTCAAGTAAAGATAATAGCAATATTGCTGAGTGCTTACTATGTACCAGGCAGCCTTGTTATCAGTCCTACTTTAGAGATAAGAAAAGATGGGCCAAGTGTGTGGCTTATCCCTATAGTCCTAGCACTTTGGGAGACAAGGAGGAGGGATTGTTTGAGCTTGGGAGGTCAAGACTTCCATGAACCATGATTGCATCACTGCACTTCAGCTTGAGTGACAGAGAGAGACTCTACCTCAATGAAACAAACAAAGAATAAAGTGGTGATGAAGAGAGACTCTATCTGAAAGAAAGAAAGAGAGAAAGAAAGAAGGAAGGAAGGAAAGAAAGAAAGAAAGAAAGAAAGAAAGAAAAAGAGAAAGAGAGAAGGATGGTGGGAGGGAAGGAAGGAAGGAAGAGAAAGAAATAAGGAAAGAAAGAGAAAGAAATGGTGACACCAAATTGCTAAGTAATTGCACTAAGATTGCACAGCTATCTACTGTGGAACTGGGATTAGTGCTCAGAGATGACTGCAATAAGCATATACTCTTCATGATTATACCACACTGTCTTTTTTGACCTGTGTCTTCATATAACAGTGTTAAAAAGTTTGATTGTGTTTTCTTAAACACTTTAATTCTAAAAACCACATATTCTGCTTCTTTACCTTCTTTGAATGAAGCAGGCTAGAATATAGTGACAGTGTAGACTGAATATATAAAAAATATCTAATTCTGCTATGGAATGGGGGGGTGAAAACAAGGAGGATGTATGATACTAAGTGCAGAAGAAAATAGCTTGTGAGACATAGAAGTAAGTAGAGTACCTATGTGATGAATAGATAAAAATGGCGGAACAAATGAGAAAATTACTCATACATGGCAAAGAATGGAAGGACTGCGTATGCATCAAATATTCATGATTCACTAAATATGCATATGACGTATATGAGGCACTCAATATTTATTGCATTGAAAATCAACCACCTATTGGTGACATCCAATCTGGCCCCACAGACCCTCTGTCCGAAAAGTACAAATAAAGTACATAGTTGCTTATTGGCCAGGCATCATTGCCCCTTCATCTTTCTAATAGAACAGGTGACCCGAAGTATTTCACATCTATTAGGCAACTTTGCTCTCAGACCTTAATTCTGGTTCTTGTAACCATACCATCAATAGAGAAAGTTGATGTGGCTGAGTTAGATGGGAAAAAGACAAAAAAGTGAACTAATTCAGACAGCTCATATGAGACTGTGTGACCCAATATTCAGGTGATGTGACCTTTCATCTGTTTGTAACCTATTCTTCCTGGGTTAATGTAATCTCTTTCCTCCACATCTCACTGTATAGTTTAGACTGATTTAATAAACTATGTGACTTGAACATCTTAAAAGAAAAAGAAGTGTCTTTAATTTCAAGTGCTGTTATTAGTCAAAATTAAACAACATATGTAATAATGCTATTAGCATAAGAATAGTAAATAATGTATGCATATGTTAGCAAACATTTTTTAGGAAGGTGAGTTTGATGTGAAAAGACAAGTTGGCTAATCAAATCTGACTCAAAGAAAATAATTATTCGTTATTAGAATGTCTGCAAGCTAAATAAAAATTGAAGAACTCCTCAAATTCATTAAAGAAGTTTGATTTAATTTGCATTTGAGTAAATATAAAACTTATCATCTGTTTGCTTCCAAAATTGTATTGTGTTGTGTTTTGAGAATGTGTACTTGACATTGGATAGACAAGCACAATTATAAAAGTTTCTGTGTATTTGGACCATTTTCACATTTTATTAGGTTTGGTATAAATTGTAAACTTGGCCTTAGAACACTCTTTCTAGAATTGACCTAAAATATTTAGTCCAAGAAAAAAGGCATATTTATAAAATCACCACTTTACACTGACATAGCAGAAAATAAGTTTCTAGTTTGCTTCTATTCCAGTGAAGGAAAAATTAAATATTTTCTTCTTTGCCATAGAGTAAAAATATAACTTAATACTTTTATGGAACAGACTTGAGAACTTGAAGTATAAATCTGGGTCTACACTTTACCATACATTATCTTGTTCAATTTCAAGAAGAGTTACATAATGAAAAAAAATTGTTTTTGATTTTCTAAAATGAAAACTGGTAACACTTTAAAGGATAGAACTTCCCTAAGGGAAATAAAATTGTTGGTTCATACTGAACATTTGCTCAGGTATTAAAACACGGAAGCCAAATGTCCTATAAACGGCAAGGTGCCCTAATAACAATCCTGGAGGCTCAGAAAGATGTGTGTCTGGTAAATGAGGCAGAGGAAAAATCTGGACCAGTGACAGAAAAACTTACAAGAATAGTTCACCACCCGTTGTTTCTGTTGTTTAATGTCATTTCTAAGACTTCAAGGAAACTAGTCTAGTAAGTTCAGGCCACATTTCAATGTCATAACTGCCACAGATCTAAGAAGAACAAACTTACTTGTCAAGTTCAGAACGTGTTCATGTTACTGAAACAACATTGCAGCAATATTGCATTATGTTTGAGTTTGAGAGTTGAGAGGGGCAATTCACATAAGAAAAGAGAAAAGTATTTTCTAATAGAGACAGCACCACAGGAAGCTGTATCTGGAGTGGCATGGGAGTAATACTTCACTGAATGGCAACAAACAAACAAACAAACAAACACATAAACCTCAACAAACACCTGGCACATTGTGCTGTCGCTGACGTGAAAACAGCACCCTAGAGAATGATCTTAGTATCATCTTTCCTATTAGAAGAATATTAACATTTATATGTCATTTATACATTAATTTTTGAATTCTCCTTCTTAATTTTTGAACTTCATAAATAAATTGAAATACACTCAGAATGGTTTGCTATTTCCACATAAAATTCAGAGAGTTTGGAATTATAGATTTCTGAGATTTTTATCTGTTACCCTCTGATAAATAATTCAACTTGGGATTGAATTTTGTCTTAAACACTTGTTCTCTGTGAAGGCTGTTCAATCAACTAAGGGAATATGTGAGCATCGTTCTTTGTTCCACACAACATTTTGAAAAGATAAATATTTTAGGCAAAAGCAGAGGTACGTTGCTCTAGGTCAGAGGTTCAGGAATTTAGAGTTGGAGATGGTAGCTTCAGATTGGGAAGATGAGAAAACTTCTGAAAGAGGTAAACATTATGTGCTTATTTCACATTGCATGCCTGTATCAAAACATCTCATGTACCCCATAAATATATATATACCTACTATATACCCACAAAAATTGTTTTTAAATATTAAAATGGTAAAAAATAAAAAAGTAGGTAAGTTGGAAAATTATCACCTCTCAATTTGGAGCAATAATAGAAAATGGAGAAAGAAGAGCTCCAAAACTTCCTTTGATAAATGTGGTACATTAGCATTATTTGCTTAATATGTCCTTCCTGTTTAGTTCATCTAGAATACATTTTAGAGAACTGGCTGGTTCTGATAAACAGGAAGCTTAGGAATTAGCCAAGATAATTGCTCATGGCAGGATACTGCCAAGAGAAGGTGCCCTATATAGCGAAAGCAGACTTAGGTAATGGACAATAAAGTGAACTCTGGTAGAAAGGTAGAGGTGAGTTACTATCAAGCAGAGAAATTGTAATATCAATATATCTAATTTCAAAAAGCATATTAGTGCAAAAATTGGAGAATGCACAATGAAATTGGAATCATGGAGTATGAAGAATAACTGAAGCATATTGTTTTAGATATAAGGTAATAAAAGCTGAGAAAAGAATTCCTTCAGGAGTGGGATACCTCGTGCTGTATTGATTCAGAATTAAACAAGCAAACAAAACATGGAAACATTAAAGGAAAATTCAAGATTCAATAAGAACTTGAGAATAAATAAAGTAAAATAACAATTATTTATTTCTCTCTTCCTTCAATTTTCCCTACATATTTTTTGATAGCTAAGCTAGTGGAAAAGTTAGATAGTAGTTATAGCAGGGGACAATAAGAAGACTTTACCTTGAGAAGTACCTGAAATTCTGGAGACACATTCTAAAATTACTAAAAATCAAGCAGGTGAAGGAATGGTACAGGCATACTTCTCCTTGCAGTTATAAAGAAGGAAAAGACCCAGAATGAAAGAATTAAAAAAAATTCTTAATTTATATTAGGAATATAAAATAACAACCTAGGCTTTATTGATTAAAAATTTGATCTAGAGTATCACATTAAAATGTAGAAACTTTTTATTTGGAGAAACAGAGGGTTTTTTAGTTCAAACTTTGTTGGAACAGTATAAAGGGTTATAGAAAAAGCAAATTGTTTCAGTAGTATTTATCAAATTTCTTATTTATAACTGAGTATCCAGAAATAAATAGATGAATAGGTGCTCAACAAGTATTATGCTAATCACAGCAACAAAATGCTAGAGCAACATAGAGAAAGGAGTAAGTAATTCTGTTGGGGTATTAAGGGATAGTATGGGCATAAATGATCTAATTAGAAGGCAAAATTTCCACCACGTGTTGTTATTGGAATAGGATTCTGCCTGATGGAGAACATGGTGTCTGTGTTGGTGTGTGTGTGTCTGTGCTAAAAGAGGGAAGATCAGAGAGGGAAGGAGGTCTGTTTCTTCTTTTCTTCAGAATTAATTGCTTGAATGAAGGAAAGCAAGAGAGTACAACTTGCTTAGTGTTCATCAGACACAGCTGTGAGGCTAATGGATAGGATTTCAGGGTAGAGGGAGTCAGGAGGTCATACTGAAAGAAGGAGAAATGTGATGAAAAATTAATATGTAATATGACAGAAAATGAAGGTGCAATATGATGTAATATGATAAAAAATAGTATGCATAAAATTGTAGGATGGTTGAGGAAGGCAAACTGGAAGGCAGGATGACTTGCCAAGAAGTAGGGAGGCATTTCAGTGACTGGAGTGTGGCTGAGGAGGAAGCTGAGCCTGCAGTGAAGAGCCAGAAAGATTGAAGGTCATGTGAGGTGGAGTCAGAAAGAAGGTAGATGGCCATGTGGGGAGCATAATCCATGCATGTGCATGTGTGTGTGTGTGCCTACATATGCTGTAGCTAAACTTGCAAAACTGAATGTGACTTGATCTCTTCTTCGAAAGATGGGATGAATCTTAGAATCTGAAACTTACCTAGGGCAGAATCAAGTCAGCATGCATGGTACTAAATAATTAATCCCACAAAAGCAGACATATGAAGTCATCAGATACAATGTTGAATTTACCTGCTGAGATTAAATTGTGCTAACATCTGAAACGAGAGACGAGAGGGGTCATGGTTCACTGGAGTTAGGGTTGGTTAGGATTTAAAGTGAAGTGTACTTTGAGTTTTGTTAAGGAATTTTATTTTTAATTTTTGTAGGTACATAGTAGATGTATATATTTATGGGGTACATGAGATGTTTTGATACAGGTATGCAATGTGAAATAAGCACATCTTGGAGAATGGGGTATCCATCCCCTCAACCATTTATCCTTTGAGTTACAATCAATCCAGTCATGATCTTTAAGTTATTTAAAAATGTACAACTAAGTTATTATTGACTAATCACCTTGTTGTGCTATCAAATAGTAGGTCTTATTCATTTTTTTCTGTTTTTTTTTTTGGTACCCATTAACCATTTTCACCTCTCCAAAACCCCTCACTACCCTTCCAAGCCTCTGATAACCATCCTTCTACTATTTATGTCCAGGAGTTCAATTGTTGTGCTTTTTAGATCCTACAAATAAGTGAGAACATGCAATGTTTGTCCTTCTGTGCCTGACTTAGCTCTATTCTGAAGACCCAAGTCAGGCAGGAATGCCAGGCTCTGCCTTCCCTCTTGTTTTTTCTCTCTTTCTGGAAATCATGTAGCCAACAAAAACATTCATAGGAAAATAAAAATAACTTTATTTTATTTCATCCTTTTTTTTTCTTTAGGTAGTTAAAAATCTTCTAGTCTACCACACACAAGCACACCCCCATCCCCCCCTCCACACGACACGTTCAAGTCTTGTGTTCTGCCTTAGTTAATCTATTTCTTTATATTCCTTCCTTTGATATCCAAGAGACACATGATATGTGCATGCAGGGTCACCATGCTGAGTCCCATCAATTGTAGGACACATTACCCCTGGTGGCACAGTAGTGATTCTCATTCTTATCTTATACATGATAAGTCTAAAGTAGAGGTGAATGTAATAAACCGTCTTAGATAAGAAGTGAAAATGTAAAGTATGATAGAGCAGGTAAATGTCGCATTTTTCTACACAAAACCAAGCAAACAATAGACTACTTTTATTACAGACTTTGTTAAGCATTATTCATAACATACTGAGAAAATGTGGAGGCAATATTGCTTCCTGAACTACGTAATTCATAAAATTAGGTAAAAAATATGTACCACAAAACTCAAACTTCCTAAGGTTTTATTGCCACTGTTTGGTTATAATCATTGCTGAAACAGGGAGATAGTGAGCCACAGTGCTCCTCTTGGAACATGTGCTTAGTTCAGGCAATCTGTTAGGGGATCTGTTTGAATGCTTCTGTCATATTAAAAATTAAATATTGTAGTTGATGCTGTACAAAAGGTTATGATTATATAAGTTCTATATAAAGGCAATATTCTGTTATTGAGTCTTTCTTAATGTACTGGTTCCTGCAAATATCTGCAGACACTCTCCTAAAGATTTTGAATTTTTAATATTAAAATATATTTTTCATTAAACGACACCAATGTAAGATTAAATAGATTTTATCCTGATATTTCTTTGAGTGAAATCACTGCCGTGCATGCAATACTCTGTCTCTAAATAGCCATTCTTAGGAAGTGAATAAGTGCTCATAGATCATCTGCAAGAGAGAATTAAACAAACATCAAGAGAATTAAAAACTATTTGTAATTTTAAAACAGAAAGTTATAGATGGGCATTTTATAAGTATCTTTGAGAGTACATGGATGTTGAAGTTGCACTAATGCTTAAGAGAAATGCTTCAAGAATATATGCTAAACAGATGTACCAAGGTAATGCAAAAGCCTATTTATTTCCATTTACAGAATAAAAGACCCTCTACTTCTTTATATTGCTGCCAAGGAGGGAAATTTTCCAATTTGTGTCCATGATTAAGCAAATTACTGCAAATTAGACACTTCACTGTCAAGCCTACCCGGAAAATACCCATGGCTGGACATCACATTGAAGAGGCACCAGCTTTCTTCTATAATTCCTTTCTATAGCTTTTATTTGTGAGTTGATAAGAGATGGCCATTAGCATCTTTAAATATTAGCAAAAAGATTATTGAATTCACTATTGCCCTCCAAAAAAGATAGAGCAGAGCCCCTAAAGAGTGCACTCTCAAAAAGCAGGGCCTAGAATTGGTATATTTTTATTGAATATGCATTTAGGGGACAGAATTGAAAGTGTTAGAGAATTAGGTGCATCCTAGAGGCACCCTGGGGATAAGCTGGGGAAGCAGATGGTGGCAACATACATACTTATTTCCAATACAGTCTAGTAGACAGAAAACACTTAACTGGCGTTAAATTGTCTCAGTTGTTGTCCCAATCTAAATGCTTTTATGTGTGTGTATTTTTTTTTTTTCAGAGACAGAGTCTCACTGTGTTCCCCATGCTGGAATGCAGTGGTGTGATCATAGCTCACTGCAACCTCAAATTCCTGGGCTTAAGTAATCATCCTGCCTTAGCCTCCTGAGTAGCTGGGACTACAGGCATGTACCACCAAGCCTGGCTATTAATTCTTATATTCTGAATGTTGTTGAATAATATCCTATCATGTTATAGCATAGAGGTTGTATTAGTTAGAGTTCTCCAGGGGAATAGAACCAACAAGAGATATAGATAGACAGGTAGACAGGTAGGTAGGTAGGTAGATAGATAGATAGATAGATAGATAGATAGATAGATAGATAGAAATAAATAGATAGATAGAAGAGGAGATTTATTATGGGAATTGGCACACACAATTATGGAGCCTGAGAGGTCCCACGGTATGCCATTTGCAAGCTATAGATGTAGGAAAGCCAGTGATATAATTAATTCCTAGGCTGAAGGCCTAAGAAGAGGGTTGGTTGGGGTCTGGTGTTGGAGGGTTGGTTGGTGTAAGTCTTGAAGTCAAAAGGACCAAGGACTGAGACATTCAATGTTCAAAGTCAGGAGAAGATGAAAGTCTGATCCCAATGAGGAAGAGAAAACTTATCCTTCTTGCACCTTTTTTGTTCTGCCTGGACACTCAATATGTTGGATGGTGCCTGCCCACATTGGTGAGGGCAAATCTTCCTATCTCAGTTCACTGATTTAAATGTTAATCTCTTCCAAAAAACACCCCACAGACAAACCCAGAAATAATATTTCACCAGTTACCTGTGCATCTCTTAACCTGGTCAAGTTGACATTGAATTTATCATCACAAATGATTTCATCTGTAAAATGATATTTTGAAATTAGATACAGTCTCTTCCAATTTGAAAATAGAAAAGTTTGGCTGGGCAAGGTGGCTCATGCCTGTAATCCCCGCACTTTGGAAGGCTGAGGTGAGTGGATCACTTGAGGCCAGGAGTTCGAGACCAGCCTGGCCAATATGGTGAAACCGCATCTTTATTAAAAAATACAAAAATTAGCTGGGCATGGTGGTGCATGCCTGTAATCCCAGCTACTCAGAAGGTTGAGACACAAGAATTGCTATAACATGGGAGTCAGAAGTTGCAGTGAGCAGAGATTGTGCCACTGCACTTCACCGTGAGCAACAGACTGAGACCCTGTCACAAAGGAAAAGTTATATCCAAGGTACGCATAAATAATACCAGCATTCTAGTGAACAAATACTTTAGCATTACATGAAAAATATTGTCACATAAAAACCAAATGTATATTTTGGAAAAGGGGAAGAGATTGACATTTTTTGAACATTCACTATGTACAAGGCATTTTACAAAGTTTTTTATTTAAATAATCTTGTTTAGTTCCATCAAGTTCTCTAAGATATTTAAAGAGGTAGTAATTTGCCATTTTATACAGGTGGATTAATTCCAAAATAATAACAAAAAAATTAAGAGAAAACTCTCTGCAGACAAGAAAATGGTTATTGAAAACATTGAAATGAAAAAAGATGGACTGGGAAACATTGTAGATGATTATTTAGCCTAAGGATTGAACTTGGAAGCTTTAAACCTAATGTGCAAATCTTAGTAATTTTAATAATTCACTGATTCGCTTAAGATGCTTTGGGGCTGAGTGGATGGACTTTTCTAGATATAGGATCATGTCATCTGCACACAAGCCAACTTTAGCAAAGTCTCAGTTTACAAAATCGATGTGCAGGATCACAAGAATTCTTATACACCAACAATAGACAACCAGAGAGCCAAATTATGAGTGAATTCCTATTCACAATTGCCACAAAGAGAATAAAATACCTAGGAATACAGCTAACAAGGGAAGCGAAGAACCTCTTCAAGAAGAACTACAAACCACTGCTCAAGGAAATCAGAGAGGACACAAGCAGATGGAAAAACATTCCATGCTCATATATAGGAAGAATAAATATAGTCAAAATGGCCATAATGCCCAAAGCAATTTAGAGATTGAATATGATTCCCATTTAGCTAATATTGATATTCTTCACGGAATTAGAAAAAAAACTATTTTAAAATTTACATGGAACCAAAAAAGAGCTCGTATATCCAAGACAATCCTAAGCAAAAAGACCAAAGCTGGAGGAGGCATCACGCTACTCTACTTCACACTATACTACACGCCTACAGTAACCAAACACCGTGGTACTGATACAAAAACAGGCACATAGGCCATTGGAACAGAATAGAGAACTCAGAAATAAAACCGCACATCTACAACCATCTGATCTTGGAA
The DNA here is from genome assembly GCF_000001405.40 of Homo sapiens. Classification (NCBI taxonomy): domain Eukaryota; kingdom Metazoa; phylum Chordata; class Mammalia; order Primates; family Hominidae; genus Homo; species Homo sapiens. The sequence continues at coordinate 43,376,798 of NC_000004.12, forward strand.
AAACCTGACAAAAAAAAGCAATAGGGAAAGGATGGTGATGGGAGAACTGGCTAGCCATATGCAGAACATTGAAACCGGATCCCTTCCTTACACATCATACAAAAATTAATTCAAGATGGATTACAGACTTAAATATAAAACCCAAGACCATAAAAATCCTAGAAGAAAACCTAGGCAATACCATTCAGGACATAGGCATAAGCAAAGATTTTATGACAAAATCGCCAAAAGCAATTGCAACAAAAGCAAACATCTACAAATGGAATCTAATTAAGCGAAAGCACAGCAAAAGAAACTATTATCAGAATGAACAGACAATCTACAGAATGGGAGAAAATTTTGCAATCTATCCATCTGACAAAGATCTAATATCCAGAATCTACAAGGAACTTAAGCAAATTTACAATTAAAAAAATTAAAAAGTGGGCAAAGGATATGAATAGACACTTCTCAAGAAAAGACATACATGCGGCCAACACATATGATAAAAAGATCAACATCACTGATCATTAGAGACATGCAAATCAAAACCACAATGAGATACCATCTCATACTGGTCAGAATGGCAATTATTAAAAAGTCAAGAAACAACAGATGTTGTAGAGAAATAGAAATGCTGTCACACCGTTGGTGGGAAAATAAATTAGTTCAGCCATTGTGGAAGTCAGTGTGGTAATTCCTCAAAGATTTAGAACTGGAAATACATTTGACCCAGCAATGCCATTACTGCATGTATACCAGAGGAATATAAATTATTCTGTTATAAAGATACATGCAAGCCTATGTCTATTGCAGCACTATTCACAATAGCAAAGACATGGAATCACCCAAATGCCCACCAATGATAGACTGGATAAAGAAAATGTGGTACATATACACCATGGAATACTATGCAGCTGTGAAAGGGAACGAGATCATATCCTTTGCAGGGACATGGATAAAGGTGGAAGCCACTATCCTCAGCAGACTAACAGGATCAGAAAACAAAACCAAACACTGCACATTTTCACTTATAAGTGGGAGCTGATCAATGAGAACACATGGACACAGGGAGGGGAATAACACTCATTGGGGCTTGTCAGGAGAGGGTTGGGGAGGAGAGCATTAGGGAAAAGAGCTAAGGCATGCTGTGCTTAATATTTAGGTGATGGGTTGATAGGTGCTGCAGACCACCATGGCACGTGTTTACCTGTGTAACAAACCTGCACATACTGCACATGTACCCTAGAACTTAAAAAAAAAATTCACCAATCCATTTTTTTTTTAAGTTTCTCAAATGCATTTGACACAATGGATTTAATCTTTATTTTTTGTGAGGGTTAGGGAAGATTGGAATGGAATGCTTGTATTTTGATCTCATTTTCAGAAAGCTTATAGTTGAGCAGGGCACATAGGCCATGTCAAAAATAATAAAAGTTTGAAGCTAATTATTCTAGTATTTATTGGGTTGCTTCCTTTTTGTATTGGAATTATGCATCCACACTCTTTGCCATGTAACTTAGCAACACCTTTTACTATGGGTGTACTTTCCTAATTCATTGACTTGGAGATTGGTGAAATGACTTGCATTGGTCAATGAAATGTGAATGGAAGTAACAGTGAGCAAGTTGTCAGCAGAAGCCTCGAAGCATCCTGTGCTTTTTCATAACTCCTATGATCCATGATCAAACAAGCATTCCACAATAGCTGCTTCAGTCTAGGTCTCAGAATACATTTAGATGAAGGAGACCAGAATGAAGACAAAGCCTGGAGTCTAGCCTAAACCAGCCAAGCTCAACTTAGATCAATGGATAGGCAGTTGATTTGCACAGCAGGAAGAATATATGTTGTGAGCTACCAAGATACTGAGATTATTATTCAGCAAAACATGACTTACATAGTTCTCAAACTCTTTTTAGCAGGTGATGTTTGTTTATATTTTTAAAATTGCAGAATTTTGTAGCGCTGAGTAAGGAGAATAGATGCATTATATCACAAACTATTTCTCAGTTTTCTTTGAATACTATTCTAATATTTAATTATAAGAATATTGGAATCTTGGATTTCTAAATGGTGAGTTGGACATATTCAATGGTGATATTATTAAGTTTTATTTCAAAGCAAAATGTCCATAAAGGAGTGGTTTTTAGAATTTTTTTACTCAATATGTATTAAAACTGAATAATGTAACTTTTTATATCAAAGATTATAAATCATAATTACTATTACATTATTCTTAAATTATCTCACATTAATGCTACAATTTTCGGTGCCATAAATCTTACTAAATCTATGTGCAAAGAACTATAAGGCTCTGTGAGCTTTTTTTCTATCTTGGTAGTACAGTCAGTATTGTACTGCTCTAAATAATGAGTGTTTTATTTTGGATCAGTGCTTCTCAGCTTTAAGGGCCATATGGCATAAAAACCACCCTGAGATCTTGTCAAAATGTAGATTCTAATTCAGTAGGTCTGGGATAAAGTCTGAGATTCTGCATTTCTAACAAGTTTCCAGATTATCCTGATGCTTCAAGTCCAAGGAACACTCAGGGAGTAGCAGGGTCTTGGAATATCACTTAACAAACAAAAACCCCCAAAACATATAGATGAGACAGATGGCATTAAGTGACTATGTATGCAAGTGGACTGCACAGAATTAAAGACTAATCAAAGGTTTGAGAACATAGCTTTTATCACAGATATATTTAACGAATATTAAATGTAACTACTATTAAACCTACTAATATTAAACATAACTATTATTATCTTTTGAGTAAATAAATATGGGATTTTCAGTTAACATTGCTCTTCTTTTGCTGTTATTTAAAAATGGCCAAAGATTCTATATCTATATCTACGTATCATCTACATGTATATTTCAAAAATGTAAATGAAATGGTTTTAAATGTTAAAGGTATGTTTAAAATAGTTGGAGATAATAATTTTGCTATGTAAATTCCTAAGCATGCTTTTTTATGTTTTTGTTTTACTAGAAAATAGTAAAAAAAAAAAAAAAAGAAGAGAGAATATAGTATAAATAATAATCTTCCTATAGAAGAATAATCATGACTAATTTTTTTAACAGGAATTATGATTTTAGTTAGCAGAGGCAAGAAATTTAATGTTTCTCAAAGCCTGATCAAATTGACTTCGTTTTATTCTGGATCTTATTGTACTGTATTATTTCTGGAAACAGCCAGTTGTAGCAGCAGTCTTTCCTACCTCTTTCAGTTTCTAGCACATCCTTTGTAATTTCTCCAGGATTTGGCTTCTTTTTGACCTCAGAAAATTCAGGTTCTCTCCACGTGTTATTTTCATTCATTTCAAACAGAAACATACATCTCTGAACTTCATGTTTTACAAAACAAAAACAAAAGCTTTCTTTTCCTTGGACTTTTATAACCCCTCAGATATCATTCTGTATTTTCTTCTTTGATTAAGCTTCACGTAACTATGGCTTTGTTTACTGGCTTACTCTCTTTCCCTGCCGTTCATTGGCTCCTCAGCTTGCTGCAATCTGGCTTCCATGCATCTGCATGACTAAAGGTCTAGAATTAGAGGGCACTTGAATGTTTTATTGATAGTCCAATGGCATTCCAAGTCTTCTTTTTCACATTCTGTTTTATTTTAGGTCATTGCTAACATCTTCCTTTTTGTGATTTACAGAGACTCAATTAAATTCCAGCTTATTTCCTCCTTCATTGACAGACTTTTCTTTCTTCCCCATCCAATCAGTGATGAAGGCCATCCAATCAGTGATGAAGGCCTGTCCATTTTCTTTCCTATAAGAAAGCAAAGTATGCACCCTTTCTCAATTCCTAATCTCATGTCCAGTCCCTGCTCCATTCTTTACTTAGAACAATATCGCCGAAGGCGTCCTTTCTTCAGTTTTGCCCCAGAAAATCAACAGTTCTTCACACTGACAACAAGGCACTGTAAAATTTTCTGGAATATAAATCTCATCATGTGAGTCCTCTATTTAAAACAATTGCAAGACTACCCATTGCCTATAGTAGAAAATCCAAGCTTTCAAATAGGGTTATATTTTGCTTTTGCTTATCTTTCCAAGCTCACTTCTCACTCCTATTCCCTCATACACTCTCCATAAACCATAATAACTTACTTCAGTCTCTATGTACCTAATTGATTTTTTAAAAAATAAATTTCATAGAAAAGAATAATTTATTTTAAAATACAATGGAAAAAGATACTTTAACAGAATCAACAAATGATAAAGCCACTAGGAATAAGCTCAATAAGAAATACATAAGATATATATGAATGGAACTTTAAAATATTAAAGGGACTAAAAAAACTTTTGAAGAAATTCATTTATATAGAGATTCAATATTGTAAATATGTCATTTCTCCTTAGTCTACAAATTTAAGCATGGTCAAAGGAATATTAAGTCAATAGATTATAAAATTCACATGGAATAATAAACTTCAAGAATGTCAAGGACATTCTAAAAAGGTTGGCCTATGGGAGATGACAAAAGATTAATTATGGCCAATCATAAAAATAAATCATATGTAAGCCAGGGTATAGTATATAATGAATGAAGAGGTGCTCAGTAATTGCATGGCATGATAATTCCTTTATTTTATTACTTTTATGTCTATTAACAAATAGCATTCTCTTGAAAGATTACCTGACCTTATATTTTATGCTTGTGGAAATTTTAATTGCAGTGACAATACATCACTTTTTGATAGTTACACAGCATCCTACGATATGTCAATTCCTCCTGGCTCCAGCACTACTCAGTTGAGGCTACGGGTGCTTCTCACCTGCTGCTCCACCCTATTAAGTTTCTCCATTAGTTTTGAGTGCATGTTCTACCTCCTGTAGTGGTGAAATGTAAATTAAATTTGTTACTGTATACAGTCAGCTAAGGTTGCACATGGGCCTCAAAATACCCAAAGAGCTACCACCTGCCTGGACTGTTCCATTGGTTCTTTCTCTATGTCTGTGTATCATTCTTAATTCTTCATGAGCATTTGGCTTACTCTATTGTATCTAGGATGGAGGAATAATGGGTTTGATAGTGTCCTTGGTTATTGCAATCTCCCATTCCCATGGTAGTCAGACCTTGTCTCTATCACCCACTTGCTGGTTATCATGTGCTCCAAATAGGGAAGCACATATGGAACTATGAGGCTTCACCTTTCCCAAATGAGAGACTTGTCAGAGCTTAGGTACTGCTGCCTCCTCTTATAAAACTAAATTCCTAATTTGTTGCCTGTCAAGACCCGCTGCAAGTTACCCAAACCAATTTGGTGACCAATTAAGACAGCTTCCTTCACAGTCCTTACTTCAAAGAGATCCCCTGGCTTTGATTGTGTTAGGTGATATCTTGTTCCCCTGGTTGGTCTCACAAATATATTAACTATGTTTTTCCCCCTCATTTATCTTGCTGCTTTTATGATTCCAGTTCATGCTTCAGAAAAATGAGAAATGGTATGTGATGACTTTCTGGGGAGCTCACAAATTTTTCAAACATGGAACATTGAATTTCTGAATGCCTGGGATCTACAAACAGTTCATACATAGAAGTAGGCTAAATAATTATGACTATCAGATAAAGCTCCTAGAATTAAAAAAAATGGTCTATGTCATAACTTCAGTTATTCTACTTTTAGAGAAATATGTGTGACCTGAAGATTTTGATGTTATTCACAGGCCACACTTTAAGGTTTTATTAGCTAATGCCTCATTTAGAAATCAGATGACAGTGACATTCAGCCACTAATGTGTATGAAATGAGGACAGACTGTCAAAGGAACTTTGGCAAAGAGTTCTAGAGGCAACCATCAATTATTTGTCTACTTTCCAATGTCATCCAAGAAAACACTAGTTTGTAAGATAAATGCTAGTAGAAATAAATAAAACAATACATATATTTCTTTAAAATTAGAAGATGATGTTAAAATTAAGGTCCATAGTTTTGTAGTATGTTATATTTGGAAAAGCATGGATTGAAATGGCAAAGACCAAATCTTTGAGTTATAGTACAAAACCTCTCTTGCTTGAGACTGTTCAGATGAAATATCAGGGAAGACGAAATTTGGCCTTTCACATCTTTGAAATTGCACCTGAAAAGCAATTCAACTTTAGCACTTTTGTTTCTTCCCAAGAATCTGATAATGGGAGTAGGTTCATTCAAGTTTGGGTCATGACTTCTACACATTTGATTAGTGGAATATATAATATTTTGTGCTGAATCAAATTGCAAAACCTCTGCTGAATATATTGAAAAATGTGGCTGACCCATAATTTGGGATGTGAAATATAATATGTAATTTTTTTGGCTTTGCATCTTAGAATTTTTTGTGACCATCTTCAGAACATGCTTGCTTTCTCCTCTAATATAGTCTCACTGGTGATGCTTTGCTTTCATTGCAATTTTTGGTCCCATTAATATAATGCTAAATACCTTCCTCTCATTATTCCACAACTTATAGCCCTGATAAAGTTATGTCTTTAATTTCTTAGTCACCAAGACCCTAACATCAGCTAAAACGTTTTTTATATATGTGTGTGTGTATATATGTGTGTGAGTGTATATATATGTGTGTGTATATATACACACACATTTCAATCCACGCTTTTCCAAATATAACATACATGCATGCACACACACACCACACACATATACATACACGCACACCACAGACATACATACGCATAAGAAAAAATTTAGTTCCAAACAACATCTCTTCTCTGGTGATTTTATATATATATCTCTCCCATATATATATAATATATATATATAATCACCAGAGAAGAGATGTTGTTTGGAACTAAATTTTTTCTTATGTGTATGTATGTCTGTGGTGTGCATGTATGTATGTGTGTGGTGTGTGTGTATGTATGTGTGTGGTGTGTGTGTGTATGCATGTATGTACATCTGTGGTGTGCGTATGAGAGAGGAGAGAGACAATGAGAAAGAGAGGGCATGTCTGTGAGTTTTCTTCTCTCCATGTGCTTTCTTTTTCCTACTTATGTTTCTATGAATTCAAAGTAATCAGAGAGTAAGACACTAGGAAATTATGAAACTAGTTATTGTAATATGAAGTTTCCACGTAAAGGAGCATTTTCATTTACAGCATAACAAAGAACACTTGGTTATGGGTTGAAGGGATCTCAGAATGTCCTATCTTGTGTAAAAAGCATATCCCTTCCTTTTAGAATATGCCTTGTTGTCTAACAAAGAGAAGTAACCCTAGTTTCAAATATTAAGCTTCCTCTAATCAATACAACCTTAATGTGAATTAGATCATTAAATCTTTGTCAAAAGAAAAGACAGTTATGGAAGAACCAATTTTGCCTGACAGTAAGAAAGTGGAAAGAAAAGGGTAGAGATTTAAAAGAAAGACAAGTTAAGCCAAAGAAATAAAAACAAGGAAGTGGAGAGATTTTAAATATATTTTGACCTGTGAAAAGTATCACAATGTTCAACCTCATAAGCCCATCATATATCAGGTCAGAGAGTGCCCAGAATTATTATGGTAACTGTTTTCTCCAAGTGAAAACTGAGCAATTTCAGTTCTTCCATCGGAACTGATAAAATGCTTGATGATGAGTGTTGGTTAAAATTATGTCTATTTATTAGTGGCCATGAAATTTATTGTTCTGTCTTAGGTGATTAAGTGATCTCTTGAATCAAAGGAACTAGCTATAAGTGGGTGCTAAATTTTGCTAAGTTTTGGCCAGCTTTTACGATTCCTTAGGAGACAACAAAATTTTAGAAATTGGACACTTTCTCATCATGCTTTATTCAATAAAATACAAATCTTTAATCAGTTACTTGGACCTCATTGAGTTTTGAGGACCCCTTCACTTCACTTGTGGACTTTGGAAGTCATATGAACATGTTTAAAGGCTGTTAAGGAAATAAAAGTTAATCAGCAGTGTATTCATGGTCTCATACAGTCTGATGTATAATGAAAGCTGAACATTTTTAGGCTCTTTCAGTTTTCACAATAAGCGCCACACCATTATTTTAAATAAGCCACAGATTTTTAGACTAAAGAATCATGGCTCTCTCTCTCTCTCTCTCTCTCTCTCTCTCTATATATATATATATATATATATATTTATATATATTTATATATATATTTATATATATATTTATATGTATATATCTATGTATCTCTCTCTCTATATATTATATGAGAAAATAAAGTGTCAAACATTTCAAGACTTATAATTATGAAAATTAAGGTGTTTAACTGGGTTAAAATAAGGCAATAGTTTATTTCTACACTGCATGTAAGAAGGAGATTCTTTGAATTATAGTGTCATTTAAATAAAACTGTTTGCTAATATTTGTTGCTCCCCTATCTTATGCCAAGCACGATGGTAGGTAGTGAGGATTCGAAACTATAAACAGTAGTCCCTTATGCATCCGACATTCCTTTTAAGAAATAAAAAGATGAATTCAAATCCATTCATCCATTGTATGTTCATTCACTCAATAACCAGGTATTGAGTACCCACTCTACACCAAGCATTCTTCTAAGCTTTATGGCACAGAAGTGAGCAGGAGAGAAAAAATGTCTTTCATGTTAGCAAGACAGGCAGACACATCAACATACACATACATAAATAATTGTGATTTAAGGCCAAAAATAAGAGGCTGAGACAGAGAATACAATGATTGGGTGGATTGTGGTACTTTGGTAAGATCTTTCTAAGACAATATCCATTTAAGCAGAGATGGTAACATGTGTGTGCGAGGTGCTATGGAAATACAGAGGACAACCACTTGCTTCGACTTGGGCAAGTCTGAAAAGGTTTCTAAGCCAGATGTCATGACTGAGAGACAAATAATACTTAAAGCACTCCCGGGGAAGAAGAAGGCAGTCCAGTCAGGGGAATGATATAATAAAGGTAGAGAAGGATGATTAAGTATACCATGAGCCACAGCATAAGGTGTTCAGTTGGGAGGCTGGAGGGTGGTATAAGATGAGATTGAAGAGGGGCTTAGAAGCCTTATTAGGGAGCCCTCTGAAATTACCACAGACAGGATTTGCTGTCATCATTAGCTGTGTTGCCTGATATGAGCATACCACCTTCTTAAAATATCAAGCTTCTCATTCTGGGTGTAAATCTGTATTGTTTGTCTCCTGTCACACAATCATGAGGAACACTGTCTAAAAAAGACTTGTTTGTTTACATGAGTTTACAAGAAATCATGTATCAGGGGAAGTTCATTTGGGAAATGTGGACAGTAGAAATTGAGAAAATATTTGTTTTTCAAAAACATTAAGAAGGAGTGCTTTACAAATCCTTATCACATTGGAGAGTCTACTTCAGGCATCTTAGGACAGAATGATGGGATAGGGGTATCAAGAACAGGCCAATTCATTTTCTTTCCTGAAGGGAGAGAGATACCACAGTAAATTTATCTATGTCACAGAAACTAAGTAGTTAATTAATTCCTTTGACAAAATATTTATTGGGCAACTACAATGTGTTAGTCACAGTGATAGGTGTTATTCTTTCTGCATTTGATGTGTAGTGACTTTATAAAGCTATTGATTTTTACACTCAAGCCTGTTCACAATCACTTCTTAGTTAATTTTTTACATTTTCCTCCTCTACTGCAAAGGTGAACCTAATTAGTTGTGGATCTGACAGAGGGATTCCTCTTGTTGTCATTCTTTTCCTTATATACTTTGGAGAATTTTGTCTTAAACTATAATAGACATATTATTAAAATTAAAATAGAAAAGAAAAAAGAAAACTAATCAGGAAGAATTTGCTTTTGTTGTTTTGTGCTTAGTAATTGCTTTGGTGGAGTTCAAGAGAATTATGTCTAACTGAAGTCCTTTTAAACTGCTAACACTTATTAGAGTGGACAAAAGTACAAGTTACCAAGCAGAAAACAATCTCTAGAGTTTATTAACTTTAGCCAATTTTCCAATGGATGCTGTGGGCCACATACAGAACCCATGAGTTATTACTTTTATATTAAAGGAATAACATATCCTTTGGTTAAACAAAAAAGATATAGAAAAATTGAGACTAAGTTAGATTTTTGGTGAATATGGTGATCAGATTGATACTAAAAAATTAAACGTTAACATTTTAAAATTGTGGTTATTTCGACATATTTTTAAATCTTAATTTTGAGGCATAAAAGATCTGAACAATTATCTCGTAACAGCTAATTCTAAAGTGAGCACCAATACAGAAACAGAGGCTTCTAAAAGTTTGACTCAACCACTTTCTCACAGCTTATTTGTGGTGCTGACCCTAGATAAGTTATTAAATTTTGTAATGCCTAGGCCAAAGGTTGCTCCATTCACAACAACCAGAACACTTTCCTTTGCACTTAGGATGATCACAAACTCTTTTTTTTGTCTTTCTAGTTTACATGTATTATTGCATATTGTTCAAGAAATGTATTATTTATAATTTCTACAACTGTGGTAGTCTCATTACTTGCTCAAATTCACATAAGACAATGATGGAACTAAAATCTATATGTTCTGATACTCAGTGCAGTGGTAAATGCAGCAATCTGCTTTTCTGTTATTATTAAGTAGAAAAAATAAATATAACCAAATCCTTCTTTGATGATTGAAAATGTGAGATATGCCTTGTATTTTCAATTTCCATTCATATAACTTTGATTGAACAGTATTAGAGTTATAGAAGTGTCGTGAGTTTAATTTTGTTCCCCAAAATGTTATATTTTAGCCCCAGTACTCGTGAACATGACTTTACTTGGAAATGAGATATTTGCAGATATCGTGCTAGATGGGAGACCATGCAGGATTAGAGTGAGCCCTAAATCCAATGCAAAGGTAAGTATTACCACTATTTATCAGAAAAAGCTGGCACTATAAAGTACAGTATTGACCCAGTGCAATACTCTCTGCTGAAGATATTGCTCCACTGAGTTTTTTTAATGTAAAACTCACTTTATTATCTTTATATTTTCTATAAAATAAAGTTGTTAGATTAATAATCCATAAGAATGTCATTGTTTAGATATATATTAATTTTGATAAATTATTTGAGCAAATATTGCATTATTTGCATTGAATAGGTAGGTGGTGTCACTGCTCATTAAATATTCTTTGTCCAAAGGCTGTTAATCAGTGACTTATCATTAACATTTCTTTCAAACGTGCTACAAACTATTAAGTTTGTCTCCCTCCTATTCTTCTCAAAACTTATTACTTTATTCAAAATCATGCATGTTCTATTTGAAGATCCATTTCTCTTTTCAGTACCACCCTTCTCCACTAGCCTAATCACATTATTCCTATTTTCAACATCTGGAATCCAAATCCGTAATGAAAATGGAATATCTAAGAAATAATAATCTCAAAAGCTATTCCATTTTTCTTCTTCCTTACTCCTAGTCAAGCCTAGGGTGAACGTCTCCCCATCCAAGAAGGGTCCTCTGAAGCACCACAACCTGTTTGTCTGCCACGTGACAGATTTCTATCCAGGCAGCATTCAAGTCTGATGGTTCCTGAATGGAAAGGAGGAAATAGCTGGGGTTGTGTCCACCAACATGATTCATAATGAGACTAGACCTTCCAGATCCCAGTGATGCTGGAAATGAGCCACCAGCAGGGAGACATCTACACCTGCCAAGTGAAGCACCCTAGCCTGGACAGTCCTGTCACCACGGAGTGGAGTGAGTTAGTCTCTGATGACCCTCTAAACCCCACCTCTGAAGAGCAGGGGACTCTCTGGCTCTGGGGTCCACTCATCTTGTCTTCTGTGTCTATACTCTGGGGCCATGGCTGACCCCATCTTTCTTCTATACCAGTTCCTGAGAGTGGTTTCAACCTGGGGCAGTGGAGACTTGCCTGTCTTTGGCCTAGGGGATCCTGAGGATTCACAGTTTTCCCACTCATCAGAGTCTAGGGACAGAGACACCTTCTTGAACTGACCTCACACATGGGAACTGTTCTCTTTCTTCAGCCTTTTATCCTATTCTGAGTTATTTTGAGAGACAACTGCTGAATTCTGCATTTGTGCCTTGTTGAGATCACACCATATGTTTCAGAATTAAGGGAGTGGCTTTTTCTCAATTTCCTCTTATGCAAGGTGTACCCCCCTCACTGTACTTGTGCCAATATCCTACAACAGGCTGCAAGATACCAGACAGGATGTGAGCAGGGGCGCAGCTGGTGGAGGTGACAATGACCCTGGGTCAGCTTATAGAAACTCAGCTCCACTGAGTTTCTATAAAGTAGCAGCTTTTTGTACCTGCATAGAAATAGCCAGAATGATAAATAATTCCATCATCTATGATCACTTCTATTCCAACATCCAATTTTAGTTGCCAAAAGATTGGAGACTACTGGTAAATCACAGGAAAAATAAATCGTAGTCTGCATTTCTTTTGTAGTATTCATAAAATTTCTATATCCATCAAAACTTTGTACTTTTCTGATTTCCATAATTACATTATTGGTTGAGAATCTAATCATTGGACTACACAATATAACACAAAATAAGCAAGCAAGGAAACTAACAAAAACAAACTATTTTTCCTTACTTTGTTACTATCATTCCAACTTCAAGCAACAGAGACATGTAATTTCCATTTTTGTTTTAATAAGTGTCTTTAATGTTGCCATACAAAAATAATATCCATGATTTCCATGTTACTGAGATGTTATCTAAAAATAAACATGCGTCTTCTAATATTCTCCTTTCTTTAGAAAGCACAAACATTGAACCATTCTATCCAAGACCAAATTTGGTTAAGTAGCCAAGCTCCCCAAAGTCAGCTGTTATTACTTTCTTCTCCTCCATGAAGTTTCAATAGCTTCATGATATATTCACATTTGCCAGCTTGAAAAAGAGTCTTCTTCACTGAGTGTGACAGGGAGTAGTGAATCTGTTCATTGTGAAAGTTTTTCTACAGCAGGATAAGACACAGCCCTGGTACCTGGGATAGCCACTGGCAGAGAGCATTATCCAACAATATGCTGCATGCAGTTTAACCTTGTTTTTACTCCACAGTCATGAGGCATGAATTCACTGTACTTGCTTCACCAACACAGGTTTAAAAAACATGCTGCAATTGCCTCTTTTATTAAACACAAATGAACACCTTAGACCCCGGGACAGGTAAGAAGAAATTTCCTGTACTTAGGAAATATTTTCATTTAATAGCAGCAGTGAGAACTCAGCCTCTGTACTTGGTATTAGAGCACCTTTTGTTTACTCCAAAATGTGAAAACAATTAACAAACATTATTAATAAGAGATATTAGAATTTGGAATGTTCTTTTAAAAATACTATATTTTATGAGGATTATACTCTTTGAGCCTTGTAGATCAAGGAGGAGATTAAAGAGATCTTTAGAAAGAAGGGAAGAGTCTGCTTCTTCCTGTAGAAATCTTTTAAAATCTGAGTGTTGTAGGGACGTATTATATTCTAACTCTGCCTCCAAAAAAGCAGCTGATATTTATGAAGCAAATTGTGAAAGTGAACATTTTTTATTGAGCTCCTTTAGTAGGTATTCACAGCCACCCTTCCAGGTACGTATTCATTTTGCATATGAGAAAACTAAGGCTTGGTTAGTTTAAATGAACAACCTTTCCAACCCCACGCATTCTATCCAAGACCATACGTTAGTAGTAGCAGAACCGAGATTCCAAACTAGAGCTGTTCTAATTACTATGTTTCTACTATTTTCTATATACCTATTGCAAAAAAACTATGCTGGATTTGTCATATAAAAATTTAAAGTATAAAACAATTTTATGTACTCAAAAAGTTTAAAGTACACTGTATACATAGCAGATAAGTTATAAAATGTGTAAAACTATAAGAGATAATAGAGCTTCCATGGCATAATCATGGTCAATCACAGACAAATTTGTCTCAAGACCTTAGATTGTGAATAGCAATCTGACTTATTTACATCAATTATCAGGTGAGTTTTTTGATAACTATCTTCTATTATTCCTTTTGCATTTAATGAAATTTCTAAAATACTAATGATAATGTGATTTATATACAAACAACTAGGTCAATTTGGTACCTACCTACACAATTTTTAGATATCTTCTTTTTTAATTTTTTTTTCTTAAGGAAAAAATAACCTCCCAAAAATGGCTGACAATGTTATGGCTCCTGGTGATGAGTGGAGATGTGCTCAGTGTGCTCCCTATTAATGAAAAAGTGACATAAAAAAATGACTTGCACTCAAAGAAGTGATGCACACTCCATCACACATCAAGTGGAGTTATAAGTCATTGCTCTGAGTTTTTAAAAAAATGGCCTGGGTTAAATTAAATACATGGCCTTTTACAAATCACTTACTTTTTTCAATTTCATTTTGACAATTTGATGATTTAAATATTTTTATAGCTTCAAGGTATAATATGTTCTGAGTGTTGAATGGGTTGATGAAACATTAGAATGATAGGTTCTGGACAATCTCTTCCAGCATTTTAGCAGATGCTAATTGTGCAAATGGTCTTGACAGCCAGTGAAAGACACTTTTCTCAGTTCTTGAATGATGTCTGTTTCCCTGTCAGTTAGCTGAAGACATCACTGAAGGCCACTACCATACTGACAGCAGACTTCAAGGGGAAAAGCAGACCTAATAAATACTTTATTCCACCCACAAACTTCTTTCTCTTAACGTGTTATTTTATTAAGAACACAAGCAGATATTTATTATATGTACCAAGTCACAAACCACCATGAATTCTGCTGAAACGTGAGACCATAATCACTTTTTAAAGTTTACATGCCATAAAAGGAAAATGAAAGTTCCACGACTACCACATGAATTTCATGTTTTGACAGTTCTTAATATTTTGAAAAGATAACATTATTTATCATCAAACTCAGGCTTCCCAAATTTGTGGTCATATAAGCAAATATTTGTGTCTCATTTATCTTTTCATTTTATGGGAACATTTTCAGAAAAATGATAAAATGTTAGTTTCACTAATTTATCAGAGCATTAAAAAAATAATGGCACAATATTTCTTTTCTTTTATTGTTCTCAGGCCCTTGACCTTTTTGTCTCTAACTTGTCTGGAAGACATTGAAAATGGAATTCTTTCCAGATATATTTTCCTTCAACCTTAAATATTCTGTTTTCATTGGTATAATTTAGCTTTAGGAAAAGGTCCAAACCATGCTGATAACTTTTTATCTAAATGTTTTTAACTTTTATCTAAAATAGACCATTTAAAGTGAGTCTATTAGGTCTTATACACAATGCTGGGCACTTTCATATACAGTTGACATTTGAATGCACACAGTCTTTTGTGTTTCCTTGTGTTGCAAAGAATATAAATGAAATTCACAGAGGTTAAATGACCTTCTCCAAGTATATGTAATTAATAAGTGTAAGAGACAGGACTGAGGCTTCTTTTTGTCCAATAATTAATTAGTCTTTTATCTCACTAATGTCATACATATGCCATACTGTGGAGTTGCAGTTAAGATCACACACTCTTGAATCAGTCTGCCTTAGTTAAAATTTCAGCTTCGTCAATTACTAGCTATGTCACCTTGGTAATGTTTCTTAGACTGTCTATGCCTCAATTTTCTTACTACTAAATGAGATAGTAGTAATTAGCTTTTAGAGATTCTGTGGGATTAAATTAATACACATAAAGCCCATTGAAGTTGTTATTATTATTACATTATCACTACCTACTCAGTGCTAAACTGACTCAACTGTTTTTTCTCTATCAGGATATTTTCATTAAGACCTAGACTTATATATCCAAACACATCCTCAAAATCTTTACTTGGTTGTCTCAAAGACATCCTCACTTACTCTATTGAGAAAGAGAAAACCAGCCTCCAATATCCAGGGCCTGACCTGGCATTATCACCTGCTGGGTCTTGAAGCTACTATGAGCTGGCCTGGCACTCACAGAGGGACCATGGTGTTCTCCTCTTCACCATAAACAATTTTACAGAACGCCTATAGCAGACAAGGCCACTCTGTGACTCTGGTGGATCAAGACACAATAAGGCCACTTTGTAATCCAATCTGAGTACAGAAAAAAACATGACAATTTTCCAAACCACAAAAATGACCATACATCTCAATATCCTCATTAATATGAATCACTGCTGTTTTATTAACCAAGTTGGTTTTATTCCATTCTTCCTTTATCTTAAAGAAGAATGATTCAGATGATCATAGAATTGCTTCTTCTGACAAAGAGTATCCAATTCAGAACAAATCTCTGCTTTCTTATACCTTCCTCAAATCACCCAACACAAACCACACAACGAATAATTCCCTTTTCAAATGCATTTACTGAGATGATCCACAGCTCTCCATAGTGTGTGCTCTCCCTTGTCTTTGTCTGTTTAGTGTCGTTATATAGGAATACTCAAGGCTAGGTATTTACAAAGAGGTTTATTTGGCTCAAGATTCTGCTGGCTGGAAGATTGGGCATCTGGTGAAAAGTCTCAGGCTGCTTCTACTCATGGTGGAAGATGTAGGGGAACCAGCATGCTCAGGGAGCACACAGTGCCAGAGAAAGCAAGAAGGAGCCGGGAGGGGCCAGCCTCTTTTTAACTACAAGCTCTGGAGGGAACTAATAGAACAAGAACTCACCACCGCTTCCCTCAGGGAAGGCATTCATCTATTCAAGAGGGATCCACCCCCATGAACTAAACACCTCTAATTAGACCCTTACTCCAACATTGAGTATCAAATTTCGACATGATGCTTGAGAGAACATCCAAACTGTAGCATCCCTCATTGCCAGGATTAAATAATCCCAACTTTATTCAGATAAAGCTGTGCTCTTTGTGGTTTTTGGCTACAAGGTATTGATAATATCCAAAAATACCTCCAAAATGATCTATCCCAGACCTGATATATTCTCCTTTTGTGTAGTTTGAGCCGAATAGAAGCCTATGAGTCATCTTCAATCCCTCCAATTCTTTTATTTTCCATGT
Source organism: Homo sapiens (assembly GCF_000001405.40). NCBI lineage: Eukaryota > Metazoa > Chordata > Mammalia > Primates > Hominidae > Homo > Homo sapiens. The sequence continues at coordinate 43,393,709 of NC_000004.12, forward strand.
CTAATCTATGACTGAATTATTTTTATTCCCATGACAGCAGTTGTTTAAATTGTCTAAGTTACTATCATCACTTACTTGAACAAATTCTATAGCCCTTTAACTAACCTCTCATGACTCACTTTTATTTCAATTGGAGAGATTTTTCTATAGAACCAATATTATCATATCTCTCCTTTGCTTATTACTTTTAAATTACAATCGTGTGCTGCATGATGACATTTTCTTCAATGACATGGTCCCATAAGATTATAATGGAGCTAAAACATTCCTATTGTTTAGTGATGTTGTAGCCACCTTAACAACCTGATGCAAAGCATTATTCACATTTTTTGGGTAATGCTGCTGTAAACAAATCTATTATGCTGTCATTCATTTAAAAGTATAATAAATACAATTGTGTACAGTACTTAATACTTGGTAATAAATGACTATGTTAAAGGTTTATGTATTTACTATAGTATACTTTTTATTGTTATTTTAGAGGGTGCTCCTTCTACTTATATACAGAAAAAGTTAACTATAAAAGAGCTTCAGGCAGGTCCTTCAGGAAGTATCCAAAAGAAGGCATAGTTACCAAAGGAGATGGCAGCTCCATGCATGTTATTGCCCCTGAAAACCTTCCAATGGGAAGATATAGAGGTGTGAAACAGCAATAATGATGATCCTGATCCTGCATAGGCTAATATGTGTGTTTGTGTCAAAACAGAAACACAAAGTTTAAAAAGCAGGAAAAAATTTAAAAAAAGAAAAATAGTTTATAAGATAAGGATAAAAAGAAAATGTTTTGTACAGATGTACAACATGTTTGTGTTTAAGCTGTGTTATTACAAAAAAATCAAAAATTAAAAAGTAAACAGCTTATAAATTTAAAAGTTTTAGCAAGCTAAGGTTAATTTACCTTTGAAGAAATAAAACAATATTTAATAAATTTAGTACAGCCTAAATGTACCTTGCTTATAAAGCATAGATTAATGTACAATAATGTCATAGGCTGACAGGGTTTGTATTTCTGACAGTGCCCAAATCTCATGTCAAGTTGTAATATCCAGTGTTAGAGGAGGGGCCTGGTGGGAGGTGACTTTTTCTCATGATGATGAGTGAGTTCTCACAAGACCTGTTTATTTAAAAATGTGTGGCATCTCCCCTTTCTCTCTCTTTTTCCTGCTCTGGCCATGTAAGACGTGACTCCTTCCTCTTCTTGAAAGTAATGGCAAAAACAGCAATTACTTTTGCCCCAACCAAATAATAGCCAAGACAATGGGGAAAATGCCTTAGAGGCATTTCAGAGGCCTTCCCATCACGGGCCTGGAAGTCTAGGAGGGAAGAATGGTTTCCAGGGCCAGAACCAGGGCCTGGCTGCCCTGTACACCTTCAAAACATTGCTCCCTGAATCCTAGCTGCTCTCACTCCAGCTGTGGCTAAAAAGGCCCCAGATATGTCTCAGGCTGCTTCTCTGGAGGTTGTGAGTCATAAGCCTCGGTGGCTTCCATGTGATATTAAGCCTGCAGATGTGCAGAGAGCAAGAATTGACGCTTTGGAGCCTTCACTTAGATTTCACAGGATGTACATCCAGGCAGAAGTCTGCTGCAGGGGCAGAGCCCTAATGGAGAACCTCTACTAGGGCAGTGTGGAGGGGAAATGTGGATTTGGGACCTGCACACAGAGTGCACCTTGGGGCACTGTCTAGGGTAGCTGTGAGAAGAGGGTCACCATCCTCCAGACCCCAGAATGGTAGATCCACCTACAGCTTGCACAGTACACCTGGAAAAGCCACAGGCACTCAATGCCAGCCCATGAAGGCAGCCGTGCGCACTGTATCCTGCAGAGCCACAGGCCACAGGAGTGGAGCTGCCCAAGGCCTTGTGAGCTGTATTAGTCATTTTCATGCTGGTGATAAAGACATACTTGAGACTGGGCAATTTACAGAAGAAAGAGGTTTAATGGACTCACAATTCCACATGACTGGGGAGACCTCACAATCATGGCAGAAGGTGAAAGGCATGTCTCACACGGAGACAGACAAGAGAAGAAAATGAGAGCCAAGTGAAAGGGGTTTCCCCTTATAAAACCATCAGATCCCATGAGACTTTTTTATTACCATGAGAACAGTATGGGAGAAACTGTCCTCATGATTCAACTATCTCCCACTGGGTCCCTCTCACAACAAGTGGGAATTATGGGAGCTACAATTCAAGATGAAATTTGTATGGGGATACAGCCAAACCATATCAGGAGCCCATCGCTTGCATCAGTGTGGCCTGGATGTCAGACATGGAGTCAAAGGAGTTTATTTTGGAGTTTTAAGATTTAATGACTGCCTACTGGGTTTTGGACTTGCATAGCATGTTTAGCCCCTTGTTTTGGCCAATTTCTCCCATTTGGAAGGGGAGCATTTACCCAAAGCCTGTACCTTCATTATATCTTGGAAGTAACTAACTTGCTTTTGATTTTACAGGCTCAGAGGCTCAAGAGACTTGCCTTGTCTCAGATGAGACTTTGGAATGTGGATTTCGAGTTAATGCTGAAATGAATTAAGACTTTGGTGACTTTGGGTGACTGTTGGGAAGGCATGATTGTATTTTTCAATGTGAGAAGGAAGTGGGATTTCTGAGGGACCCAGGGTGGAATGATATGGGTTGTATTTGTGTCTCAGCCCAAATCTCATGTTGTATTGTAATCCCCAGTGTTGGAGGAGGGGCCTGATCAGGGTAATTCGATCATAAGAGCTGATTTCCCCTTTGCTGTTCTCATAATAACGAGTGAGTTCTCATGAAATCTCATTGTTTAAAAGTGTGTCGCAAGGCCGGGCGCGGTGGCTCACGCCTGTAATCCCAGCACTTTGGGAGGCCGAGGCGGGCGGATCATGAGGTCAGGAGATCGAGACCATCCTGGCTAACAAGGTGAAACCCCGTCTCTACTAAAAGTACAAAAAATTAGCCGGGCGCGGTGGCGGGCACCTGTAGTCCCAGCTACTCGGGAGGCTGAGGCAGGAGAATGGCGGGAACCCCGGGAGGCGGAGCTTGCAGTGAGCCGAGATTGCGCCACTGCAGTCCGCAGTCCGGCCTGGGCGACAGAGCGAGACTCCGTCTCAAAAAAAAAAAAAAAAGTGTGTCGCAAGTCCCCCTTCTCTCTCTTCCTCCTGCTCCAGCCACGTAAGATGTGACTCCTTCCTCTTCACCTTCTGCCATGATTGTAAGTTTCCTGAGGCCTTCTCAGATATGCTTCCTATACAGCTTGTCAAACCATAAAACAATTTAACCTCTTTTCCTTATAAATTACCCAGTCTCAAGTAGTTCTTTATAGCAATGTGAGAACAGACTAATACACAGGCCTTCACATTCACTCACCATTCACTCACTGACTCACCCAGAGCAACTTCCAGGTGTGCAAGTTTCATTTGTGGTACATTCTCTATGTAGGTGTACCATCTTTTATCTTTTACACCATATTTTACTGTACCTTGTCTATGTTTAGATATACTAATAGAATTACATTAAAATTACCTACAGTATTTAGTACAATAACATGCCATACAGGTTTGTGGCCTAGGAGCAATAGGCTATATCATATAGTCTAGGCGTGTAGTAGGTTATACCATATATGTCTGTGTAAGTACACTCTGTGATGTTTGTGAAATGACAAAATTGCTTAAGGACACATTTTTCAGAATAATTTCCCATAGTTAAGCAATACATCACCGTAGTTGTTTCTCTTATTATCAAGAGCAAAATCCTTATTGTGGCCTGTATGTAGAAATATCATAAATTCTTATTTGCCTTGGAGAGTCTTGATTTATGCCTAGTGTCCTGAAAAAATTAATAGCTTCACCTTTCACTCTCAGAAGCATAATAGTTTGAACAATAAGTTATATGGTCACCATATTCATGGGAACCTACATTCTCTGATTCGTACCCACATGTCCATTCTCATTTTTTGCTACCCCTTCCTCTCTCTCTGTGCTTCATCTACACTTGATTTTATTTTCCTTTTATTTTTATGTCTGTGACATAATCCATCTATTACTGAGTCTCTTTTTCCATATATTTTCCTTATCATCCCTCCTCTCTTTCTAGTTAAGCCCTTTTCATTCTCCAAATCTTAGTTCTGAAGTCAGTTCCTGAGTCAAACTTTTCATGACCCTACAGACAAGATCAGAATCTACTATATGCTTATATAGTGCTCAGTAGTTACCACAATCTGCAGTTATCGTATGTGTGCTCCTTTTTGGCTGATGCCTTTTCCTTAGTTGAAATTTAAGCTAACTGAAAATTAGGGCATATCTTTCTTTTTCTTTAACCTTCCATTTTACCCCAAGGCCTGACACATAATAACAAGCATTTAATAATTTTAAATGCATTTTTTTCTTATGCAGAAAAAGGTTTGAACCATAAATAACCATAGTAAGTGTGACACTCAGATAACCTGTGAAGAGATAGCTTTAATCTCAATCAAAGGATTTGTTTATCTCTTTCATCTCCTGGAATATATGACTCAAAGGTCACCCTTGAATGATGGTGGAAAGTGTCGGCTCTGTCTAGACAGGGATTGTTCTGCATGTCTTCTCACAAACGAAGACAATTAAGGATGGGTAAGAATGATTTATTCCAATCTTTCTTAACTATGTGGGCTGATGAAATTGTACGTGTTTTTTTTTTTTTAATATGAAATGCTTTGGGAAAGATGGTGTGAACAAAGAAGAAAGGAGTGACAATCACTTAATCATCAAATAACCCTCCCATGGTCCCAAAGAGGAATAGTCACAGAAAAAGAGGATGAAAGTGGAAGAGGTATATTATAACATAATGAAATGAAAGTATCAGAACTTATTATTAAAACTAGTATTCAATAGAATTATAATTTTAGATTACTCATTGCTTAAAGTCAACAATATCATATCTTTTCTAGAACAATATGGGTACTGACAGTTGAATGTCACATTTTTTCCTACTCTCTACAGAACCACCTGAATGTGAGTTTTTGTTATGAATGAAGCCAAGATCAGGAGATCTACACAGGTGAGAGAATAACAAGATAAGCCTGATTTACAGTCAATACTTTTTGTGGTGTAGGAATTTTAGATGTTTTATCACCCACCTGCTCACTTTTTGCAGAAGCTTTTAAGGGAAAAGGAAGAGATCACTGAAGAAGGATCCCTGAGAAAAGATTATTGCTTGTGTTATTATTGTTGTATATGATAATATGGTGTTAATTTATTGCCTTTATATAAAAATTTGTTGGATGTTATCTGTAGTAGCTTTATCCTTAAAAGCTTTTACCGCATGTTGTAATTTTGTGACAATCCATTAGGGAAGGTTTGTGGGAGCTGGGAAAATAAGTTAAGTTCTACCTGACAGGTGGGTAAATGCAAAAGTTAGGGCTTATCAAGTTGAAGTTCAGAAAACCAGCCAAAGAAAACAAAAGATACGGGTACTTTAGTACAAAGAAGAAAAAGATTGAATCCAAAAAATTAGCTAAGGTAAAAATAAAACTTTAGATTAATAGACTAAAGAGTAAAACACTAGGAATTAAGTATCCAGACAGTCTTGGCAAGGGTTGGCATTAGAAAAAGAAGGAAAGTTGGTATCGAACTGTGGCTTACACTCCCTTCTTCAGCTGTGATTTCTTGTAGGTATAGAAGCCAGGGTCCAGCATGGCTTCCAATGATCTCTACCTCCTTGATTTCTCATCCTTGTATAGTCATCCCGTGCATTGTACTGGAATTTTTCTTGCCCATTTTCATATTGAAGAAGTAATGGTATATTAATTCTGAGATTAAGTTATAAAAGATTGTAGCTTCTTGCTTATGATTGTACTGCTGCACTCCAGTCTAGGCAACAGAACAAGATGCCATCTCAAAAAAAAAAAAAAAGATTGTGGGTTCAATCTTTGGTGCTGTTATGTAAATGAACCAAACATGGTTTCTGTACAGGGCCCCTGATGTTATTTACTCCACAGCATGGTAAGGACCATTTGTTCAAAACCTGTAGGTACCAAATTCAAATTCTTACACATCCAACTGCTTTAAGTATAGCCCAAATAAGCATATATTTAGTTATTTTAAGCATTCCTGCTTTTGCATACCCTGTACAATTGCAACCAACACCTGCTAGGCATAAATAAGACAAACCTTGTAGCTTTAAAAGACTCCAAACTTCTGCTGCCCTTTGGAGCTCACTGACCCAGAAACTCCTACCTTGTCACTGAATGACGTCACCTAGACATGGAAACCCTCTCTCAGATTCCCATCCTTCCCCAGGAGTTCCCTTGTCCTCTTCCCGCTGTGGACAGTGCCTCTTGCTGCTGTCCCTGGAAAGTCTCCTGCTCTGAGGGACTTCTGTCATGCAACCTTGTCCAAGCATCACCCAATAAATCGTGTGATGTACTGCCATTCCATGGACTTGTTTTTCCCTTGATCAGCCTTGAAATCTTTGAACTTACCACAGGTGTCCACTCTTTTTGTCTTTCTTTTGAATCTCTCATCTTGGAAGAAGGAAGTTGCAGTGTTATCAGCAGCCCTGTGGAAAAGTCCACATGGTGAGAACTCAGGCTGCCGAAACCACACAAGTGAGCTTGGAAGCAGGTTTTCCAACTGCAGCAAAATTTAGAGATGACCAGAGCTCCAGGCAAGAGCTTGACTGCAAATGGGGAGAGACCCTGAATCACACCAAACAGCTAAGCCTCTGTGAGATTCCCGACCCTCAGAAACTTCATGAAATAATAAATGTTTGTTGTCTTGAAATGTCAAATACAGGGTGATTTGTTATACAATGATAGATAAATAATACAGTAACACCTCCTATCTGGAGTGTGGTCATCTCAGAGGTTGGATAAACATGGCCCCAGGGTAGCAAATAAGATAGCACAAGTGAAGGCAATGGTCTTTGAGGACCTGAAAGCCAACAATTACCTGACATTCGGATTTCATATCTAAATTATAAAATTAAATTTTAAAATCTGGTGATTAAAATTACCCTTCTCTCTTAATGAATTTGAAGAAATATAGGATTTCAACAGTGGGGTTGCATTAAACAAAGATTTTTAGTAAATAGCACTTGTGCATCACCACATAGAGTTAATAACTTCTATTTCCCCCAGCAGTGCCTGGAACATCTTCCTATTACTGTACATATTACTGTGCTATGCCTCCTTTTGTTTGTATTTGTTTGCTTTTGTTTCCTTAGCATCTAGATGGTGTTTGACAGATGAGCAAAAAATGGTAATATGATGTTGAACTAAATTCAGCTGATAATTAGACATTTCATGTTTTATTTCCTTTTAATTATTTGGACATCTGATATGAAGATGGGGATGAAAAAAATAACAATGCCACTGAAAAATAATTAGAAATGTCGAGTTAGAGTAAAACATTTCCTTATTAAGTTTTATTCATTTCACTTCATTAAAGGATTATCATGTGGGAAGTCATTGGGCTAAACGTTTTAATGAGAGTAAGCAGATAATTTGTAACATCACTTCTGCTTGCAAAGATATTGAAATCTAGTGAGGGAGAGTAAATAAGAAAGAAACAGGTATGTCTGGGTGAGACTATTTCTAATATCTCAAAGTTGAATTCTGGGGCCCAAACTTGTACATAGTGTAGCCCGAGTACCCTACATTTTAAAGACAGCAAGAAAACTGACAATCATTAATATGTGACACCTTGGCCAGGTGGGGTGGCTCACACCTGTAATCTCAGCACTTTGGGAGGCCGAGGTGGGTGGATCACGAGGTCAGGAGTTCAAGACCATCCTGGCCAAGATGGTGAAACCCGTCTCTACTAAAAATACAGAAAATTAGATGGATGTCGTAATCCCAGCTACCCAGGAGGCTAAGGCAGAGAATTGCTTGAATCCAGGAGGCAGAGGATGCAGTGAGCCGAGAACGCGCAACTGCACTCTAGCCTGGGCTACAGAGCAAGACTCCTTCTTAAAACAAAAAAAAAAAAGTTACACCTTTTTTGAGTTTACCAAAAGGGCTTAGAACCAGAAAGTTTAAGACAAGTGCCTCCAAACATAAGAAATGTTCTACTTTTTTAGAGGATGGAGTCAGCAGTTCTGACTGGGGTGATCATTCCTTCATTCATTAATTTATATGTTCATTAATTCCAGAAATATGTATTGATCATCTCCATGCCTCTGGCATTGTGCAAGATGCAAAGGATAAAGTTGAGAGTAAGTGATTGGTTGTTTTTGCTCTCAGAAAACTTACATTTGTATTTGTCCATGAAAATCAATTAGTGTTTTAAAATGTAGATGTGTAGGTAACAGATTTTAGGAGAATGAAAAGGAATAGTATAAAAAAGGCCAATGTAAACCAGAATGTATAATGAGATGAATAAAGAAGAAGAAAAAATAAAGTGGCTGTGATGGAAATAAAGTTAAATTTTGCAGAGGAAGAGTATACGAAAATCATGTTCTTAAAAAAGAAAATTATATTTTAATTTTAACATAGACTAAATAAATTTACCCCTCTCTACTGTTAAACTTATTGGTATGCATACATTTTTTGGATATACATATTCCTATTTATTGTACAGTGACCTTTTTAGTATCACTTTTCTCATGTGCAAGGAGAGTTGACTCAATCAATAGCACAGAATTCACAAACTACCTGTATATAGGATACTTCTAGCCAAAAATATACTCTCAAAATGAAACGAGTTGACACCATTTAAGACATGAGCATCTATACATACATCGATGGATATTCCATCTACCTTGAAAAATCTGAACACATGACAACATTGGGTCCAATTTCTCATGGCAACAACTGGATGGAGCTGAATAAAAGCTATCTCTTTTAAAAGGGTTGTGCTTTCTTTCATTTGTCTTAGCTTTCATAGATTGCCTTATGTACTCAATTGCATAACCTATTTGCCTATGGTTGGTATTTGGATTGGCAATTCTGATCAGGGCTTCCTGATATGCCTTTCAGTGATAAGTGTATTTCTATGATTCATTTCATTTCATACTTTACTATTTGCTGTTCTAGAAATATCCAGGAAACTTTTGTTTAACCTGTTATTATTCTAAAAAAGGGTTGGTGAATAAAAAAATTGTTCTGAAAAAGATTTTATAGATGACATTTTACCATATGAAGGCCTTTGCTTTACAAAGATTTTTTGGCTAATCAGTTTCAATGCTGTCCTTTATCCAGTATTTATTAATTGAAAACTGTGTTGGGAGAACAAGAGAAACTGAAGATTCAGTTGCTCTAATTAAGGTAACAAGAAAGACAATAAATCTGACTCCTGAAAGATGAAGGAAAAAACAATTCCCTCACAGTTTTTACTATATCCATTCCTTACATTATTAATAAAAGACTACACTTAAATCAAGAGTAAAGAATGACTATCATTTATTGAATACTTCTCCTGCCAAGAACCTTATGTGGATCATCTCGTTGTTAATTCTTACATGTCATTTGTAGTTGATAAAATTATTATTTCAATTTTATAGATAGGAACATTAAAAATTAGGGTGATCATGGTTATTTACAGAATTTTCTATTTACTATATTCTCTAAACATTTATCTCCCACAAGCTATCAATATTTAGGCCTTGATATGTTCATATCTGTTCTTCATAGAGGACTATCTGTCTAATTGCATACAATCTTACTATCCAGTATACATGCAAAAGGATGAAAATTATTGTATGGAATAAATCAACTGCTATGAGAGTAGTCTACTTGAGTTGTCTTCAATCATAAATTAATCAGAATCTGAGAAGCCCTTACTACAAAGTGGGTAGAGAGAGATTTGGACCCTAAATCCAGTTACTTTCACAGGAAAAATGGCACGGAAATAGAATAGATAGATAAAGGAGTAAAATATATTAAAAGATTCATTATTTAGCAATAAATCTGATAGTAGGGTAGCAATATGGTGCCTGACTAAGGTCAAATTTAAGGTTATCAGAGTCTGATTGTATCTAAACTAGTATCTAAACTCACTTTGGGTTGACTTTTGAATGGTTTTGCTTATATGAGCTGCACATAACAGTCAACATTAAATTGCAGAACATGTTTTTATTTATCAATTTATTATTATAAATGTATTGTTTGCAACAGAGTTATTGAGGCATGCTCCTAAAAATAACTTATCTTAATTGTTAATTACATCTTTTTTAATAGTGTGTTGCTATGTGTTCCTGGAATAACCTAAATTTTTGCATTTTACAAATTATGTCTCTAGTTATTTTTGCAAACAATAACTTAATTAAAAGTACACGTTGTGCAGCAGAAGGTATCCCTAGGAGCCTCTGTTAATTGGAATGCTTGGTTAATTAGCATATTTTTGTTTCTACCAGGTTGTGCCAATTAGGAGTATTCTATCATATTATCATCTTGTTGATATTCTATATCATATCTGCATCACCAACTCATCAGCATTCTTGATTCCCTAACTTTCAGAAGAGATTTCTCTGGATAAGGATAAGATGTCACTGAAATGAATTTTCCATTAGTAAAATTTTCCTCTCTATTATGAAGTTTTTCTAATGGAGTTTCTTTGTTAAATAAATTGAGGTGATAGAATGGAGCTTGAATATAATTTTGGCCTCTATTATCTTCTCAAGTTTCCACACAAATTGTAATATAAAAATTTAAGAATATCACTGTAATAAACAGGAGAACATATTTGATTAGAGGCCCAGTGTTTCTTACTTGCAGCCTCTGGTCTGTAATTGACTTACCTTGTGATTTAACTATTCTTTACTTGTCCTATTGGGCAATTACTGGCCCAATCATCTACTGCCCTTTTGGAAAGAACTTATAATTCTTTCTAACCATGCTGTGTATGGAAATCTTGGAGCCTTGACAAGAAAGCCTATTTTTTCTGTAAAGTACTACTTTCACAATGTTTACATTAGGAATTTAAGTGAAGCTTTTAATATGATGAAAAGAAACATTTGCAAGTCATATACTATGTGTCAAGAACTAGCCCCATCACATTTATGTTTATTAACTCACACACTGGATAAAAGTATTTGACTGATTTTATTACCTAATATGTAAGCAATTTTTCCTCAGCTTATAGTATAGTTATCTTTTCCATGATTAGCCATTTGTATTGCTAATAAAATCTATTTATTAATTCTAGCTAGCTTTTGTGAAACAAAGACAGAAAGGAAGCCATTGGTTCAGAATGACAGGGTAATAATGAGGTTTTAAAAATACCTACTGTAGCAGAAGTTAGTAGCCATTCCATTGGGGAGGGTGGTGGTGTGTCTGTTTGGGTTCGATGGGAGTTTTCAATTCACACAGAAGAGGGGAGGAGGAACATAATATCTCCCAGGGAGAGAGTTTTGGGGGCAAGTAAAATTTTTGGGAGCTTTAAATTATACTTCAATTCCAGGTTAATTGCTTGATTATGTGGCTCCAGGTTAGGAGAAGAGATTTCTTCATTGATGGCTAAATGATAACCACCATAGTTGCAATGAGGCAGCATTCCTAAACATGTTTTAAAACAAAATGTAAATCTTGGCTCCAATTAAACTAATTGAGAGTTTCTAAACCATTAACTTTCATTCATTGTTTGCTGAATCTCAATCTAGCTATTTTATTTCAGACACCATAATAAAGTAAAACATTGGACAATTGTTTGTTACTTTATGGTGAATCTCTGCATCCTCTTCATGTTAATCTATATAATAGCAATGATTGTAAATAAAAATTGTGTGTTTGCATGGTGAACTTTTATCTTGTTACAGATATTTTAGTCTGAATTTATAACAATATACGTTAAGCTACGTTGTGCTTTTTATACTGAAATGTTCAATTTTCAGAATCTTGTTAGTATGGTGATATGGTTTTGCTGTTTCCCCACGCAAATCTTATCTTGAATTGTAGTCTTCTATATCCCCCTGTGTCATGGGAGGGACCAAGTGGGAGGTAATTGAATCATCGGGGTGGTTACTCCCGTGCTTCTCTCATGATAGTAAGTTCTCACAAGATCTAATGGTTTTATAAGCATCTGTATTTCCCCTGCTGGCACTTCTCCTTCCTGCCACCATGTGAAGAAGGACGTTTGCTCCCCCTTCCACCATAATTGCAAGTTTCCTGAGGCCTTCTGAACCCTGCAGAACTGTGAGTCAACTAAACCTGTTTCCTTTATAAATTACCAAGTCTCAGACAGTTCTTTATAGCAGTATGGGAATGAACTAATACAATAAATTGGTACCATAGAGAGTAGGGTGCTGCTATAAGGATACTGGAAAATGTGGAAGCGACTAAGGAAATGGGTAACAGGCAGATGTTGGAACAGTTTGTGGGGAGGGGGCGCTCAGAAGAAGACAAGAAAACGTAGAAAAGTATGGAACTTCCCAGAGACTTGAAGGGCTCAGAAGACAGGAAGATGTGGGAAAGTTTGGGACTTCCTAGATATTTGTTAAATGGCTTTGACCAAAATGCTGATAGTGATATGGACAATGAAGTCCAGGCTAAGGTAGTCTCAGATGGAGATGAGAACTTCTTGGGAACTGGAGCAAAGGTGACACTTGCTATGCTTTATCAGATATACTGGCTGCAAATTGCCCCAGCCTTAGAGATCTGTGGAACTTTGAACTTGAGAGAGATGATTTAGGGTATCTACTGGAAGAAATTTCAAGTGGCAAAGTGTTTGAGACAAAGCAGAGCATAAAAGCTTCAAATATTTGCAGCCTGATAATGCAATAGAAAAGAGAAACCCATTTTCTGGGTAGAAATTAAAGCCTTCTGCAGAAATTTGCATAAGTAGCCAGAAGCCAAATGCTAATCACCAGGAGAATGGGGAAAGTGTCTTAAAGGCATGACAGAGACCTTCACAGCAGCCTCTCCCATCACAGGCCCAGAAGCCTAGGAGGGAAAAATGATTTCGTGGGTCATGTCCAGGGACCCCCTGCTGTGTGCAGCCTCAGGACTTGATGCCCTGCTTCCCAGCCACTCCAGCAGTTGATAAAAGGGGCCAAAGCAAAGCTCAGGCTATTGCTTCAGAGGGTGCAAGCCACAAGCCTTGGCAGCTTTTACATGGTGTTGTGCATGCAGGTGCATAGAAGACAAGAATTGAGGTTTCAGAACCTTTGCCTAGATTTCAGAGGATGTATGGAAATGCCTGGATGTCCAGACAGAATTTTGCTGCAGGGGTGAAGCCCTCATGGAGAATCTGTGCTCAGGCAGTGCAGAAGGAAAATGTGAGCTTGGAGCTCCTACACAAAGTCCCCACTAGGGCACTACCTAGTGGAGCTGTGAGAAGAGGACCACTGTCTTCCAGACCCGAGAATGGTAGATCCACTGACAGCTTGCACCATGTTCCTGGAAAAGCTGCAGACACACACTAGCTCTGAAAGCAGCAAGGAGGGGGCTTATGCCCTGCAACGCCACAGGGGCAGAGCTGTTCAAGGACATTGGAGCCCACCTCTTGCATCAATGTGACCCGGATGTGAGACAAGGAGTCAAAGGAAACCATTTTGGAACTTTAAGGTTTAATGACTGCCCTCTTGTATTTCAGATGTGCAAGGGGCCTGTAGCCCCTTTGTTTTGGCCAATTTCTCTCATTTGTAATTGGTGTATTTACCTAATGCCTGAACCCCTGATATGGCATGGCTGTGTTCCCATCCAAATCTCATCTTGTACTATAGTTCCCTTAATCCTCACATTATGGGAGGAACATGGGGGAGGTAATTTTATCATGGGTCTTGGGGTGGTTACCTCCATGCTGTCCTCATGATAATGAGTGTGTTCTCATGAGATCTGATGGTTTTATAAGAGGCTTTTTCCCCATTTACTCAACACTTCTCCTTTCCACTGCCAAGTAAGATATGTCTTTTTTCCTTCTTGGGCTTCTGCTACGATGGTGAGATCACCTCAGCCATGTTCAAGTGTAAGTCAATTAAACCTCTTTTTCTTTAAAAAGTGCCTAATCTTTGTGTATTAGTTCATTTTTACGCTGCTGATAAAGACATACCTGAGACTGGGAAATTTACCAAAGAAGAAGGTTTAATGGATTCACAGTTCCATGTGGCTGGGAATGCCTCACCATCATGGTGGAAGGTGAAAGGCACACGGATAAGAGAAGAGAATGAGAGCCAAGCATAGAGGTTTTCCCCTTATAAAACCATCAGATTTTGTGAGTCTCATTCTCCACCACAAGAACAGTATGGAGAAAACCATCCCCATGATTCAATTATCTCCCACTGGGTTCCTCTCACAACATGAAGAAATTATGTAAGCTACAATTCAAGAAAAGATTTGGATGGGGACAAAACCAAACCATATCACTCTGGTATGTTTTTATTAGCAGCATGAGAACAAACTAATACAACCCCCACTGTATCTGAGTAGTAACTAGCTTGCTGTTGATTTTACATGCTCCCAGGAAGAAGGGACTTGCCTTGTTGGAGATGATACTTTGGACAGTACACTTTTGAGTTAATGCTGAAATGAGTTAAGGATTTGGGGGACTGTGGAGAAAGCATGATTGTGCTTCTAAAAGTGAAGACATGAGATTTGGGAGGGGCCAGTGGTAAAATGATATCGTTTGACTGTGTCCCCACCCAAATCTGCTTTTGAATTATAGTCTCCATAATCCCCACATGCCATAGGAGGGATCCACTGGGAGGTAATTGAATCATGGGGGTGGTTTCTCTTATGCTGCTGTCATAATAGTAAGTTCTCACAAGATCTGATAGTTTTATAAGTGTCTGGCATTTCCTCGGCCAGCACTTCTCTTTACTGCTGCAATGTGAAGAAGCGCATGTTTTCTCACCTGTCTGCCATGGTTGTAAGTATCCTGAGGCCTTCCCAGCCCTCCAGAACTGTGAGTCAATTAAACTTCTTTCCTTTATAAATTACCCAGTCTTGGGCAGTTCTTTATAGCACATGAGAACGAACTAATACATATGGTACAGTGGAAAATCCTAGAAATTGGGTATCAGGAGTGCTGAATTTGAATCTCAGCTGTGTCCTTACTTTGAGGAAGTTGCTCAAACTCTCTTTGTTTCAAAATCCTTATCAGAATAATATATATTATTCTATTTGTCCTGATGACCAATTGTATTATTTTAGGAATGAGGTGGATGTCTATGTGGACAGTATAAACTATAATATTCTATCAAAAGCGAGTGAATATTTTGCATTCTGTGTGGCAAAACACATTTGAGAATTATTTTAAAAGTGTACTGATGATAGCTATAGGTTTGTTATAAGGATATGATATTGAAGTCTATTTTTAATACAGAATATTAAATATAATTCATGAAAGAAAAGCTATATTAAAAGAACTATGAGAAGTATTTTATTTTTGAGTTAATTAGAATTAAAAGACATGGAACTGTGGCAGATAGTGACTGTTGCTTCCATAAAATGCAGAGGAGGCCGGGAGTGGTGGCTCACGTCTGTAATCCCAGCAGTTTGGGAGGCCGAGGCCAGTGGATCACAACATCAGGAGATTGAGACCATCCTGGCTAACACGGTGAAACCCTGTCTCCACTAAAAATACAAAAAATTAGCCGGGCGTGGTGGCGGGCGCCTGTAGTCCCAGCTACTCGGGAGACTGAGGGAGGAGAATGTTGTGAACCCGGGAGACAGAGCTAGCAGTGAACAAAGATCATGACACTGCACTCCAGCCTGGGCAACAGAGTGAAACTCTGTCTCAAAAAAAAAAAAAAAATGCTTAGGAAACCCGATTTGCTTTATGTATTTCATTCTTCCAGTGCATTGTGCTGGGTCTTTGTAACATTAAGTCAGCAAAAGATATTCCACATAAATGGAAACCAAAAGCAAGCAGGTGTAGCTATACTTATATCAGATAAAACAGACTTTAAGTCAAAAACAGTAAAAATAGACAAACAATGTCATTATATAATGATAAAAGAAACAATTCAACAAGAGGATGTAGCAATTCTGAATATATATGAACCCAACACCAATGCACCCAGGTATATAAAGCAATTGGATTCAAATACATTATTAATATTTGGAGACTTCAATATCCTACTCTTAGCATTGGACAGATCATCTAGACAGAAAAGCAACAAAGAAACAGTGGATTTAAACTGCTCTTTAAACCAAATGGACCTAACAGACATTTACAGAATACTTTACACAGCACCTGCAGAAATACATTCTTTGCATCAACACATGGAACCTTCTCCAGGATAGACTATAAATTGGGACACAAAACAGGTTTCAACAATTTTTTTTAAAATAAAACTAGAAATAAATAATAAAAAGAACTTTGGAAACTGTACAAATAGATGGAAATAAAACATGCTCCTGAACAACCACTAGCTCAATGAAGAAGTTAATTCTTTTTTTTACAGGCTTAATTCACTTTACTTTTCTTGTATAAAAACCCTATGTTGTAGCCACAGCTGGAGCCTGGGTCCGCTGTACGGAGACTCTGGTGTGGGTCTTGAGGAGGTGGTCAGTGAATTCCTGATAGGGAGACTTGGTAAATACAGGTCTCCTTCCAGAGGTCGGGGGCCAGGTAGCTGTAGGTCTTAGAAATGGCATCAAAGGTGGCCTTGGCGAAGTTGCCCAGGGTGGCAGTGCAGCCTCGGGCTGAGGTATAGCAGTCATTGATACCAGCCATCATAAGCAGCTTCTTGGACACAGGTGTGGAGACGATGCCAGTGCCCCTGGGTGCAGGGATGAGGTGCAGCAGCACAGAGCTGCAGCGGCCTGTAACCTTGCAAGGGACGGTGTGGGGCTTGCTGATCTTGTTCCCCCAGTAGGCTCTGCGCACGGGGACAATGGAGAGCTTGGCCAGGATGGTGGCCCCACGGATGGCGGTGGCCACCTCCTTGGAGCACTTAACATCCAGACAGAAGTGGCCATTGTAGTCCCCGACAGCAACAAACGCCTTGAACCTGGTGCCCTGGCAGGCAGGGGACTGCTTCTGCACCGGCATAATCTTCAAAACCTCATCCTTGAGAGAGGCCCCCAGGAAAAAGTCAATAAGTCAATGATCTCTGATTCCTTTATGGGCAGGGAGAAGAGATAGATCTCCTCCAGGGACTTGATCTTCATGTCCTTGACCAAGTGGCCCAGCTTGGTGACGGGCATCCACTCCTTATCCTCAGCTTTGCCTCCATGAGCTCCACGGCCTCGGCCCTGGCCCCATCCATGGCCGCTACCCTGGCCCTGGATGCCACTGCCGAAACCTCCACCGAAGCCACCGTGGTTCCCCATCCCAGGGCCACCAGGGCCTCTGGCCCCCCACTCCCCCGCTGCACCAGCGTCATCCACCATTTGGTGTTTTCTTGGAGAAGAAGAAAGAAGTTAATTTTTAAACAAATGAAAACAGAAACACAATGTACTAAAACCTTTAGGATATAGCAAAAGCAATGTTAAGGTAGAATTTTATAATAATAAATGCCTACATCAAAAAAGTAGAAAAATTTAAAATAATCTATGTACCTCAAGAAACTACCAAAATAAGAACAAATCTAACCCCCAATTTATAGGAAAAAGAAATAACGAATATTAGAGCAGAACTAAACAAAGTGGACACTAAAAATAAAAATACAAAGGATGAATTAAACAAAAACATTTTTTGAAAAGATAAAATTGGTAAACTGCTACCTAGATAAAACAAAGAATAAAAGAATGACCAAAATAAACAAAATGAGAAATAAAAAGGGAAATATTACAACCAATACCACAAAAATATAAACAACTGTCAGAGACTGTTATGAAAAGCTATGCTTAAACATGTTGGAAAACCTGGAGAAAATGGATAAATTCCTGGACTTATGCAACTTACCAAGATTGAACAAGGAAGAAAGAGGGAACATAAACAGAACAATGAGTAATAAGATTGAACCAGTAATAAAAAATCTCCCAACAAAGAAAAGCTCAGTAAACTGGCTTTACTGCTGAATTTTACCAAAATTATAAGGAAAAACTAACACTAATTCTTCTTAAACTATTCTAAAATATTAAAGAGGAAGGAATCCTTTCTAAATCATTCTATGAGCAAGACATACCTGGACACTAAGACCAGACAAGGACACACAATAAAAGACTACAGGCACATATCCCTGATGAACATAGGCACAAAATTCCTCAACAAAATACTAGCAAACAGAATCTAACAACACATCAAAAAGATAATACACCAAAATCAAATGAGATTTGTCCTAGGGATGCAAGGATAGTTTGATATATGCGAATTAATAGATGTGATGCATCATATCAACAGAATGAAGGACAAAACCATATTGACCATCTCAATAGATGCAGAAAAAGTATTTGATAAAATTCAACAATGTTTCATAATAAAAACTCTTCACAAATTAGGCATAGGAGTAACATACCTCAATACAACAAAGGCCATGTATGACAAATCCACAGCTAACATCATAATAAATGGGGAAAATCTGAAAACCTTTTCTCTAAGAACTGGAACAAGACAAGGATGCCCAGTGTTACTACTCTTATTCAATATAATGCTGAAAGTCCTAGCCAGAACAATATGGTAAGAGAAAGAAAGAAAAGGCAACCAAGTTAGGAAAGAGAAAGTCAAATTGTCCCTCTTTGCATATGACATGATCTTATATTTTGAAAAACTAGAAGAATCCACTGAAAACTATTAGAATTGGTAAACAAATTCAGTAAAGTTGCAGGATAGACAATTAACCTATAAAAATCACTATGATTTCTATACATTAATAATAAAATAGCTAACAAGGAAACCAAGAAAGCAATTCCATTTATCATAGATACAAATAAACAAAATACTTAGAAATAAATAAAACCAAGGGGATGAAAGATCTCCACAAGGAAAACGATAAGACACTGATGAAAGAAACTGAAAACACAAACAAATGGAAACACATCCTATGCTCATGGACTCGAGAATTAATATTGTTGAAATGATCATATTATCCACAGAAACCTACAGATTCAATAAAATCCCTAACAAAATACCAATGACATTGTTCACAGAAGTAGAAAAAAAAACAGTCTTAAATGTGTATGGAATCACAAAAGACATGAATAGCAAAAAAATTCTGAGCAAAAAGAATAAAGCTAGAAGAAGTAAGCTACTTGACTTCAAAATATACTACAAAGGTATAGTAAACAAACAAACAAACAAAAAACAAAACATGGTTTGGGATAAAAACACATAAACTAGTGAAACAGAATAGAAAGCCTACATATAAATAACTGTATTTACAGCCAATTGATATTTTACAAAGGTACCAAGAACATAGATTGAGAAACGGATACCCCCTTCAATAAACAATGCTGAGAAAACTAGATATCTATATGCAGAAGAATAAAACTAGACTCCAGTCTGTCACCATATTAAAAAATCAACTCAAAATGGATTAAAGACTTAAATATATGACCCAAAACTATAAAACTACTAGAAAAGAAAAACACAGGGGGAAAAACTTCAGGACATTGATATAGGCAAAGATTATACAACTAGAACCTCAAAAGCAGCCAAAACAAAAAGATGCAAACGGGACTATATGAAACCAAAATGCTTTTGCACATCAAAGGAAATAATAAACAGGGTGGAGACACAACCTTTAGAATGAAAGAAAATATTGCAAGCTATTCAATCCAACAAGGGACTAATATCCAGAATCTATAAGAAACGCAAACAACTGCACAGCAAAAGCAACAAATAATCTTATTAAAAATGGGCAAATAATCTGAATAGACATTTCTCAAAAGAAGATATACAAATGGCCAACAGGTATATGAAGAAATGCTCAACATAATTAATCATCAGAAAAAACGCAAAGCAAAACCACAATGAGATATCATCTTATCCCAGTTAGAATGGGTATTATCAAAATGACAAAAACAAAAAACAAAAACAAATGTTGATTAGAATGTGGAGCAAAGGGGGTTATTATATATTCTTAGTAGTAACATAAATTAGTATAGCCATTATAGAAAACAGTATGGAGATTTCTCTTTTCTTTTATTTTCTCTTCTTTTTTTTTTTTTTTTTTTTGAGATGGAGTCTCACTCTGTCACCCTGGCTGGAGGGCAGTGGCACAATGTCAGCTCACTACAACCTCTGCCTCCTGGGTTCAAGTGATTCTTGTGTCTCAGCCTCCCAAGTAGCTGGGACTACAGGCGTGCGCCACCATGCCCGGATAATGTTTTGCATTTTTAGTAGAGATGGGGTTTCACCATGTTGGCCAGGCTGGTCTCAAACTTCTGACTTCAGGTGATCAGCCCACCTTGGACTCCCAAAGTGCTGGGATTACAAGTGTGAGCCACTGCACCCAGCCAGAGGTTTCTTAAAAAACTAAAAATAGAGATACTATATGATCCAGCACTCCTACTTCTGGGTATTTAGCGAAATGTAAAGGAAATTAATATATCAAAGAGATTCCTACACTTCCATATTTATTGCAGTTCACAATAGCTAAGATATGGAGTCAACCTAAGTGTCCATCGACAGATAAATTGATTAAAAATGTGATACACACACACACACACACACACACACACGCAGAGTGGAAAACTATTCAGCCATAAAAAAGAGTGAAATTCCATCATTTGCGGCAACAGGATGGAACCAGAGGTCATTATCTTAAATGAAATAAAGCCAAGCACAGAAAGACAAATATTATGTGTTCTCTCTGATATGTGGAAGCTAAAAAATTTGATCTCATGGAAGTGGAATAGAATGGTGGTTACCAGAGGCTGTAAAACTGAAGGGTGCAGGAGTCTATGAAAAGAAATCGGTTAATAGGTACAAAAATACAGTTAGATAGATGGAATAAGTTCTAGCATTTGATAATACAGTAGTGAAATTATAGCTAATAATTTATTGCATATTTCAAAATAGCCAGAAGAGAAAAGCTGTAATGTTTCCAACATGGAATGATAAATGTTTGAGTTGATGGGTATACTAAAGATACTGACTTGATCATTACCTATTGAATGCATGTATCAAAATATTAGATGGACTCCATAAACCTTTATAAATATTATGTATTTATAAAACTATTTTTGAAAAATAGGGCCAGTAAGGTCAGTTGCAGTGTCTTACACCTGTAATTCCAGTATTTTGGAAGGCCAAGGGAGAAAGATGTGAGAATTGCTTGAGGCCAAGAGTTTGAGAGCACACTAGGCAAAATTGCGAGACGTTGCCTCTAAAAAAATTTTTAAAAACTAGCTGGGTATGGTGGCAAGTGCTTGTAGTCCTAGTGCTCTTAGGAGGCTGAGTTAGGAGGATCACATGAATGTAGGAGTTCAAAGCTGCAGTGAGCTATGATCACACCACTGCTCTCCAGTCTGGGCAACAAAGCAAGACCCTGTCTCATTTAAAATATTAGGGCAAGTAAAAGAAGCTATTACACAGATACAGTATCATTTCGTTTCAGTTATTGTGTATAATGAAAGTTTTATGTAACTGTTTTTCCAAGATCCCTGAATAATAAACAGATTTTATAAGCTTTCACATGTGGACCAAATTATGTTGTAACTTTAAGGGTCAATAAACATTGAAAGGAAGAAAGAACGTGAATTTTCTCTAGAATAAAAAGAGAAAGAGATCTTTCTCTGTGTCTTTTTTTTTTTTTTGCTGTAAACAAGGATAAACATCTTTTTTATTTATTTTTTCATTTATTTATTTTTATTATACTTTAAGTTTTAGGGTACATGTGCACATTGTGCAGGTTAGTTACATATGTATACATGTGCCATGCTGGTGCGCTGCACCCACTAAGTCGTCATCTAGCATTAGGTATATCTCCCAATGCTATCCCTCCCCCCTCCCCCCACCCCACCACAGTCCCCAGAGTGTGATATTCCCCTTCCTGTGTCCATGTGATCTCATTGTTCAATTCCCACCTATGAGTGAGAATATGTGGTGTTTGGTTTTTTGTTCTTGCGATAGTTTACTGAGAATGATGGTTTCCAAGTTCATCCATGTCCCTACAAAGGACATGAACTCATCATTTTTTATGAGCATTTCCTTTAGAAAACTTTTAATTGTAATTTTTTTTCTATTACTTTCAGGTGTTTGCAAATCTTTTTAGAAGCTAAATATCCATTTTTCCAGCTTTAAAAGCCATAAATGCTTTTCTCAAGGGCCATTTCTGTGAAATGCAATCGCTAAAGAAGATAGTTCTCTAGTCTCTATTTCCTGTAAGAAGATGGGAAATTCTTCAGCTGACTGACTTCAGCTGGTGCCTAGCTTCAAGTTGCAAGTCTTCCTCCTGTCATAAAGATATGAGAAATTCTTGTTTTCCTTTGGACAAAGCCAATTAGCTAACATAGATGGCAACTTAATTACCAGGTGAATTAAGATTAACTACTATATGAGACAGATAATGCTGTCAAGTCCTCTTACTTGAGTACTAGTTATTATTTATTTTGAGAATGTGTATGCAGTGGGTTGTATCTGCTTAACTATGAAGGGGATGAAAAATCTGTCTTTATAATCTCTTTATCAGATTGTCTGTGGTATGCATCACATTGTGCTTTAATATGTATTCAACAATAAAACTATTTTCTTTCTCTTCTATATTTAGAGAAGTTTTCAAGGTTGGCAGGAGATTTTGTTTTTAATTATGTATATTTCCTTAACATAACACACATCTGATGTATCACTCTTTTATTTAAACATTTGGATGGCTTTCTTTTATTTGTGGGATAAACTCTAAATCCTTAGTTCAAGTTCAAGGTCCTTGTATTCATCTGGGGTCACACTGCTATAAACCTATAAACATACTACCTGAGACTGGATAATTTATAAAGAAAAGGGGTTTAATTGACTCACAGTTCTGCATGGCTGGGGAGGCCTCAGTAAACTTATAATCATAGCAGAAGATGAAGGAGAAGCAAAGGCACATCTTACATGGCAGCAGGCAAGAGAGGGAGTTTCAGCAAGAGCAGGGAAAATTGTCTTATTAAATCATCAAATTTCCTGAGAACTCACTCTCACAAGAACAGCATGGGGACACCACTCCCAAGACCCAATCATCTCCCACCTGGATCCTCCCCCAACACGTGGGGATTATGGGAATTACAATCCAAACAGAGATTTGGGTGGGAACACAGAGCCAAACCATATAATCCTGCCCCTGACCCCTCTCAAATCTCATGTTCTCACATTCAAAAACCAATCATGCCAACAGTCCCCCAAAGTCTTAACTCATTTCAGCATTAACTTAAAAGTCAAAGTCCAAAGTTTCATGTGAGACAAGGCAAGTCCCTTCTGCCTAGGAGCCTGTAAAATCAAAAGCAAGTTAGTTACTTCCAAGATACAATGGGGTTACAAGTATTGGATAAATGCTCCCATTCCAGATGGGAGAAATTGGCCAAAATGAAGGGGCTACAAGCCCCATGCAAGTCTGAAATCCAGCAGAGCAGTCATTAAAGCTTAAAGCTCCAAAATGATCTCCTTTGACTCCATGTCTCACATCTGGGGCATGCTGATACAAAGGGTGGGCCCCCGTGGTCTTGGGTAGCTCTGCTTCTCTGGCTTTGTACAGCTCCCTGCCCCAGCTGCTTTTATGGCTCTCACTGAGGGTCTGTGGCTTTTCCAGGAGCCTGGTACAAGTTGTCTGTGGATCTACCATTCTGGGGTCAGGAGGTCTGTGGCCCTCTTCTCACAGCTCTGCTAGGGAGTGCCCAGTGGGGACTCTGAGTGTGGACTCCAACCCCACATTTTCCTTTCATACTGCCCTAGCAGTGGTTCTCCATGAGGACTTCACTCCTGCAGAAGACTACTGCCTGGACATCCAGTCATTTCCATACATCCTCTGAAATCTAGGTGGAGGTTTCAAACCCTCAATTTGTGACTTCTGTGCACCTGAAGGCCCAACACCACATGGAAGCTGCCAAGGCTTGGGGTTTGCACCTTCTGATGTGGTGACCTGAGCTGTACCTTGGCCCCTTTTAGCCACAGCTGGGAAGCAGGGCATCAAGTCTGGAGACTGCACAAAGCCTCAAGGCCCTGGGCCCTGCTCAGGAAACCATTTTCCAACTTAGGCCTTTGGGCCTATGCTAAGATGGGCTGCCAGGAAGACCTCTGACATACCCTGGATACATTTTTTTCCATTGTCTTGGTGATTAGTATTTGGCTCCTTGTTGCTTATGCAAATTTCAGCAGCCAGCTTGAATTTTTCCTCAGAAAGTGGGTTATTGTTTTCCATCACATTGTCAGGATGCAGATTTTCCAAACTTTTATGCTCTGCTTCCTATTTATTTCTTTTTGAGACAGAATCTCACTCTGTCACCCAGGCTGGAGCACAGTGGCATGATCTTGGCTCACTGCAATCTCCACCGCCCAGGTTCAAGAAATTCTCCTGCCTCAGCCTCCCCAGTAGCTGGGATTATAGGCTTGCACCACCATGCCCAGCTAATTTTTGTGTTTTTAGTAGAGATGGGGTTTCACCATATTGGCCAGTCTGGTCTCAAACTCCTAAACTTAAGTGTTCCCCCTGCCTCGGCCTCCCAAAGTGCTGGCATTATAGGTGTGAGCCACCACACCTAACTTCTGCTTCCCTTTTAAACATGAGTTCAAATTTCAGATCATCTGTCTCAAGTTCAAAGTTCTGTAATGCTTAAGGTTCTTGCCTAGCCACGCCAAAGAATTGGCGTGGCAGCAGACCACGGCGAGTGATGGAGACACGGACCGAGAGAGAGAAAAAGCTGTAGGCTTTGTTGAGAAGAGTGACAGTACAAAGCTTCCACAGTATGGAAGGGGTCCTGAACGGGTAGCCGGAGATAGATTATACATGCCTTTTAAACTCTTTAAGGCAGGAAATACGTGTGGTGGGAAGATGTTACCAGAGCGAGAAACAAAGACAATTAACCATTTGTGACATGTGTTAGATCTTGAGGAAAACCGGAATTGCAACTTAGGTTTTATCTATCTTATGACCTTGCAGTGGCATGGCAAAGGAGACAGGATCTCATAGGACTTTACAAAGTATGTTTACAAGGAATTGGAATTGGGAGCATAGATAAGGTCCGCTGGTCACAGCAAATCGGGCAGTTAACATTCCTTTTACTTTAGTTTCGGGGAAAGGGGAAGGGAGAGAGGGAGAGAGGACACAGGGAAACTTAACAGCAAAATTTTCACTGTTTATAGCTTTCTTGGGGAAGAAAACACATGCATAAATCCTGGTGTTAGGAATAGTTTAAGCATAGATCTTCAATATTATCCATCCAGGACCGAAGTAAGTCCTGATTCAGGAAATGAGTGAGTTTCACAGCTTTTTGAGCCCCTACTTGACCCAGGAAGCCCAGCTGGCCCCTCCTCTCAGTTCCACAGATCTCTAGGGCTGGGGCAAAATATTGTCAGTCTCTTTGCTAAAGTATAGCAACAGTGACCTTTGCTTAAGTTCCCAAGTTCCTCATCTCCACCTGAGACCACCTCAGCCTGGACTTCATTGTACATATCACTAACAGCATTTTGGTCAAAACCATTCAACAAGTCACTAGGAAGTTCCAAACTTTCCTACATCTTCCTATCTTTTTCTGAGCCTTCCAAACTGTTCCAACCTCCGCCTGTTACCAAGTTGCAAAGTCACTTCCACATTTTCAAATACCTTCATAGCAGTACCCCACCCCGTGTGGTACCAATTTACTGTATTAGTTTCTTCTCACACTGCTGTAAATATACTACCTGAGACTGGATAATTTATAAAGGAAAATGATTTAATTTACTCACACTTCTGCATGGCTGGAGAGGCCTCATGAAACTTACAATCATGGCAGAAGGCGAAGGAGAAGCAAAGGCACATCTTACATGGTGGCAGGCAAGAGGGAGTTTTAGCAAGATCAGGGAAAACTGCCTTATAAAACCATCAGAACTCCTGAGAACTCACTCACTATCACAAGAACAGCACGGGGGCACCACCTCCATGATTCAGTCACCTCCTCTCTGGACCCTCCCTTCATGTGTGGGGATTATGGTAATTATAAATGGAGATGAGATTTGGGTGGGCATACAGAGTCAAACCATGTCGGTACACTACCATATAGCACTATCATATTTTTCAATATCATCTCTTTGCCCCTACCTCAGTGACCCTACATACAAGTTACAGCAAACTGCTTAACATCTCCTGAGTATGCTATGCAAATTCAAATATTCATCAGAGGCATATGGTAGAGCAGGACTGCAGAATTACAGCATAAGAAGTTTGGTGGACCATTTTCTTTGCAAAATAACTTAACTGATGAAAATTATAAAAATAATTCATTTAAAGTCTCTGGAAATTGTCCTAAGGACAGGAATGAGGAAGAAATAAAAATATGGAATATAGGAAACACAAGAAATGGAAAATATTAATTCAAGAAAATCTACTAAATATTGGTAAACACAGAGAGAGTCTATGATATTAAAATGATAAATTGCTCTTTTAAAACTCTTCCTCCACCTCCATGCTATGTAATCTCTAGCTCAAGTGTTCTGGGGCCAAAAATACTGGCTACCTCTTCTTCCAGATTCTAGTTTAAGCATGGGAAACAATGTTAAAGTATCAATGAAAGATACGATGACAATATGTCTTCAAATACAGAATATCAATAAAGACACAGAAATTCTAAAAAATCAAAATTCTGCAATTGAAAAGACAACTAACAGAAATTTTTAAAATTCACTGGAAGTACTCAACAGTCGATGTTAGCAGTTATCGGAAGAAAGAATTAGCAAAGTTGAAGAGATCATTGGAGATTATTCAATCTGACAAAGAAGAAGAAAATATAATAAAGAACAATGAACAGCGTTTGCAAAAAATGTGGAACACATGTACAACTTTGAAACAATTAGAAGATAAATCATTCCATCCAAGGGCCTCATAAATGGAAAAAAATGAATGGAAAGTACAAATTAAAATATTCAATTAAGATGACTTGGGTATGAGTTCTAACATAAGAGTAAATTCAAATGTGTCTATTTGCTTAATTTATCATTTAGAAAGATACTTTTAATTTTAAAAATAATATAATTTTTAAAGATTCTCTCTTAAATAAAAATATACCTAAGAAAAGGTTTGAAACATAATAACATTTAAATACAAATCATTATAATAATAGAGGTAACAACCTTTATGATTTCACAATAGAATTTACGGCCTAAGAAAAAATAGGATCAAAGAAAAAATTGTATTTTGTAAAGGAAAAATGGATGAAATGTTATATTTATCATAAATATGTATAAACTTATTTAAAATGTATTAAGCAACTCTTGACGGAACCATGAGATCAATGGATTAATGAAAAATTGTAACTGGTCATTTTAACGTACTCCTCTCAGAGAGATCAAGCAGACAAGATAAACTTCATTGTATGACCAAACATTTTTATTTAATAGAGAAAGCCTTGGATGAACTGCTTCTTATCAAATTATTTTGAGGTAGACTTCCCTATTTATTCAAAAATATAATCAAACACCTGTCTGAAGTTAATTCAAATACTTTAGTAATTATTTACTGAGAGGTGAAAACATTCTTTGTCACAGGTAAGCAATCTCATCTTCTGCCTTTTTTTTTTTTTTTTTTTTTTTTTTTGAGATGGAGTCTCGCTCTGCCGCCCAGGCCGGAGTGCAGTGGCACAATCTTGGCTCACTGCAAGCTCTGCCTCCCAGGTTCACGCCATTCTCCTGCCTCAGCCTCCCGAGTAGCTGGGACTACAGGCGCCCGCCACCACGCCTGGCTAATTTTTTATATTTTTTAATAGAGACGGGGTTTCACCGTGTTAGCCAGGATGGCCTCAATCTCCTGACCTCGTGATCCGCCCGCCTCGGCCTCCCAAAGTGCTGGGATTACAGGCGTGAGCCACCCTGCCCGGCCTCTGCTTTTAATTCTTGCCTGGATCACTTTAGAGAGGAGAGATCAGCAGCTCCATTGAAGTTAACGTCTCACAGCAAAAGTCCAAGCTCTCTTGCAGAATCTTTGGCTGAGATTTGACAACTGTTCTATGAAACAGGACTCATTTACCTATTCTTCTTTGCCCAAACAGCAAAACAGTGTTAGCAAGAATTGCAGGTGCTTCATTTCTGAAAAGAGGATCAAAAATATCTTTTCAGTTACACATTTTAGTAGCAAAGGATTTTCAGGAGATGTTGACGATTTTAAATGAGCTCTCCAAACAGGAATTCTCAGTGGTCATCCCAGTTTAAGAGGTGAAATCTACGTGTTGGCTACACAAAGAGATTTCAGTAGTTTCATGTTGCTGCATGCTGATTCTTTGCTAATTATTCAGTGACTTTCATTAATATACTCTCAGATTCTCTGTTGATGCTGAATCACGGATTCTTTAGTGATCTCTTATGTATTAGAAAACAAATGACTGGTGTCATTTGTCACACACACTGCATCTTTTCTTTCTGGGCAAAAAAACTACAAAAAAAGCTTATCTATTTCTATTTCATGATTGTATCAAAGTCTCCACAATTCGGAGCAGATTTGTTTCATAATTGGAAATGCAATACCTAACCCTGTGTAGGATGCTTTCAAGGAAGGTTTTGATTCAGAGTAGCCTTAGTTTCCAGCCTCTTTAAATCAAGCCATTTTCTCTTGAGACATATCAATGTGTGTGACATATTGTCAGGTTGAACACACCTGACGAGTTTTTCAGCCTCCAGGGCTTTAGATTACTATTGGCGTACAAAGTTTGTCATGCTATAAATATTGCCGTTTGATGATCAATCAGATTTTTAAATGAAATTAAAATCTAAAGTAATTTCAGCTTCATTTTACTATATTTTCTTTGACAGTTCCCAACTTAAATGATGTCTGATATAAAAAACAGCGGAGAAGTATGTGTTTTATTTATTTATATCAAGCAGAAACTTGAAAATGATTATACTCACATACATGTATGCTCAGTTGTATTCTATGCCATTTACAGCAAAGACATAATAGCATTAATGTAACATAACATTAATAAAGCATTTTATGTTAGTTTTAATGTAATTATAAAATACAATTAATATAACATTTTCTCTGTAAACAAAAACAGTTTACAATATGACAGAAAGGTAATGAAAAAAGGGTGTGTGTGCCTGTGTGTGAGTGTATTCATGAATGTGTGTGCCTCTGTGTGCATAAGGCCTATATTTTCTTCTGGGCTATGCCTAGTTCATGGAACTCCTAAAGACTCCCCATAGGTAAAAGATTAAAGCTTCCATTCTAGGGGAATTTTAAAGGGTCTGCATTTACCAAAATTGAGTGCAGAGCCAGAAAGATATTGATTTGTAGCTCATATGTGAGGCAAGCCTTGACCCTTGCTGAAGTGCATTGGATAATGAGTTATTTAAAGAAATGTCACACAGCTTTGATTGAGTAATGCCCCCTTGCTAAAAAAAAAATCTATAATTAATCTCCATTTTTTCAGAATATACTAAGGCTTCTTAATTTGGTATGCAAGACACTCATGATTTCCAAGTGTATTTTCAACTATTTATCATCAGGAAAGCTACATTATTGCTAAAAAGAACTCCAGACTTACTTAGTTATTGCGTATGTGCCCAGTGCTTCCCTATCTTCATTAAAAACATGCTTTATTTCTCCCACAAGTCTGTTTTCTTAAGGTCTAAAGATGGTGCATCTTTTATAACTCAGTTTAAATTATGTATCCTCTATATTGTCTGCCCTAATAAAGTCAGTAAAAAAATAATTTCTTCACTGGGGGGAATCTCAAGACTCTGGATTTTCTGTGTCATTTTAGAATAAAAAATTTCATTTTTTATCTTGTATTTATCATTTTGATATTTTTTATTAATGCTTTCCTTGATGAATCTTTGTAACATCTGCATCATCTCAGTGCTTTGCACACATTAGTCATTCATTAGCTACTTGTCGAGTGAATGAATCAACAAATGAAGTAATAATGAAGAGTAGAATTTTTTTCTTAATAATTCTTTACTTTGGCTTATGCTGCCTGTCAGCTTGGGTTAGCAGCAACTCTTGCTCTCAATAATTTCATGATTGATTATCTGTTCAGCAGTACCTAATGAAGAAAACAATTCTTAGCTGAGAATACTGATCCAAAGTATCATTTGCTTTGCTGGAGTTGATATTACCATGTAAACAATAAATTTTTAATTGTCAGGACTTAGCAATATTAGATTTTTGAAAAAGAATCTTAAAATTCTATTCATATGGAATCATACAAAAATAGAAAGTCTTGTGATAGAGCTACAGATTTTATGTTAAAGGCTATTTATTATCCAATTGATGTATTAAGAGCCTGTTACAAATCACGTACTGTGCACAGACTTTACATCAAACCTCAGAAGAGCCCTCAGATTAGGTGTAACTCCATTCCTCAAATGAAAGTACAAGGCCCAGAGAGGTTAAGCGGATTCACATCACACAACTATTGATTGGTACATTGAAGATTTATATCCAGGTCTGTTCTCTTTCCATTGTACTGATTTTGTTCTTAAGTTTGCTTTAATTTTGACATTGAAGATGTCAGATATAGAAAATTTTGTATAGTGAGCAAAACCCTGAAACAGGAGACTAAAAACTATGGCTGTTGAAAATAAATTAAGCTGAAGTAGGTAGGAGTGTAAACATTCACTACTAGGAAGATAGAATACTATAAGATATAAGCAAAATTCAGGTGGTACAACCAGTGTTAACAGACCACATAATTTAGGGCAAAATGCTAATATCATTAAAATGAGGATAATAATAATCTCCTTTCTTTTTTTTTGTATGTGTGTACAGTAAAATATATTTGGCATTAGTAAATGTTCAATAAATATTCCATCAGTGATAAATATTTTTGGAAAATTTTAATTAACTTTAACTAAAGTTGGCTGCATTAGTTTACTAGAAATCTCACAATGTAATACCACAGACTGAGAGGTTTAAGCAACAGAAATGTATTTTCTACTAATTCTGGAGGCCAGAAATTCAAAATTGAGGTATTGGCAGGCCTCAATTCCTTTGAGGCCTCTTTGGTGTAGAAATGCTGCCTTCTTGGTATGTCCTCACATAGATACCTCTCTGTCCTTATCTCCTCTTCTTAGAAGGACATATTGGATTAGGGTCTACTCTAATGACCCCATTTTAACTTAATTACCTCTTTATAGATTCCAATTCCAAATACAGACACATTATGAGGTATTGGGTGTCAGGCTTTTAACATACGAATTTGAGGGGATGGGAATAATTCAGCCCAAACCCTTGGAGACCAAGAATATAATCCCAGAAGAAAGTGTTTAGGAACTAAAGACACATGATAGTAACACTGGAATGCCTTGTTATGGAGGATGACTTCATACTGTAAATACTGCTAAGATACCGAATATTTTTGAGCAGGTGAATAATGAAAGCAAAGTGTTTCTCCCAGGTTGTGGTCAAATATTTAATAAGCACTTCAAAATTTGAATGGAAAATTTAAACAATTAACAAAATGTAGAGTAACATGGATAAATTTTACTTCATGAGAAAAAGTATAGACACAGATATGTCTTAATAAGCATAACCTAAAAGTCAACTCAGCATCAAATACTGAGCGATATTTGGTTAATACTGGTTGGAATGCATCTCCCTTAACTTAACATTAATCCTCTCAAGATACCCTGTAAGCTTCAGAAAATCTTGTGACAACCAAGAATAAGCTTCTTGTCTTTTTCAAAGTGAGCTCCCAAATTCCTCCTAGCTGCCTACCTTCCACAGCATTAATCTGTTCCCATCTAAATACCTGTTAGGAATCCATGCTAAGTGGAATATGAATTATGATAGATTTGCAATGGCATGTCTCAGCTTCCCTAAGGGTGCATGACTTCTTGCTTTGTTTTCTACGGATGACCTAACAGAAAGACCATTCTCATTCTCCCAAGGAAAAAATTTATCACAATTAAAAGGAAGCAACAAAGTCCTGTTTCACATTTTTCTACCTTGTTTTCATCATCATCTTTACATCTTTTTTATTAGAGGTATTTCTGAAAGGAATCTGAGCTTTCTCCTGCTGATCTGCTTAAAATATATTTTGAACATAATTTTTTTGATCACTGACTCAGCTGTATTATTTGACACTGCACAGAAGGTACTGTTTGATCATTTTTAATAAAAAAGAGAACACTTTGAACACTTTTATTAATAAGAAGACATTTTAAAATTATAAAATTATGTGTCTTGGGTTGAATAACTTTCTTTATGAAAATCATTTGGAAGTTCATATTTTTTACTCTCTTTTCCATTTTGAAGATGAACTGTTCACTCTTACCTAATTCCATACATAGGTCAGGTATGTCCCTTATACTTTACTGACCCAATAACTTTTTATATTGAAAACTCCATTCACTGTGTTTTTCCTCCAACTGAACATTTCTAGTGACATTGATAATAGTCTAATATATACACACATAAAAACAAAACAAGATGATAAAAGAGGAAAAGGAGGAAGGGGGGATGGAAGTAACAATTAATTTGGTAGTCAGGAAGAGATATTTGTCTTGTCTGAAACAATAAATTATTGGAAGAATTAATTTATATAAAAGGAGGAGCCTCATTAATTCCCTCCTCAAATGATTTATTCACTAAGACAACGTGAAACCAATACAGGCCAAACACTAAAGAAAAGTTTTCCTGTTCTCTTTACCCCTTATAATCTATAGTGTAACCTGGGGTAACACACTTCGGCATATACCGACATTTCTATGTTCAGTTTTGCAGACTATGTTATATTGTACATAAAACCTGAAATACTGTGGAAGGACCTGAACCCTAAGTAAAACATTATAATGCTAAGACTTTGGATACATCTACTTTACTCTATTCCAGAAGACAAAGTCTCACTACACCAAAACCAGATCTAAATAATTTTAAAAATGTGTTTTAAATTGAGATTCTAGGGCCTTTCTTCTGGATAGGCCCATATTAATTGAATTGAGTTTTAAGATGCGTTTGTTTCTTTTTTTATTTTATTTATTTATTTATTTTATTTTTTGTTACATTTTAAGTTCTGGGATACACGTGCAGAATGTGTAGATTTGTTACATAGGTATACACATGCCCTGGTGGTGTGCTGCACCCATCAACCCATCATCTACATTAGGTATTTCTCCTAAGGCTATCCCTTCCCTTGTTCCACACCCCCCTACAGGCCCCAGTGTGTGATGTTTCTCTCCCTGTGCCCATATGTTCTCATTGTTCAACTCCCACTTATGAGTGAGAACCTGCAGTGTTTGGTTTTCTCTTCTGTGTTAGTTTGCTGAGAATGATGGTTTCCAGCTTCATCCATGTCCCTGCAAAGGACATGAATTGATTCTTTTTTATGGCTGCATAGTATTCCATGGTGTATACGTGCCTCATTTTCTTTATGCAGTCTATCATTGATGGGCATTTGGGTTGGTTCCAAGTCTTTGCTATTGTAAATAGTGCCGCAATAAACATACGTGTGCATGTGTCTTTATACTAGAATGATTTATAATCCTTTGGGTATATATCCAATAATGGGATTGTTGGGTCAAATGGTATTTCTGGTTCTAGATCCTTAAGGAATCGCCACACTGTCTTCTACAGTGGTTTAACTAATTTACATTCCCACCAACAGCATAAAAGCATTCCTATTTTTCCGCATCCTCTCCAGCATCTGTTGTTTCCTGACTTATTAATGATCACCATTCTAACTGGCATGAGATGGTATCTCAATGTGGTTTTGATTTGCGTTTCTCTGATGAACAGTGATAATGAGCATTTTTTCATATGTCTGTTGGCTGCATGAATGTCTTCTTTTGAAAAGTGTCTGTTCATATCCTTTGCCCACTTTTGATGGGGTTGTTTGTTTTTCTTGTAAATTTGTTTAAATTCCTTGTAGATTCTGGATATTAGCCCTTTGTCAGATGGATAGATTGCAAACTTTTTCTCCCATTCTGTAGGTTGCCTCTTCACTCTGATGATAGTTTCTTTTGCTGTGCAAGAAGCTCTTTAGTTTAATTAGACTCCATTTGTCAATTTTGGCTTTTGTTGCAATTGCTTTTGGCATTTTATTCGTTAACTCTTTGCCATTGCTTGTGTCCTGAATGGTATTCCCTAGGTTTTCTTCTAGGGGTTTCATGGTTTTAGCTCTTACATTTAAGTCATTAATCTGTCTTGAGTTAATATTTGTATAAGATGTAAGGAAGGGGTCTGGTTTCAGTTTTCTCCATATGGCTATCCAGTTTTCCCAAAACCATTTATTAAATAGGGAATCCTTTCCCTATTGCTTGTTTTTGAGAGGTTTGTCAAAGATCAGATGGTTGTAGACGTGTAGTGTTATTTCTGAGGCTTCTGTTCTGTTCCATTGGTCTATTTCTTATATACTGAGCAACTCTTCAGCACATGGAAAGCAGACACATGTAAGATGTGTGAGTAGCAACAGCAACCTTCGGCTTATGGAGATAATGTTGCCTTTTTTTTGTATCTATCATCTCAGGAGACTTAGTTAAGAAATTGTATAATGCATATCCTGGATAAATGTGCAGATATCCCTTTTCTCCTGCAGTCTCGCTCTAATAAAATATTCAATTGTAAAGAAATAAAGTTGTTTCAAATTAGAAGAATAGAAGCAAGTACCCCCTTTTTTTTCCTCTGGTAAGCTCTGGAGTATTGAAAATGAGGAAAATATCCTTGAAAAGACTTAACAGAAAGAAGTTGTTTGGATACAGAGTGACATAGTTTGGGAGCATGAGGCAATCTCCCTCAATGATATTGCTGGTGCCACAATTTCTCCTACTGTGGTCTTATGAGCCTTTTTTTTTCTCAAAAAAGAAGGTAAAATCAAACGTGATAGAATGACTTATGTCCCTTCCATATTTATATGTTGAAGCCCTAACCCCTAGTGTGGATGTATTTGAAGATA
Source organism: Homo sapiens (assembly GCF_000001405.40). Lineage (NCBI taxonomy): Eukaryota > Metazoa > Chordata > Mammalia > Primates > Hominidae > Homo > Homo sapiens. The sequence goes on from NC_000004.12 coordinate 43,428,482, forward strand.
GGGCCCTTAAGGAGGCAATTAAGGTTAAATGAGCCCATGAAGATGGGACCCTAATAAAAGTCATCTAATATGACTGATGTTCTTATAAAAAAGGAAGAATCACTAGGGAGGGCCCATACAGAGAAAAGGCCATATAAGGATGCAGCAAGAAGGTGGCTGTCTCCGCACCAAGGACAGGGGTGTCAGTAGAAATCAACCCTGCCAGGACCTGGATCTTAGACTTGCAGCCTGCAGATCTGTGAACTGCAGAACTGTGAGAAAATTAATTTGTTTTTCAAGCCACCCAGACTACAGCATCTTGCAATGAAAGCACCAGCAAATTAGCATATCCAGTTGTATTTTTATTGATGGGCAGGTTGTGTCTTCTGAAATCAAGGTATCACATGGAAGATGTGCAGAGTGATACTTAAGGCTGCTCTTAAAGAAACATTGCAAAATCCTAGTTCTCCGATCAAATCTTTTGTGGTCATCTTCACAATTTTTATTTTCCTTAATTACAAAATATAATAAGCACCTGGGAAGGTGGAAGGAGCAATGTGGCAAGAGGGATAGATTAAATTTGCCATTACTATCATCATACCACGAACAAAGACGAGGAATAAATGGTTTTATTCATAGCCAAAAGACAATAGAATCTATACAGCTAATAATCAAAGAAAAAATAGTTTAGAGTACTTCCTGAAGCTGTTACTGATTTGCGCTTCCATGTTAAATAACAACATCATGGGTCCTCAAAAGAAAGTTAATTGTGGGGCAGGAAAAAGGTCATCATCATATAATCCTTCCATATATTCACTGTGTATTCACAAATAAACTGCTTTGCATAAGTCAAAGGTAATATTTAGAGTTTGAGAAGTGATGAGTAAGGATAATTAAAATAATCAAAGTAATTTGGAATCAAGAAGGTTGCATTACGAGGATGCAGTAAAGGATTACTACTTATCAATTTTGAAATGTAAAGGCAAAGAATATTATTGGAATCTACAGTGTCATTAGGATAGAAGGCAGGGAGTGGACTTGTTCATAAGATCAAATCCAATAGATAAAATAGATATTCCTTGTAGCTTGAAAAGTTGTAATTATAGAAAAATAATTACAGTAATAAATATTAAAAATTAAAGTATATTTGATTTTAAATATTAAAGGAAACATTTATTTTTATATGGAGACAATAAATTTTCCCCAAGAGTTGATTAAAAATTAGATGATTATATCTAATTTAATATAATTGTGTATCAATAGCTATATCATTTTATAATAATTCATAAATCTTGGCATAAAATATAGCAATTATGAAGAAGAAAAGGCTAAATGTTTCTTGTCTTTCATGTTATTAGTAATTCAACAGATGACATTTATAGCCCTGATAGGCTATGTATATTTATACAATAGTTCTGAAGGGTTACTTTTTAACTGTCCATCAGGTTTAAGTCATTATTTTTTTTTAAACTGTGTAATATGCCATGGTTGGTATGATAAATTCTTAGAACATTTATTCTAATGTAGTTAGATGAAACGATTCAAATGAATACAAAAATACCCACCAGTTAGGACCTGATGGCAACCATGAAATCTCATGGCAAATTCTTTAATGATTACTAGTTAATACAAAGCGTAAGTAAGACATTCAAATTAAGACCTGTGATAGAGATAGGAGGCAATACTTTGAAGCCTAAGGACTATAGAACTTTATTTGGAGACTGGGAATATACCCAAAAGGCATAATGAAGAGATACCACTACTACTAATTCCATGTGATGTTTTAATTACAGTGGCTCCTGTTGATTTATCTACCCCAAACTGAGATATGGTAAAAAAACTTATTTAATTGGTGGTCAATTATCTAATTTAAAAAATTGTTATTTATATCATTCTAAATTGAGTTTGTTATTTAAAATACAAAAATACCTTTATCTTAGATGATTCTTTATCTGAGGGACAAATTTTCAAACAGTACTAATACAATTTTTTGCCATTATATTTTTAATATTTATGTAAGGCTCTTGCCATTTACGGCTTATACTCTGGCTTACATTTTAAAACTCATTTCACGCACTCTAATTTGGCTTAAAATGTCAATTAATCACATAAGATACTAGTCAAAGGAAATTCATGTTTACCATAGTTTATATAAAATTAGTAATAGGAACACTGAATAAATGATTTATTTTGTCAGCACAATACATTTATAACTATGTCTTACTATTTTTTTCTTGTGGTGAAATGTAGAATGCTTTTAGTCTCCTTTAATATCTCAGATAAAGAAAAATTTGTATTTTTTAAGAAAATAGAGTCTATAGTTCACAATTCATGGTATGAGAATTGTTTTTTATTGTTGGCCTATTTTGTTTTTTTATTATAAAATAACAGGTAAAGTATTTTTGAAGTACTAACTAAATGCTACAAAGGAAAGAAAATTAAAATATGCCTAGGATAACAATGGAGGAGGAACCATTTTACCAGGATATCTCAGTTAGGGAAAAATTAGTCTTGAGGATATGATATTCTTCCTCAAAGCAGGAATATGTGATGCTTTTACAAACATGGATCAACAATTTATCCATTGAAGTCTGCTGATATGGGTAGTTAATCTCAGGATACACTTTTAAAATCATAAAGAAAGGAGGTAAAGTAAATATCTAAATTCTAGGCTAGGTACCAATGATTTTATGTCTTATTTTATAAAATTATAGTACCTTGAAATTCAGCAACTGTAAAACCATAAAAATGAAGAAAGACTCCCCTTACATAAATAAATTAGAATAATCAGAAATATTCTTTAGAAAATTATTTATTTATGCCACATTTTATACATGGGCATGGGTAAAAACCAATTTGAAATATTATGCATGCCATTTTTTACACTTACAAAGATCTTGAAATGAACCATCTCATGTCAGTAGATATCTTACAGAAAAAAAAATCATCATATATATTTTCTTTGCATAACACTCCATCTTTTTAAGAGCTTTCACTCATCTAGAGGTATGTTAGATTTAATAGATCCTTTTTAGAAAAAAGATATATAGCGCAAAGTTACATAAGTTCCGCAGAGGCAACAACAGATCTTTTGCAAATAAATCTTTACTTATTAGTGTGTCAGCAGCTTCTACTTTTGCCAAATTAATTATTTAGCAAGCTGAAAGCTAGCCTGTTTCTTTTGCTAATTTCTGTCTTTTCATCAGTAATGCAAGTAAAAGTGACTTTCTTAAAACCATTTTCTTCTCTTTTACCTTACTTAATAGACATAACTCTTGTACGAATTATTTTTCTGGGGCAAGTTACTTTTTAAAAAAGTGTATGTGATCTAGAGGATGTTTAATTTAATACAATATCTTATCCTATAAATTGGATTGGCTAGTAGGAAATCTCCAAAATAAGTACAGTTCATTCTTTGCAGTTAGTTTTATTATTCCATTTCTCGTATTCCTTTATGCACCTTCTGTCGAGTGTGCAGTGATCATTTCTGGCAACCAAGCAAAGGGTATCCTTGCAGAGCTTTATTTATGTGCACTACTGAAACACATTCTAACTTTTTTCTGCTATGGTCACCAATGTAATTCATTGGTTTTATGTATTTGAGGTTGCATACAAAAGGAAAATAATTTAGATAAATCTGTAAATCACCAAACACAGCTGTTGAGGGCATAAATTGATATATACGCTCTAAAATAAAATCTGGCAATATATTTTTATTCCTATAAATACTGTGTATTTCTTGATTTACTAATTAAATTTATAGTGCTCTATACCAAAGAAATAATGAGAGATATATTTTATTACATACAAAAATGCATAACACAGTGTTATCAAAAAAAATGAAGAAAAAAACCAACTTGAGTGTCCATTTATAGGCTCTTGTTATATAAATTAAAACAAAATCATGTGGCAGAATAATATAAAGTTATTAAGAACAGAAAAGATGTCTGCTTCCGCCAAAATGCAGAACACTGACAACACAAAATGGCGGCAAAGATGTGGTGCAACAAGAACTCTCATTCACTGCTGATGGGAATTAAAAATGAATGGTACAGCCACTTTGAAAAACAGGCTAACAAAACCCTACCAAACTAAACACACTCTTACGATATGATCAGCGGTTGCCCTCCTTACTGTTTATCCAAGGAAGTTGAAAATGTATATTTACACAAAAACCTGCACATAGATGTTTATAGCAACTTTATTCAGAATTGCCAAAACTTGGGAACAACCAAGATGTTCTTCAGTAGGCGAGTGGATAAATTGTGGTGCATTGAGACAATGGAACATTATTCAGCACTAAAAACAAATGAAGGAACCTTATATGACTTAGTGAAAAAAGCCATTGTGAAAAGGCTACATACCATATGATTCTAACTCTATGGCATCTTGAAAAAGGCCAAACAATGAAGACATTAAAAAGATAGTCATTGCTAGGGGTTAGGGAATAGGGAAGAATGGATAGTCAGAACACAGGATTTCTAGGGCAGTGAACATACTCCGTATGATACTATAATTATGGATACATGCCATTATATATTCATTCATACCTATAGAATATAGAAGACCAAGAGTAAACTCTAATGTAAACTATGGACTTTGGGTGATTTTGATGTGTCAGTGTAGTTACACTAATTACAATAACTATATCACTCTAGTGGGGGATGTTGATAATCAAGGAGGCTATGCATGTGTAGGATAAAGGGTATCCCATAAATCTCTGTACCTTCCTCTGAATTTTGTTGCAAATCTATAGCTGCTCTCAAAAAATAGTCTTTAAAAAAAGTCTTCTTTCTGTAGTTTGGTAAAAACAGCTAGATCTTCAATAAGCCTTTCCTTTTCCTATATTTGTGGCCTTCTAAGAAGTAAATAAAATCTATAAGGATCACCCCTTCACACACACAAAATATGTGGCTGGTGCTGGAACAGGAATTAAAAGAAATTAAAAAATGTGTAAGCAAAAACTCAGTTGTATGTAAGAAAAACCAATTCCCCATGAGGAAAAGAAAGCGCCGAAGTCCTTCAAAAATTGAATGCCTGTTTTTGGGTGGCTAGTGAGCCTTATCTCTCCATTTCCCAGGCATTGTGAAGAGTCTGTTTTTCTAGCTGTGCAGCTGCAAGGTCACTAAACAGATAATCTCAAGTCATAAAACATGTTGTTCCTTAAAACGTAAGAAATAATGTAATGCCTGTCTTAACTGAATAACTGTTTTTGTTTCTTGTTTCTGTAATACGCTTCCCCCTGCACAGATCTCCCCCCACCCCATGAAATGCTTAAAAGGTAGCTTGACTCTTTGTTCGGGGCTCAGTCCTTTGGATGTTAATCCGACTGGGTCGGTGCACCTAAATAATTAAATAATTCCTCCTTAACTCCTCAGTCTCTCTGATTCCTTAATTATTCTGCTGCAGTACTTCGAGAAAAAATGGAGACATTGTCACTACAATAGGCCAATCTACCAAATGGAAGAATTGATTCTGAGATTATTACATTAGGTCCATGATTTTCATAGAAGGCTAAAGTGGTCCCAGATTAACACTATTCTTGATTTCCATCATAGAGAAGTAACAATCTTTTTTGGAGAAAAATGTTCCCAACTCAGGCCTTTAGGATTCCAAAGATCATGGTAAAGAAAATATGAGACAGCAAATAAAGATCCCCAACACATAAGAAATAAACCACCAGGTTTAAGGGAGAGCAGTAATAATAACTAGATAGGGTTCCCACTTAGTTCATATATTTTAAGATCAAATACAGAATATTACTTAAATATATGTGTCCATACAAATATATGTAGATAATAAATCTAAAATTAAGTAATACTATTATTTTTAAAAGGCAAAGTTAATTAGAAAATGAATTAACTAATGATTAATTAAAAACACATAATTTTTGAAATGAAAAAGATCTAATAGACACAGTTGAAGAGTAAGCAGAAAAACAAATCTGAAGAAATTAACCAGACAAAATGAAACATGCAGAAAAAAGAAAAGTGGCATGTTGTTTACACTGAGAAGATTTAATGCATATCTGAAATAATCATCCCAATAGAAGATTGTATTAATTATTTTCTACTACATAACACATTATCCCAAAATGTAGCAACTTCAAGCAACAAATACTAAATGGTTGTCTGGTTCCAGGATCTCTTAACCAGTTCCCAGTCAAGCTGTTGTCTGGACAACAGTCTCTGAAGATTTGACTAAGCTAAAATTTCTTCTAATCTCACTCACAAGTCTTTTGGCAGGTCCTTCAGTTCCTCTGCCATCTCACCATTTGGGTCTCTGTATAGGTTGACAGAGAAAGAGAGCAAGCATTTACAAGAGTGATAATAAGAGCCTGATACAAAGTGGGAAGGCACTACAAAAGGATATAACCACCAGGAGCCAAGAGATGAGGATCAAGAGAGACTTAGAAAAGGAAGCAAAGGTAATATCTGAAAAGGGCTAGTTGAGAGTTCAACTAACATGAACCCACACATATAAACAGTTGCCAATTTACCATGGGTCAGGTTAACATTTTTTTAACTTTATGATGGGTTTGTTTATCAAGGAAGTAAGTGCATTTTTGACTTTTGGTATTTTTGACTTATGATGAGTTTATTGTGAAATTACACCATCATAGGTTGAGGAGCCTCTATACATGAAACACAATAAGTTATAAACAGGAAAAACAAACAAACAAAAACACATTTATATTGTAACATTGCACATACAAAAGACAATGAAAAGTTTTTAATGCAGGTAGAGAAATCACCTACAAATAACTGGATGATATTGAAAGCAGACTTTGCATCAATAACGAAAATTGCGGTTTCTGAATTCAGATTACTTGGTTTGTTTCCTTGCCACTCTGGCTGTTAAATCTTTGGAAAATAACTTAATCTCTTTGTGTCTTATCTTTGTAGTAGATTTCTATTGCTATTGTGATAAATCACTGCAAACATTGGCACACAGCAACATAGATTTATTATCTGGATTTATTAGAGATTTATTATCTTTATTTATTTATTACAGTTCTGGAGGCCAGAAGTCCTGACGTCAGTTGTTGGCAGGGTTGCATTTCTTCTGGAGGCTCTAAAGTATAATCTATGTTTTTACTTTTTCCAGCTTCAAGAGGTGCCCTGCATTCCTTTTTTATGGCTGTTTCTTCTCATTGTTGCAACCTCTGCTTTGTTCACATCTCCTTTTCTAACTCCTACCCTCCTGTCTCCCTTTAACAGGGACCACAGTGATTGATCACGTTGTGAATCTAGGATAATCTTCCTACCTCAGAATCCTTAACTCAATCATTGTAAAGCCTATTTTGCTATGAAAGGTAATATATTCATAGATTTCAGGCCTTATGACCTGAACATTTTTGAGGGACATTAGTCTGTCTACCACAGTCCTTGTAAAATAAGAGAAGTAATAATGTCGACTACCTAGGGTTTTTATGAGGATTGAATATTGAATATGCTCAGATATTTTTTAAAGTTATTATTCCATTTCTATTATTTTATAATTATTATTAAAAATAGAGGTAAGCCACCTACTCCTCTCAAAAGGTAGTTTGTACTCGGAGATAATGAACAGACTGGTTAAAAGTACTTACAATGCAGATTAATGCACACTGCATACTATAAAATTGTTTGATAAAATAAGTAAAGAATTGACTAAAAAACTACAGGATGATATATTAAAGAGCTAAAGGTTGGTGAGTGGGGAGCTGTATCGTTAACATTACTTAGTCTACAAAATTGTTCTTCAAAGCTAAAGATTCAATAAACTGAAAGCTCACTGCTAACTATCCTTCAATCGTGAAACTTCTGAGTGTACTTTTGGAAGATAGAAAAGAATCTTAGAAGAAGACTGAGAAATAAATAATAGAAAATATATAAATTGGAAAACAAGTGAATAAGTTCAAGAAACCATTGTTTATATAAAAACAATGTTCTTCTTTCAATTTGTAAGGTTAAAAAAATTAAAATGCTAGACAATAATAGTGCATAATTTAGAAAGAGGTTAACCATAATTGCATTGTGTGAAAGCAATTACATTATTCAACACAGGGGGCTGAAGGCCCATGGGATGTGACCAACTCAGCATTCCACTGGAGGCTATATGATCAGATAGCAAACTGTTTATCATGAAAGTAGGATGTGAGCAAACTCACAACTGCTCCTGCTGACAGAAGGTTTGCTGGAGGCAATCATTCCCTGGTGCCGAGCTTACCTACTGCAACATCTAGAGAATGCAGTCTTGCAAGCCTACTCTGGACTGAGCCCCTTATTCCACCCCCATTCTCACTATCTTTTTTGCCTAATAAATACAGAATGCTGTGTAAAGTTCAGGGCCCTTGTCCACTAGAGGCAAGGTGCCTCCGACTTTTGTCTCTTGTCTTTATTCCGGCATTCTCCCCTCTTTGTTCAGTCCAATAGGTCCGCGGCAATTCAAGATATGCAATGGAGGTAGTATCTAATGGGAGCTATTGTTAAATCACAAACATATAGCTAAACTGAAAGTAACTAATTGCCACAATTGGGTAGTTGGACTCTTCAAAGGATATTGTCATATCAGAGGCTGAGCATTGGTTTTTGTTGATGGTAGGTTGGATCATGGTGACTGGGAGCTTATGTTCTAGGGTTTATGCAGAGACTTCATCTTTGCCATTAAGTCTACACTGTTTATGAACCATTTGCCAGCAGTAGAATGGCCAGTGCCAGAGGCTGGCTGATGTGACTTGTATGGGTCATTCTTTCTACTTGGTTATTGAGCATCTTCTATGGTCAATACTTTATGGTAGACATTCATGTCCTGCCTACACTATGCTTTACGTTCACTCCCACAGGTTAATCCATAAGCCTCTTTTCCAGAATTTCCAATTATCCACATAGTGGAATAATGTCAGAGTGTCCAGACTGTTCAGGTCCCCTGGGAATATATTATGACAGAAGTAAAAAAGGTTAGTATCACCCTCAAGCAAAGCTACAAATATATATTATTGTACATCCCACATGAAAGCAAACTATCTCTGACCTAGCATCTGTTGGATGAATACAGGCATATAGGGAATGTCTGCAGTCTAGTAATTTCCTCTAGAAGAGATACCATATCTATCCCAGGAGTTGTAGTTAGGACTGTTATCCTGGTTAAATTCATTATAATCTACAGCCACCCACCAAAATCCATCTGAATTTTGTAGGAGCCAAATTGGTAAACCTAAATGGTAGAAGCCATGATCCTGAATTCTTTTACTCTTTAGTTGTTTTTTCATTATTATAATCATTGAGTTTTGAGAATTCTTTATATACTTTGGGTATAATTTATTTGTGAGATAACTGTGACTTGTCTTTTTATTTTAACAGTATATATCAAAGAATAAAAGTTTTACATTTTGATGAAAAAACAGTAGTAGCCCTAATCTTTGCTCTATCCTCATAGATAAGCATGATTTTTTACTTAATGACTTAGCTGGGACTTTTAATTGCCATTTACCAATAATATAGCTTTCACCTCACAGATCATGGAATTGATACAAGGATCATAGTAATTGTCAAGTATTTACATTCTAATTGTACGTTTATGTACTGAAGAAAAGTCATTGGGTATGTCCGTAAATCCAATAGATTCATGGTGAACAAGAACAGAGAGAGGACTCAATTACATGACTCCCAGACCTTTCTCCATTGCACCTGCACCAATCTAACAAGTGGGCTAAGAAGTATCATCTTCTAATTAGAAGATATAGTGATTCATGTATACAGCCATCACTAAAGTCTTAGGTCCTGTGTCCAATAGCCCTCAAAATGTCGGGGGAGATCTCATGCTCCAGTGTATGGCTTTCCTAATAAGTTGCCAGAGATCTCTGTGCAGAATGACTTGGGGAATAGTTACTGCCTAGACTCATTGTGGCATTACTATGTCCTCCCTTATGGGGACTTAGTCTCTCCCTTGCTCAATGTTCATTTCCCACACATGAACCACTTTTTACAACCAGACCCATTGTGTTGCAAAGCAGAGGCCTCTATACTATCTTCAAGTGATGAGGGAGTTGGGAAGTGGAATGGAGAGTAGGGAGTGCTAGACTTTAACTCGGAGAAGCCAGCCATTTCAAGGCCTCAAGACTCCTGAAATACATTTCCTGTTTGAAGAAAAGACTTTTAAAATCTGAATTTTTCTCAATAAGCACCAACATTTGCGAATAGAAGATCTATTGAGTTGAGAATTCAACTTTGGAATTTCACTATACTTAGAATTAAATACTGTGTCTAATCCTAAATTCATTAGCCCAATGGTTATAGGAGAGGAAAATCACTTTATATGTTGCCAAGTGCTCTGATTTTACATTTAACATTAAAATAGTGGTTAAGCACCCTAGACTTTACTGGCTTTCTTCAATGAATCTATAGCACTCAGCAATAGACATTCGATTCTAGTCTTTTCAATTTACTACTTTCTCTATAATTCTCAAATGTCTGAGGCATGGCACTGACAGTGCATAATCTTCTATTTATATAATGTCCCTTATTACTAGTGATAAAAGTTTTAACAATTGCACCACCACAGCATACCAGGAATAATCAAAACATTACTGACCACTAGTATGAGTACTCATTACAAGCCAGGCTATGAGTGATCCAACATCAAAATTCTATTTTAAGGTCAATTTCCTAAGACCAATCCTGTACCAATGCTTTCAGATTGAGTTTGACAGAAACAGACTGTTAGAGGAAATTTGCATGCAGGAGACCCTCAAAGACAGCACCATTAACGAGGTTAGGAAAATAGGAATTGGCAAAAGGAGAAATTGAAGTCTAGTGAATTTGCATTAGTAATCTCTGGCTATCTCAACTGTAGCTGGAGCAGAGATGTTTCTTTAAAATTGGCTCAAACTTGGGCCTTTTATTGTTTCTTTTAAATCAACTAGTTATTGCCTGTGGGTTAGGAGAGAAATGAAAGCTGGGGTGAGGTACCTCTCTTCAGTTCAGGGTAATTCTTCACACATAGGCCCACAATTCTAATAATCAGAAGCTTACCCTACTGGTAGCTGGTGGAATGAAGGAAGAATTTGAACAGAGCCCAGAGATTCTGATACAATTATTAGTATTTCAAGAATGTGAGCATAGTTAATTCTACCCTGGATTAATATCAAAAATTTTAAATAATTTTTCTGCTATGTTGAAAATCATGTAAAATAGGATAGCTATACTGTGCTATTAACTCTAAAATCTCAGTGGTTTAATACAGATGAAAGTGCATCTACTTCATTCTTTTTAGGACCTGATTTCAAAATTTTAATTATCAGCATATTAGATTGTTATTTCTTAAAATATCTGTGGTGAAAAATATGGTTATTTTCATTTTGTTTGTTCATTTTCTTTTTTTCAAATCTATTGATAGCAGATACTTTTGAAAAACGCGATAAATATAGAGTGGCAGTATCAATTTGTTATAAAAAGTTCTAAATGCTAATGTTCAATTTCTGATATATCTCATGTAGACCAGTAATAGTTTATGGACATTCATTTCTCTGAGGACACTCTTTGAGCAACATTCTCTAGGCCTTGTTACCTTCTCTTATGCTTTTTTTTTCTATCCTTTTGTTTATCCTTGCTTTGGTTTAAATATTTTCTTTTGAGATGCCTCCCAATTTACTAATTCTTTCTCCAGCTGCATCTAATCTACTGTCAAATATATACACTAAGTTCTTAGTTTCTATTATTGGGTTTTTAAGTTTTACAATTTCAATTTTCCTTATTTTCTTTAAGTTTATACTTCAATGCTGAAATTACAAAATTGTGTCACTTATTTACTGAAACACAATTTTTATAGTTATTTTAAAACCTGTGCCATATAATGGAATAATCTGAATCTCTTATCTGGTTATTTCTTTGGCTTTGTGGTCACTTTTATTTTTATCTACTTGCATACCTGGTTATGCTTGATTATCAGGCGGTATGTATGAAGACTATAAAGGTAAATTGAGTCTCTGGATACTATTCTCTTACTCCAAGATAGAGTTATCTTTGCTATCATCTGGTGGCTATTCAAGAATCATTAGCCATCCTAGATTAATGTAATTCTAATAAGGGATTAATATCATCTATCCTGAGCTTTAGACCCCAATAAGACTTCACTACTTCTATTTCACCTTCTTCCTAGGGTACAGACTCTCAGGGTGTTTGCCAGGGCCTTCCTACTTGTAAGCCCAGACTCCAATCTTTATCTCTCCCATCTCTCTGTAGAATGCACTGCTCAGTTGCTCAAACTCCCAGTCTTCTTCACTAGAATTTTCAATTTAAAAGGTATCATAAATATAAGCCTTATTTCCCTTTATTTTCTTCTAAATCTTAACCTTATAATTATTGAATATCTTTATAATTTTCTAGTTTTCTAATAAATATATACATTATATTTTATCCATCTATTCTCCTTGTTTTCTGTTATCTATTATCAATATCCAAACTGAGCTACAGGGATTTTTTTTTTTCTCAAGGTTATATGCTCTTTAGAAAATAACAACTCTTCTTTTAAGAAATAGTTGTCACTCTGTCAGGGCACAGATAGAAACTGAATGCCCGATTATGGGAATCCAGGTAATATTGCGACCTGAGCCACTGAGCAATGAATCAAGGAGGCCGCACAGTAAACTTTCATCAAATGAAATGACATACACCTAACCATGCTTGCTGATTCTGATGGCACAAATAGAGAATCATAATCATGTCAAATATAGCATTATTTCCAATGGTTAAAATTGAAGACAACTTACTTATCCCTTAAAACAAGAATTTATAAAGACATTTTTATATCAAACGCAATGCAATGTGATGAAGCAGCTAAAATGTATGAACTACAATTTCTTATATCCATCTGAATAAATTTTACATTATACAATTATGAGAAAAGTGAGTCTATTAAGAATCTTCACAAACTAATAGAATTTATTTGAATATTAAGATGTACTGAACAATACTTGTAATTACATCTGTATATATTGTATATAAATATATATAATAGTATATGTATATATTTTATATATTATATATTTATATTAAGTAAAATTCTAAACACATTTCTGGAATTATGAATTGTAAAATTTCCTAGGGATAAAAAGAGGAATAGTTTCAGAGTTATGTAGAGGACTTCAACTGTACATATGATTTTTTAAAAATATGAAACAAACATGAGCAACTTTTTAAAATTAGAAGAAAACTATGTCTTTATACAGAGGTACTTAGTAGAGTGTTCTGTGTACTTTCTTGTGTGTTTGAATAATTTTATAATACAAAATATGATTTTCATAATAAAAATCCTTTTTAAGAAAACTTAAAACCTATCCCTTTATATTGGCAATTGTGGAATATATTGTACTTGCTCTATCCCAATCTGCACACTGCCTTTCTCTGCTATGCTTTTCCCTAGGAGGCTAGGTCCTATAGACTGACTCTTCAAATTTCTCTAGCTGTCTTCCGGTTGGGTCAACTCAATGGGAACCCCTGGGAGACTGGAGTAGATGGAGTGAGAGACCAGGGACCATAGAACAGTATTTCTTCCTTGCCTCTTCCCTTGATCAATACACAGTCTCTGGCAGTATCCTGTATGGTAGATGGGCCCTCCTCCAGAGTTCTGGGTCTCAGTGGGCTTTGATAATCCTCTCCTTGTTTCTTCAGCACTAAGAGTGGTAATGGCTTTGTGTTGCTTCTGAGTGTCTCACCATTGCATATTCCATATCCTTGTCTACTCCTCTGTAAGTAGATCTTTCCTAAGTCTGCTCACTGAAATATTTGTTTCCTGCTTGTATCTTAGCTAACACATTGATGGAATGAGAAAGCAAAAATAAAACGTATCTTAGCTAACACATTGATGGAATGAGAAAGCAAAAATAAAACAATAGTACAATAAGTAGTAAAAATCTATTATTAGTAAAATATATAACTTAATTTATGCAATATGAGTAAAATAAAGCCATGTATAAGACCATTTAAATTAGTTGATTAGTCTTTTAATCGGATTTGTTCACATCAAACTCCAAAATACATGGCCTATTTGGAACACCCCAAGCCATGAATAAACTGGTTTAATAATAGCTGTCAGTTATATTTAGGACAATTAAACTAGTAATATATGCAAATGTAATTTTTGATATATTTAATGCTTATTTTGAAATGGACAACTGTAATAGCTATTATGATAATCAATCCAATGGTCAAGTTCTATTATGGTTACAGTGATTTGAAATTATAAATCATAGCAGTCATCTTGAAATTCCTTTTCCAAAGATTATTCACCAGAAATAATGTATCCCATTAGAAGCCCAAGGGTTTTTCTTTAATGGAAGGCAGCCATATTCCTTTAGCAAAACTGATTAGTCTGTCCTCCTACTTCAGTGTTTTTATCTATTAAAGCCAAAGCCTAATGAGCAAATTCACTAATGAGGTGCTCTATATCTGTTGTAAAGAAAAATCTTTCTTTAGCAAACTTCTTATTAAAATAGTAAGTGAGTGTAGAGCTAAACTTGGCAAAATTCTGTGATCCAAATTGACAAATGCAAGTGTGTTTTCTTTTAATACCTGAAATGTTGACTGCTAATAATGGGATCTCAGTTCAAACAAATAATTACAGTTGATGATTAAAGTAACCATAACCCTAATTAATGACTTTGTTAACAGCTGCTGCTTATTTAGGGCATTAATCCAAGTTCATTGTTTAACCTCTTTATATATACTAACCCATATGAAATATTTAACAATTCACTGACTCATTCCTAAGGCACTACATGATAATATGTGACTGTATCCATGAGGTGCCACTAATGATGATTTTGCTTGTCTACCCTCCATTCTGGCCAGGTTTTCTACTGTCAGATTCCATCTTGAGTTGAGGATTCCATTTCCATATACTCTTTTTGAAGGAACAGATTGCAGGTAGTTTTTAAAACCATGGATCACCTGGAGTCACAGTGAAGAGAATGGCACCTGGATAAAAGACCACCATGTATCTGCTTGCCTATTGTCTGTGAGCAGCGCTTTTGCACAGTATTGGATGGTGATTGCTAAACTAAGTCACCTCCTCCCATTTGGTCTTTGAATTCAAAACATAAAACATCTCTTAGAGATGAGAGATTATAGCCCTTTAAACAGCTGAAATAAGTTTAGTAGGGCAGCAGAAACAGCTAGAGATAAGGCTGAAGATGAAGTCATTACTTGGGTATAAAAAGGCTTGTAAACCAGGATTCCAATTTTTATCATACAGGTTATTGGAACCCCTGGAGGATATAAAACCAGAAAGTAAAATGATCATATTTACATTTTTCCTTTCCTGGTTTATTCTTATATTAAACTCTGACTGATTTAAGTAACTTAAATATGCTTCTCTTATAACCTGAAAGATGAAAGATAAGCCACTTCTCATTTTAATGATAACAAGCTGAGATGATAACCGTGCCTGTGTTCTTGCTGTAGTCTTCCTGTACATGCCACTCATCTATCTACTTTTTTCCTAGAGTAGACATGTTGGCCTCAATATCTGCCTCTATTAGGAATCTTACTTTATTTACTATCCTTGCTTAACTTCTTCCACTCCAGATTGTTTCTTGTAGAACATATATTACCACTGCTTATGGTACATCGACAAACCTTTTAATTCTCAAATGACATTCATAGTAAGAAATTTGTGTCTTGGCTCTACCCTGTGCTAACTGGAAGAGTTGGCATCATCTCAACTAAGTGTCATCATCTGAATTTATTTTTCTGTAAAGGGATGCTTTGTTTATTATACTTTATAGACTTATTGTGAAGGGAAATTAGGAAGTCTAAATGAGGCTATTCCTAATATCAAATGATGTATGAATATGTTTTATTATGATAAAGTGAATGTAATTCACATATATTGTTGAGACCTGTCAATGATAAGTAGAGTAGCTGCATGAATACAAACCTGGGCTTTAAAGTCATACAGGCTTCAATCAAACCTTTTCTAATTAGCATCTGTAAAACTGCAGGAAAGTTAATTAGCTGCTGTAAACTTCAGCACCTTTATTTATAAAATTGGAACAACAATGTCTACTTCACAAAATTATGATAAAGATTTAATGAGGTAACACGTGAAAATGTATTTGAAAGGTCATTGGAACACAGTAAGTGGTCATTAAAAGGTTGCAATTATTCCATTAAGAAGTAAAATGTTTGATCTTTTAAAATTTGTATTTAATTGTAGGAACCTATTACAATTTATTTAAGAATAATAGCACAAGGAAACTTATATGAATGGATTCATTATCCTGTCTTGCAAATTAGTCTTCTGGAAGTAAAGCTAAAACATGAAGAAGGAGCAATAGGAAGTTAGCAGCTATTCAGGAAAGTGGAAACAGAGTTTTCTCTCTGTCTTCCAAAATCAGCTTTAACTTTACTGTTGAACACAGTATTCTACTTTGTAGGTGTTGAGTGGACAAACGTAGGAATAAATGAATAAATTACAACTGTTTGAAAAGGGTCATAGCTGATTCAGGTCACTTTATGCACTGGAGGATGAGGTTAGAGTCTTTAGGGGAATAGGGTAAGACTGTTGCTCTAAAGGCAGTTCCAAAGAGCAGATACATAAGTCGATGGGGCAATAATAAAAAGGATGTTAATGTTTATGATATCTAACAGGTATTGAGTGCTTAATAGTATCAGACATAGTTTCAAATGTTTTACTTACATTATCTTTTTATTCATCCTAAAACCCCTATAAACAGATATTATTATTATCCCTAAACTAAAGCAAAGAGAGGGTAAGAAACGTCCACAAATTTATATATTATTAAATAATATTCTATATGTTTAACATGAGAGAAAAATGGCAAGGTTCAAATCTCCCAGGCTCCAGCCAGGTGGTTTAGGAATCCAATGATCCTCTGTATTAGTCAGGGTTCTCTAGAGGGACAGAACTAATAGCGTATATAGAACAAATAGGATATATATATATATATATATATATATATATATATATATATATATATATATGAGTTTATTAAGTATTGACTTACATGATCACACGTCCCACAATAGGCTGCCTGCAAGCTGAGGAGCAAGAAGAGCCAGTCCAAGTCCCAAAACTGGAAAACTTGGAGTCTGATGTTCAAGGGTAGGAAGCATCCAGCACAGGAGAAAGATGTAGTAGGCTGAGAGGCTAGGAGAGTCTACTCTTCATATTTCTCTGCCTGCTTTATATTCTAGCTGCACTGGCAGCTGATTAGATGGTGCCCACCCAGACTGAGGGTGGGTCTGCTTTTCCCAGCCCAGTGACTCAAATGTTAATCTCCTTTGGCAACACCCTCACAGACACACCCAGGATCAATACTCAGCATCCTTCAATACAATCAAAGTAACAGTCAGTATTAACTAACACAAGTCCACCCTTTGTCAACTTGAACCCATATGCAACTCCTGAGATCATACATAATCTTCAAATAAAGACAATAATATGGTCACAATTATGCCTAACATAATACAACTATCCTTCATACAACTGGAAACACTCCAATCCCCAAACCAAATACGATCAGATAAAGTTGACTATACTTAAATGCTGATGTGAAGTCAATAAATCTTATGTCACATGATAAAGAAAAAAGGAAATAAAATGAAGATATTTTCTTAGTACAAGTATCTACATACACAAACATGTTTTTCACAAAAGAAGGAGGAAATACTCATGACAATTACAGTCCCCATTTCTGCAGCTAGTCACGTGGTCATAGCTAGTATCAATGACTACCTTCTTCTACTACCCATTCTGTATTCCCTTTGCCTTAATTAAGCACCTTAGCAGGTGGTGGTTTCTTTCCTGATAGAGTGACCCAAACCTTCATTCCTGAAGGGTCTGGACCATTTGTAGTCCTGCCTGGATTGGGCTGTTGTAGTTTCCCATTGACCTTAATCGCAGAGTATGATAATACTAAGAGATGCCCTAATGAATTTCCTGTATTCCATGCATACTCTTCCTTACCTCCATTGTGGAGTAGTAGAGTGATTTCATCTTGATAGTCCGGGTCAATCACCCCAGCCAACACTGTAACTCCCTTCTTAGCCTGTTGACTTAAAGGTAGGTGGAGCCCAAAGTGTCCAGGTGGAAATTTTAACTTCCAGTGTAATGAAATAGTTGTTGTGTCTCCTGGTGGCAGCGCTGCTCCCTCTGGAACTAAGACCTGTAGGCCAGCAGAACATAATGTCACAGGAAAAGGAAGCCAACATTTAGCTAGTGGATCACTAGGGGTGATGGTGAGTGGTGTCACTTCCACTTCCACTCCTTTATTCCTGGACCTGTGATTCCTGGCTATAGAATAAATGGTACCATATATTGGATGTTGATTCAGAGCATACACAGCCTTCTGGAGAACTTTGCCTCAGCCCTGCAAAGTATTGCCACCTAGTTGGCATTGTAATTGTGACTTCAAAAGGCCATTCCACTGTTCTATCAATCCAGCTGCTTCAGGATAATGGGAGACATGGTAAGACCAGAGAATTCCATGAGCATGAGTCCACTGCTACACTGCTTTAGCCGTAAAGTGAGTGCCTTGGTCAGAGGCAATGCTGTGTGGAATACCAAGACAGTAGATAAAATATTCTGTGAGACCACTGATGGTAGTCTTGGCAGAAGCATTGCATGGAGGATAGGCAAACCCATATCCAGAGTAAGTGTCTATTCCAGTGAGGACAAACCTCTGCCTTTTCCATGATGAAAGAGGTACAATGTCATCAACCTGCCACCAGATAACTGGCTGATCATCCCAAGGAATGGTGCCATATCAAGGGCTCAGTGTTGGTCTCTGCTGCTGCCAAATTGGGAACTCATCAGTGGCCATAGCCAGGTCAGCCTTGCTGAGTGGAAGTCAATGTTGCTGAGCCCATGCATAACCTCCATCCCTGCCACCATGGCGACTTTGTTCATGGACCCATGAGGCAATGACAGCGGTGGCTGGGGAAAGAGGCTGAGTGTTGTCCACAGAACAGGTCCTCCTATCCACTTGATTGATTATTAAAATCCTTCTCTGTTCAGGTCACTTGTTGGTGAGCATTCACATAGGATACAAATATTTACACAGTCTTTGACCACTCAAAGAAATCCATCCACATACTTCTTCCTCAAATTTCTTTGTCACCAATTTTCCAATCGTGGTTCTTCCAAGTCCCAGACCACTCAGTCAAACCATTGGCTACAGCCCATGAATCAGTATATAATAGCATATCTGGCCATTTCTCTTTTCATGCAAAGCTCACGACCAGGTGCACTCCTCAAAGTTCTTTCCACTGTGAGGATTTCCCTTCACTGCTGCCCTTCAGAGATATCCTAGCCCACTTTTGGGTGGCGCCTGCATATCATGCAGAACCATCTGTGAAGCAGGCCCTAGTCTTGTCTTCCTCTGTCAAATGATCATAAGAAATTCCCCATGAGGCCATTGGTGTAGGCTAGGGGAGAGAAGGAAGGGTGGCAGGAGTGAAGACCATGGGCATTTGAACCACTTCCTCATGTAACTTACTTGTTCCTTCAGGACCTGCTCAAGCCCAATCACATATATACCACTTCCAGTTGATGATGTAATGCTGCTGTGCATGACCCACTTTATGGCTAGATTGGTCAGAAAGCACCCAGTTCATGATAGGTAGTTCAGGTCGCATGGTGACTTGATGATCCATAGTCGAACGTTCAGTTTCCACCAAAGCCCAGTCACAGGCAAACAGCTGTCTCCCAAAAGGAGAGTAGTTATCTGCAGAAGATGGCAGGGCCTTGCTCCAAAATCCCAGAGGCCTCCACTGTGATTTACCTATGGAGGCCTGCCAAAGGCTCCAAACAGCCTTCCTATCTGCCACTGACACCTCGAGCACCCATTGGATCTGCTGGGTCGTATTGCCCAAGTGGCAGAACGGTTTGCATGGCAGCCTTGACCTATTGCAGAGCCTTCTATTTTGGACCCCTTTCAAAACTAGCAGCCTTTTGGGTCACTTAATAAATGGGGCCATATTAACACACCCAAATGAGGAATATGTTGCTTCCAAAATCCAAATAGGCCCCCTAGGCATTGTGCCTCTTTCTTGGTTGTAGGAGGGGCCAAATGCAGCAACTTATCCTTCATTTTAGAAGGAATATCTCAACAGGCCCCACACCGCTGAACCCCTAGAAATTTTACTGAAGTAGAAGGTCCCTGAATTTTACTTGGATTTATTTCCCATCCTCTGGCACACAAATGTCTCACCAATAAGTCCAGTGTGTTTTCTGCTTTTTGCTCACTGGATTCAGTCAGTATAATGTCATCAATGTAATAGATTAGTGTGATATTTTGCAGAAGTGAAAAGCAAGGTCTCTCTGAATAAGATTATGACACAAAGCCGGAGAGTTGATATACCCCTGTTGTAGGACAGTAAAGGTATATTGCTGGCCTTGCCAGCTGAAGGCAAATGGCTTCTGGTGGGCCTTATGGACAAGAATGGAGAAAAAGGCATTTGCTAAGTCAATGGCTGCATACCAGGTACCAGGAGATGTGTTAATTTGCTCAAACAATAAAACCACATCTGGTACAGCAGCTGCAATTGGAATCACCACTTGGTTAAGCTTACAATAATCCACTGTCATTCTCCAAAATCCATCTCTCTCCTGCCCAGGCCAAATGGGAGAGTTTGATGGTGATGTGGTGTGAATCACCACCCCTGCATCTTTCAAGTCCTTGATGGTGGCACTAATCTCCGCAGTCCCTCCAGGGATGCAATATTGTTTTTGATTTACTATTTTTCTAGGTAGAGGCAGCTCTAATGGCTTTCATTTGGCCTTTCCCACTATAACAGCCCTCACCCTACCAGTCAGGAAGCCAATGTGTGGGTTTTGCCAGCTAAGTATGTCTATGCCAATTTTGCATTCTGGCACTGGGGAAATTACCACAGGATGAGTCTGGGGACCAACTGGACCCACTGTAAGTCAGACATGAGTTAAAACACCATTAATTACCTGACCTTCACAAGCCCCTACTTTAACTGGAGTACCACAGTGATGTTTTGGGTCTCCTGGAATCAACGTTAGCTCAGAGCCAGTGTCCAGTAGTCCCCAAAATGTCTGATCATTTCCCTTCCCCCAATGCACAGTTACCCTGGTGAATGGCCAGAGGCTTCCTTGGGGAAGAATGGAAGAAAGATTCACTGCATAAATTGTCAATACTGTAGTGTGGTCCTTCCTCTAGGGGACCCAGACTCCCCTTCATTCAAGGGGTTTTGTGACTGTAAACTGGCTTAAGTCTGGAAATTTATTGAAAGGCCATGATTCTCTTTTTATAATTCAAATTAGTCTTTTGTCCATTCGACCTGGAAGTTTTCTGCTTATATAAATTAAGTAGGAATGCAGTAGGCTTCCCATCAATTTAACTTCAGGAGAATTGTGATTAGCCAATGCCAGAGCGCTACACGAGTCAGACTATTCTGATAGCTGCTTTGTTTCTGCTGTCCATTATGGTAGCTATGCCCACCTTGCCTTTGATGGTAAAGTGATCCCACTTGGGCCCTGCCACCTCAGGATACAATTATTTCCACTGTATTTAAATTTTGTAATTGAGTGACTGTGGTTCCCATTGTTAGATCTGACATATAGAGAAGAGCAATTACAGGGCTCTTCAAAGATGCAGGTGCTGTCCTTATGAATCTATTTCACAAGGCATTGGTCACTGGTATATCTTCTGGATCATTCCAGCTGGGATGAGTAGGACTAAAGTGACTAATCCACTCCACCATCCCAATCTTTTGTTTCTTTTTTTTGAGACAGAGTCTCACTCTGTCGCCCAGGCTGGAGTGCAGTGGCATGATCTCGGCTCGCTGCAACCTCTACTTCCTGTGTTCAAGCAGTTCTCCTGTCTCAGCCTCCGCCTCCTGGGTTCAAGTAATTCTCCTGCCTCAGCCTCCCTGGTAGCTGGGATTAGAGGCATGCGTCGCGATGCCTGGCTGAGTTTTGTATTTTAGTAGAGATGGAGTTTCACCATGTTTGCCAGGCTGGTATCAAACTCCTGACCTCAAGCAATCCACCTGTCATGGCCTCCCAAAGTGCTGGGAGTACAGGCATGAACCACCGTGGCAGGCCCATCCTAAGCCTTTTGACCCCTTACTCTACATTAGACCAAGGGAGATTAGGCATTTCCAGCTTGCTCACAGTGAGCCATCTTTTGCAGCTAACCAAGCAAATAAACTGTTAGAACTTTCATAATCCCCCGAGCTGTAACATTAAATGCAGAGTCCCTGCATTTAATCTGCATTTAATATATATATTATTAAATATATATTATAAATATACTTATTATATTATATATAATATATATTTAACATATAATATAATATAATATATATTATATATTATTTATATATATTATATATAATATATAATATATATTATTTATATATATTATATATAATATATAATATATATTATATCACATATATTATATATTATACTATATATTATTTATATATTATACATAATACATAATATATAATATTATTTCTATAATATAATATAATACATAATATATTCTATCATATATATTATATATGATATAATATATAATATTATATATGATATAATATATAATATTATATATGATATAATATATAATATTATATATGATATAATATATAATATTATATATGATATAATATATAATATTATATATGATATAATATATAATATAATATTATATAATATATGATATTATATAATTAATTATATATCATATATGATATTATGAATTAATATAATAATATATTATTATTAATTAATAATAATATATCATTATATAAATATATAATGATATATTATTATATACTTAATACTAATATATTAGTATTAAATTTAATATAATAATATATTATTATATATTTAATATAATAATATTATATATTTAATGTAATAATCTATTATATATTTAATGTATAATATACTAGATTATATATTATATAATTAATATATATTATTATATATACAATTAATATATAATATAATTAATATATATTAATTATAAAATATAATATATTATATAATTAAGATATATATCATATATTATATAATTAATATATAATATAACATATTATATAATTAATTTATATATAATTAATTATATATATTTATATATATTAAAATATAAATATATATAATTAATTACATATGAATATATAAATATAATTAATTATATAACATATAATATATAATATTATATATATTAATTATATAGTCTTATTTATATAATTATATTAATCATATTATATATAAATTATGTAATATAATTAATATAATTATATATATTATTTATAATTAATTTAATTAATATAAATTAATTATATATAATTAATATAATAATATATAATATATTAATTAAATATATGATGATATGTAGTATATATTAATTAAATATATAATAATATATAATATATATTATCATATATAAATAATATATAATAATATATATTAATTAAATATATAATAATATATAATATATATTATTATATATATTAATTAATAGATATAATATATAATATATATTATTATATATAATAATATATAATATATATTATTATATATAATAATATATAATATATGTAATTATATATAATAATATATAATGTATGTATTTAGATATATAATAATATATAATATATGTATTATTATTTATTAATAATATATAATATATGTATTATTATTTATTAATAATATTTAATATATGTATTATTATTTATTAATAATATTTAATATATATTAATATATAATATATATTAATATATATTATTTATATATAATAATATACTATATATTAATTATATGTAATATATAAATTATATAATTAATTATATATAATTAATGATATAATATATATTATATATTATATAATTAATTGTATTTATATATTTATATATAATTAATTATATATTATTATTTGTATTATATATTTATTTATACATATTTATATATATTTATATTTTATATATATTAAAATATATATAATTAATTATACATATTAAAATATATATAATTATACATATTAAAATATGTATAATTAATTATATATATTAAAATACATATAATTAATTATATATTAAAATATATAATTAATTATATATTAATTAATTGTATAATATATCATATATACGATAATGTATTATATACTACTATATATAATATATATAATTATATATAATATATAAATAAATTATATATTATATATTTAACATATATATTAAATATATATTATATATTTAATATATATTATATATTTGTATTATAATATTTACAATAATAATATTATAAATTATAGTATAAATTTATAACATTAAATATATTTTTAATATATAATATATTCAATATATAATATTAAATATATATATGAAGGGGAATTTATTAACTCACATGATCACAAGGTCCCACAATAGGACATCTGCAAAGTGAGGAGCAAGAAGAGCCAGTCTGAGTCCCAAAACTGAAGAACTTGGATTCCGATGTTTGAGGGCAGGAAGCATCCAGCAGGGGAGAAAGATATAGGCTGGGAGGCTAGACCAGTCTAGTCTTTTCACATTTTTCTGCCTGCTTTATATTCTAGCCACATTGGCAGCTGATTAGATGGTAACTACCCATATTAAGTGTGAGTCTGCCTTTCCCAGCCCACTGACTCAAATATTAATTTCCTTTGGCACCACTCTCACAGACACACCCAGGATCAAAGTTTTGCAACCTTCAATCCAATCAAGTTGACACTCAGTATTAACCATCACATCCTCCCTCTCCTTTGGTTTTTGTAACTGCACTGGAGAGTCTAAGCCTGGTGCTTAAAATCTCCAGAAGAGTATATAGCCAAGAAAGCTGCATGGCCACTCCATGGAGAAAGAAGCATTTGCCTTTTCATGTCATTGCAAAACTGACTGTCATTGCCTTCTCAGATCTAAGGCAACAAGGACAGTTTCTATGCCCTGATATTTCTAAGGATTGAGGTTTTTGGATACTCCTGCAGAGCAAAGCAAAACAGCTATACATTCCTAGCTGTTTCCGTTTTTAACTTAAGCTAAGATTGTCCTAGAAAATAATAGCTAAGAGTCATGAGTTTTAGGTTTTAAGTGTTAAAGATTTTAAACCTTCTTTCCATATTTTCTAGTTTCTGTTTTTCAATAACAGCACCTTTTTATAAATCCCTATATCAATTTATTGGAATAAATATAGATTCAGGCCCTTATCAGAAAATAATCTGACAGAAAGAGCAAACGTATGTATTTTACATTCACACGTATACACAGGCATACACACAGAAACACAAGCTAAATTTTTCTACTCTGTACTGAGGTAGCGGCAAATTTTCATTATTGTTTGAAAATTTCACTTATTTTCTTCTTGTTCTTACTTTCTTTGTTACCCGTTCCACCAATATCTGGTTTTCTATGCCTCTATTTCTCATGACTGCTTCCTATTTTGGAAGTCCTTTTTGTCATGGATTGTCAATTCTTTTCCTAATATTATAGAATGTATAAGACATACGAATGTCTCTTTTACTAATATTAGTCACTTTTACAGCATAACTTTAAAGTGCAATTATACAGCAAATAACACAGATTCTGGCACAAAAAGTATTCAAGAATTAGTACATACACAAATGCTGAATGGTGGCTAAAAATCTCATCAGCTTCTGTGTATTGTAGACAGGGACAAATTTTGAAGGATACAGACTAGCTTAGCCTGCTCTATAAGTTACTATTATACAAAAGAATAGAATTTTCTTCATTCATTTAAGTTAAAATATAAAAATTGGCTAATAAGCAAATTAAACTTATATTCGTAGAAATTTAAAATTATTACCTTAAGATTTTCTAGGAGTAATTAAAGCTCAAGCAAACTATAATGTTAAATTTTGAGACTCATTATCATATAAAATTCCATCTAAGAAGAACTTGTTCTAGAACCTCTCCTAAGGATGTTATAGTCCATAGTAATGTGAAGATAAAATCAAATTGGCTTACCTACTATATACATTAGTAATGTGGTTCTGCAAAAACACAATTGTGACAAATATTCTAAAATGAGTGCAATTTAAAAAATGGTACTTTCTATTTCAAATATTAGATAACAGGTATGAAGCATACTTGCATTTGGGTGCTTAAAATGGCATTTTAAAACTTGATCTATTATCTGAAATACTTCTTATCTATTTTTCTCAATTTTCATGTTTTAAAATTTATTTTAATAGACAAATAATAATTGATATATTTATGGAGTGCCATGTGATGCTTTGATCTATACATGTAGTAGTAGAAAGAGTCAATAAGCTACTTAACCTAACATCACCTCACCAACTTATTTTCTTGTGGTGAGAGGGTTAAAAGTTTCTTCTTTTGGCAATTTTGTAATCTATAATACATCTTTATTAACTGTGGTCGCCTGCAGTGCAGTAGATCACTAAAACTTATTCTTCCAGTCTGAGACTCTATATCCTTTGATCAACATCTTCCCTTTCCCTATCCCACCCTCTCCCTGCCAGCCTCTGGAAACCATCTTTCTGCTCTCTGTTTCTACGTGATCAACTGTTTTAGATTTCACATATAAGTGCGATCACGTAGTATCTCGCTGTTTGAGACAACATAGATGGAACTGGGGGAGGTTATGCCAAGTTAAAGAAGCCAGGCTCCACTTTCATTTCTACTATCAGCTTTTCTCCTGCACTGTTGTCATCTTGAGTTCTCTGTTTAATCAGGATGCTGTTCGGAATTTTGTGCAGAGACGCTTTCCATTATGCCATGCTTTTTCTTGTTGCTAAATTTATCCTCTTTTCCCTTATTATACGTGGAGCTTCCAAATCTGTCAACTTGGCTTTTTTTTCTTACAAGGTACTTTTATGTCCACTTCCCCAAGAGTCTATTTCTTCTGAAAGATTAAACTATTTTTTTCAATAGTCACAATTTCCAGTAGAACTTGATGATTTTGGTCACTAGCTTGTGCCTAATCATAGGACAGCATCCTAGTCCCTCAGAACAGGGACTTTCATTCAAACTCTAGGAGGAAAATAAATCTATTTTCTAGAAGTCTCTGCAACTGAACTCTAAATACCCAGTGTGTGCAGGAGTTATTAACCTGGCAGTTTCCCTCAATTTAGAGTTTCAATTGCCCACTGCTGACTGTGTCGTGACCTCATCATCTCCCTCAATGTTTCTATCTAGTCCTTTTCTTCAAACAACAGTTTCTTATTTGCTGCTCTCCCTAGCCACAATGGGAGTGGTTATATATGGATATATGGAAAATTTCATTCTTCAAAGTTTCCATACCTATTTGTCTTCTTGCTTATCTCAGAAGATAAATGTGTCTCTTACTTGTTGGTTTTCTCTGCCACCTATAGACTTCCCGAAACCCCATAGCTATCCTTGGGAGTCAACCTGGCACTGGGGCATAGCTAAGTGGCACAGTTGTCGTAATGCTAAGTACTCTCTCATAACTTTCTGCAAATAAGAAGCAATACTTTTATTTTGTATATCAAGCTGATGTAAAAGGCAGTACAATTTTTTATTCATCCTGAAAAACTAAAATGAAAGTTACACCCTAGAAAAAGATCGACTATCATAACTGCTTTAACCTTTATTCTGTAGCTCATCCTTTCTTAAACTGATTGTATCCCATTACCTAATCTACCTAGCACTGCCCTTACTCTTAACAAATCCTTTCTTCTGCTCTCTGTTCCCATTTCTCAGCAACCTTCTATCATACATATAAAGAAACATAAACACACACACACACAACTTTTCCAATTTGTCTAAAACATATGTACTTTTCAACTCAGTCCTTATAGCACTTTTATATTGAAGCATGGCTTACATTCCAAATCTCCAGAAAAGTCACCATCTCTTCTTTCATGGCATTTCCAAATACACCACCTTTGGTGTGACAAGCCAATCCTCCCACTTGCTTAGCACAGTATTATTAAGTATATATTAAAGGTTTAAGATATTTAAACAAATAGCCTAAACTTATCGAAGCAGGTTTTGTTTGTTTGCATGCTTTTCAGACACCAACTGGCAGGAAAATTTGGTGTAGATCTTGTGGCTATTTGCCATGACTGGTGGCCAACTTTGGAATGAATTTCTAATATCTATGGAATTTCCTGTAATATGAGCATTAGCTCCTTAAGTTAGAAGCCGGAAACTCACTTTCCAAGTTCTTCCTACTCATGTGAAACAGACTTCACTAATAAGTCACACCACCTCAGTCTGCTCAAGAAGAAAGCAAAGGGAGAATGCAGAAACAGCATGGCTTTTAGCTTCTCACACAGTGTCTGGCTTTCTGAGGAAGTGGAAGCAGAATTTCTCATATCCAGTGTCCTGCCTCAGTGGTGCAAGCTGCAACAATGTCTGTGCCAAGTGACAGAGGAATTAGGTTCTTACCAGGGCAGCCATTAGGTACAAATTGGACTTTGTTGGCTATTTCCCATATAAGCCTGAATTATTCCATCTGAAGATTCTTTTATACTTAAATCGGCTAGGGATTATGTTATTTGTATCCTGAAACTCTGACTGACACCTAGCCTCAGAGCCATATAACTCAAAATAACAAACTCACAATAATTAGTCCATACTGATATGCTAGATGGCACTAATTTCTTCTTTTTCTTACTAAATTTCTTAAACTGTTATTTTTTAACATCATATAATTCCTCTTGACCTTTCTTCAACTAAATTGATTTTAAAAGTCACTCAAATCTACCTCAAAGTATGTGTGTGTGTGTGTGTGTGTGTGTGTGTGTGTGTGTGTTGTGGGAAGAAATGGTGATGTAAAAGATATAGAATCTTACAACTTTTTATCTTGCAGCTGGAACTGAAAACACAGAGGTATTAAGAACAACTGGAAGTTTTGGAAGATAGTTTCAAATTAATCACAATGAAAATAGGTCTGTAAATAAAATCATGTTTTTTTCTAAAGAAAAGCTGATATAAATATACTGCTTCTCATTTTTATTCATATAAAATGCATAAGTATTTTAGGCTACTCTATTCCAAGAAATTAATTTTCAAAAGTGTATTTGGCTCTGAGTGTATAGATAAAAGACAGTACTCAAATGATTTTTTTTCTTAAGCATTTATTTCAGGTTTATTTTCGGACACCAGTATGTGGAAAATGGTAATAATAATAAATTTGAGACCCGGCTCAATAATGATTTTTCTCTGCAATGGTGGCAACTTTAATCTTCCCGAATTCCTACTCTCTTCCACTGGATGTTGCAGGTAACATTTGTCTACAAGCAGATTAGGATACTGAGTTTAATGTGCACGTGTTTTCTATGCGAGCCCTTGGGATCAACACCTGTGGATAGCAAAGGAGGGGAAAAGGATTAGGCAGAGGGAAATGTCGTGCTGTAATCCAGAGCCAGCAATGGTCTTAGCCAATCCCACTTGGA